>NC_000007.14:43876605-44179635 GCF_000001405.40 Homo sapiens
CCCCATCAGACAGGGCTGCCCACAGCAGCCTCCTACACCTGAACTGGGTTTCTCTGCACACTCACAGCCGTCTCACCAGCTCAATGAGCTGCTGGATGTTTTTGTTTTGGTTCGACAAGCCGTTCCTGATGTTTTCGAGTAGGCATCTCTTCAATTCAAATATGGCTTCACTGTAGGCCAAGCTCACTGCGGCCATGGGAGGTGCTCCGTGCCACAGGCCTGGGATGTGCCAGATGTGCTGCTTCTCAGGGTCGCAGAAGGCCAGGCCTGCCAGTGCCCGGAAGCCGTCGCCCTGTTTCTCCATCTGGGCTGCAGCCCTGCTCAGGTCACCAGGTGGATCCAGGAGCTGTCTCTTGTCTCTGGGCCTAGGGCCGGGAACAGATACATCATGAAGGTTCTGGTATACAAACTGGTAGTTGGGCATGTGCCCCGTTTTTTCTAACCTCAGAAATGCATGCAGAATAGCTGCTGGAATGTCCTTGGTTTCAGCTAGACTGATCACGGTGACATTGCTCAGTCCCATGAGCAGAGTGGCCAAGGAAGCCTCCAGCTCAAATCTGTCCCCAGCTGACGTCAAGGCCCCACCTATCAAGCCCCCGGAGTCTATCACCAGGATGTGGTCACAGCCCAGGTCCTGGCTGAAGCCCTCAGCCACTGTGATGAGCTGCATGAAGGCCCCTCGAGGACCGCAGCTCTTCCCTGTGGCAAACCGCAGCCCAAACATGGTGTTGAGGAGTGTGGACTTGCCCGTGCCTGGCACCCCGACGGTTGACAGAACCACCAGCCTTGACCGTCTCTCCAGTCGGACGTGCAGCTCCTTCAGGAGCCCTGTGACCCAGCGGACGGGCATGCTCAGCGTGCTCCCATCGATTAGCTCCAGAGGCAGCCCTGTCAGCAGCAGCTCCGAGGCCAAGCCTGGGAAGTGGGCAAAACGCCTCTGGCCTGCCGGCAGCCTCCCTGCCTCCACAAGACAGCTCTCAGCCTCATAAAACTGTCCCATCTCCCGCAAGAAGTGTTCCACCCCTAGGGGCTCAGGCCAGAGCGGCTCCCCCACGTCTGTGGTGCCCCCATGCTTTGGTCTCAGGGTGAGAAGCGTCTCCGGAGGCTGTCTCAGTCGCGGCTGGGCCACCCGTGCCAGGCCCCACTCCATCCACCTCAGGAAGTACTGCTTCTCACTCAAGGAGGGGCTGCTGATCCCCGAGATGAACTCCTGCACCCCCGAGGAGGGATCATGGCCGTTCTGCTGCATTCGAAGTTCTAGCAGCCGCCGCCTCAGCTCAGCCCTGTGCTTCTCAGGGGGGTCCACGGCCCACTGGAGCTGGCAGAACTCCTTCTCCACTTGGGCTGCCTTTCTCCAGGGGTCCCCCTGCAGCCTCAGCTCGTCCCTTCTGTAGGCATCCGAGTCTTTGATTTTCCTGGTAATCCTCTCCATCCGGTCTTTCGCTTTCTGACACTCCTCACAGTCCTCGTCGACCTTTAGGCCCAGTTTGCGGGCTGCGTGCGCCATGTCCTCCACAGATACCCGCCTGCAGGGTGCCCGCAGCACATTCCCAACGATGGCCCGGATCCTCTTCACGAAGCTGTCGCTGTCAGTGCTGCTGACCTTTACCAGGACATGTGAGTGGTCTATTTTCAGCACAGGAATTAACTTATTCAGAAATCTCAGGTTTGTGTTGCGCTTCCCACGGTAGGGACTCAGGATGAAGTAGTATTTTGTGGTTGACTCCTTCATGGAGTACAGCAATTTGTATTCCTTCTTACTGATATTGTCAGTCAATATAAACACAGCGGAGGAGATTTCTGTCAAGAGCTTAAACTGCAGCCAGTGAGACCCGATGTCACCTCTCAGGTTCAGAAAGGCCACAGGTTCTGGGAAAATGTCCAAGTCCTCCCTTCCGCTGGGAAAAAACCAGGAAATTTCTACCAACCCATCCGAAATCTCCCGGGCATTGGTGCCCAAGTTGAGGTCCCGATGCCAGAAGCAGTCCCACTGCCTGTGGCCCGGGCTGAGGACGGCGTTGAGAAGCTGGGACTTGGAGTTGCTACTGACGTCCATGCGCACGAAGGCGAAGGCGGGCGCCCTGGACAAGACCACGCTGTCTTCCCGGAAGCTCCCCATGCCCCTTGGGGGCTGGGACCACCATGTCCTCACAATGCCCCGCATGGCCCACAGCAGAAATGTATGGTAGTGGTTCTCCGAGTCAGGCAACACGAGTGGGAGTGCAAACTGGCAGAGGGCCATTTTCAACGCTATTTCTTGTTGCAGGAAACTGTCTGAGGAGAGCAGCAGGGCACAGAGAAGGTCTAAGGGGTTCACTGGCGTATCAGGGGTGGGCAGCTCAGAAAAGGAATAAATGTCGGCAGCAAGGTCATCAGCTGGGTCCCAGTAGATGATCTCCTCTTCCATCTGGCTCTCCTTCTCCACAGGCCTGGCGTCTGGGAGCACGTCCAGCACCATAGTGGTATTCCTGGCATCAGCATTGAGGGCCTGCAACTTCCTGAGGAAATTCCAGGGCAAGTCTTTGGGAACCTGAGGGGCCCAGTTCTTCATACTGTCAAAACTGATCTGCAGAGAGTCCTGGAGGCTGAGTTTCTGGACCTGGTACGTCTCTAGGCCCAAAAGTGACAGCATTTCTTGAAGCCTGCTTCTCTCCACTGTGGAAAGAAATGAAGACATAAGTGCTCACCCTGTGTTTCTGAGCTAGGGGCCAGGGAAGAGCTGGTGAAGGAGAGCCCAGCAGGATGGGGAGAGTGACGACCCCCTTCAGAGAGCAGAGTGCAGGCACAGGAGGCTCAGGGTGTGCTCAAGGCTGACCTGAGATCAAGGCAGGGCTGGAACCCGGACATCAAGGTACAATAGGTACCAACCTAACCACAGATATATGTGACATTAAACAAAAGAAAGAACAGAAATAAATAAGCTACATTTAACAACTGGAAGAGTTCTTGCAAAAGCCATATTTCTGGTCTTTCTAGAAACCTGTAAGATCTAACACTGAGCTCAAAATTAATTGGCTACAGTGAGCAGCACATGACTCCTACAAGCTGAATGCAGGCCTCACCTCCCCACTGTGTTGCTTCCGTGGGCTACTCAGAGTCACCGGGAAGTTCCCACAGGAGTCATAATCACTGAATCACTCTCTGGCTTTCTAGTTAATGTTTTTTTGTGTTTTTTTTCTCTCTAGAAATAAGAGAATATTTTAAAGGAACTAGAAAGAAATCACTAAGCATAAAGAGTCAGCAATTATAGCTAAACAACCATTTTGCAAACCTGAAATCAATAATGCAGGTTTTCTTTTTTTTCTTTCTTTTTTCCTCTCCCCTTTCTTTTTTTTTTAGACAGGGTCTTACTCTGTTACCCAGGCTGTAGTGCAGTGGCATGATTTCAGTTCACTGTAGCCTCAACCTCCTGGGCTCAAGAGATCCTCCCACCTCTGCCTCCCAAGTAGCTGGAACTACTGGTGTGTGCCACCACACCCAGCTCATCCTTGTATTTTTTTGTAGAGATGGGTTTTTGCCATGTTGCCCAGGCTGGTCTCGAACCCAGACTCAAGCAATCCACCTGTCTAGCCCTCTCAAAGTGCTGGGATTACAGGTGTGAGCCATGGTGCCTGGCTTTAATGCAGTTTTAAATTTTAAATGTATTAAAATATTCAGTGCAGACTGTTAGTAAGTGAGCACTTACTTGCGCAGATACTCAAATATCACCCTATACAATATAAGATCTTATAAGCTAGATGCTTGAAACAGTATTGCTACCTCTGAAGATTCCATTCACCATCCAGGTCTTGGCCCAGCACCTTACTAATGTTCATGCTGCATATTAATTAGTTGTCTTAAAATTTGTTGTTGTTTGAGGCAGTGTCTCACTCTGTCACCCAGGCTGGAAGGCAGTGGTGTGATCACAGCTTATTGCAGCCTTGATCTCCTAGGCTCAAGAGATCCACTCATCTCAGCTTCTGAGGAGCTGGGACTACAGGTGCACAAGACACTTGGCTAGTTTTTGTATGTTTTGTAGAGACGGGATTTTGCCATATTGCTCAGGCTGGTCTTGAACTCTCTGGCTCAAATGATCTGCCTGCCTCAGCCTCCCAAAGTGCTGGATGTGAGGCACCGTGCTGAGTCACTTTAAATGTTAATGCATGAAGTAAATACAAATTCCACTGCCCTGCAGCCTTTTTTCCAGTTCCTTTCTCGAGAGAGGAAGCAACGTGTATGATACTGCTTTGATGCTTAGATAAACCATGAAAGGAAACACTGGGTGACCCAGCCCTCTGCCTGTTTCCCAAGAAGGTCAAGTGATGGATTCAAGACCACTTTCCATACGACCAGCAGGACTCACAGTGCTGGACACTCTGCTCAGAGAGTTCCACAGGCATTGTGGCCACAGGACTGCCCCACAGAACATTAGGGGACCTATGAACTTGTTACAAAAACAAAAGTACTATATGGGAAGAGTCACATTGTGCCAAAACAGGTGTTACTCAGGTTTCCTAGCTTTGCCTGAATGAAACTAGGAACATTGTTTTTCTTGTCCAGACATGGAATAACTTTTTATTTTTTAAGTAGCATGGTAGTAAAAGGCAATGGGAAAAAGACAAAGAAAACACTTCTGCCCAGTGTGTGGCCCTTGGCAGGTTGTTTGGAAGCTCTGGGCCCAGTATCCTGATCTGCAAATGAAGGCGTTGGACCAGATAAATCGTTTCCAAACCGGGCTGTACATTAGAATCAATCACTTCAGGAACTTGTTAAAAAATGAAACATCTCTGGGTTTCACCTCCAAACATGCTAACTTATTAAAGGCAGTGAGTATGTTGGGTGGTGGAGGGGGGGCCTGGTTACTCTATGTGGTTAGCAAGCTTCCCAGGGTTTTTTTTTTTTTTTTTTTTTAGCAATATGGTTAACAATGTATAAAGGGTTAATGAAGTAGGGCATCCTAAACCTGAGTGCTCTGCCTCCCCAGGTGATTTGATACAGTCAGGTGTGGGAACTGCTGGCCTAGATGATAACCCCCTTTCATAGAACAGAGAGAAAAGGCAGAGAAAATGCTTACCTGTTGGAAAATCATTGTCCTGAGCCTCATTTGTACCATCTATGGAAAAAGCAATGGAAAATGAAGTGTCAATCAAATAATGCACCCTTGGCTGACACAAATTAATTGAAGCTAAACCTAGAACCCTTCTTTCTCACCAAGATGGCAACTTCTCCCAATTGTTCTAAATATAAAATCCCGGTTATCTGTCACTTTACCCACTCCCCCTCTCCCCAGTCCAATCTGTTGCCAAATCCTGTAGTTTCTACCTCCATAACGGAACTCGCAATCATCTCCTTCCATTTCTCTCCATTCCAAATCTAGAAGAAAAAAGAAACCAAATACATTTAGTTTCATCAGCAAGTTAGAACCTTTCTGTCAAAAATTTCAAGTGCTCATGCCTGTAACCCCAGCACTTTAGGAGGCTGAACAAGAGGAGTGCTTGAGTCCAGGAGTTTGAGACCAGCCTGGGCAACAAAGCAAGACCCTGTGTCTACAAAGACTTTTTTTAAAAAATTAGGCCAGGCATGGTGGCTCATGCCTGTAATCTCAGCACTTTGGGAGCCCAAGGCAGGAAAATCACTTGAGGTCAGGAATTTGAGACCAGCCAGCCTGGCCAACATGGCGAAAAACCATCTCTACTAAAAATACAAAAATTAGCTGGGCGTGGTGGCGCATGCCTGTAATTCCAGCTTGGAATTACTTGGGAGGCTGAGACAAAATAATTGCTTGAACCCAGGAGGCGGGGGTTGCAGTGAGCTGAGATCATGCCACTGCACTCCAGCCTGGGCGACAGAGTGAGGCTATCTCAAAAACAAACGAACAAACAAAAATTAGCTGGGCATGATGCCACGAGCCTGTGGTCCCAGCTGAGGCAGGAGGATTACTTGAGCCTGGGAGGTCAAGGCTGCAGTGAGCTGTGATTGCACCACTGCATTCCAGCGTGGGCATCAGAGCAAGACCCTGTCTCAAAAAAAAAAAACACCAAACAACAACAAAAAACGTCAAGTGACAATATGGTGGCTGATGTTTTAGTGCTATTATTGGTTTCAGTTTTTCCTATGTAAATGTAATGTTTTGCCAGCAAAAAATACATCACAAGGTAGTAATAGCTACACACAAGACACAGATTTGCTCTAGGATATATCTTTATAGAATTTTCTAAACTTTGGGAAAATAAAACATGAATAACCATAAAACTTACATAGATTAACCTTTGATTTTAGAAACTATTTAAAATGTAAGTTGACAGAAATTCCTTGACTATTTAAAAATTCAGCACCTGTCAATGTTATTTTTATTCCAGCATAAGGAATTTTTGTAATCACTTAAAATTGAAATGTACATCAGAGCACAAATACACAGAGGTGAGGTGCGGGGGGAGAGACAGTGGGGAAGAGTTGTGACTTACAAGTGAACTGTTATTTGTCCAAAGTCTCCAAACATCATGAAATGTCCATCAACATTAACATCTTAATTACAAAATGTGTTTAATGTAGTGCTAGTCAGATATTTATGTATGAACAAAGACCTAAAACTCTAGATTTGCTTGCAAGCACACAATATAAAGGAGCGAACAGGAGGCTTAGGAAGGAGGGAGCAAGACTTCTCAGTGCATGTTTTGACTATTTTGACTTTGATCCAAGAAAAAGTAACACCTAGGTTCCAAAATTTATATATATAAATATATATATATATACATATATATATATATATATATATATATTTTTTTTTTTTTTTTGAGATGGAGTCTTGCTGTGTTGCCCAGACTGGAGCGCAGTGGCGCGATCTCAGCTCAGTGCAAGCTCTGCCTCCCGGATTCATGCCATTCTCCTGCCTCAGCCTCCTGAGTAGGTGGGACTACAGGCGCCCGCCACCACACCCAGCTAATTTTTTTGTATTTTTAGTAGAGACAGGGTTTCACCGTGTTAGCCAGGATGGTCTCGATCTCCTGACCTTGTGATCCACCTGCCTTGGCCTCACAGAGCGTTGGGATTACAGGCGTGAGCCACCTTGCCCGGCCCCAAAATTTATATTTTTAAGAGCTTATGAATCAAGATTCGGATATTTTCAGATTTATGTTTTCTCATGATTTCCATGTAATCAGGTAGATAAACCTAACATTTCAAACCGTCTTCTTTGATGATATCTCTGGGAGATGGACATGTGAAAAGCAGGAAAGAGAAAAAGAAAATGGGGTCCAGGAAGCATGAGAAGATCAGAGAAGGCACAAGATCCACACACATCAACCACAATGCCAAGCAGTCCAAAGATTACATTATTCAAGTGAGGAAAAGCCATCAGAACAAATTTTCCAAGGAACCCAAAATGCCCTGTGAGGAGAGAAAATGGTTAGAGAAAAGAATGGGAAAGTCTAAAGATGCCAGAGATAGGGTTAGGGTGGTTCTGAGAGTAGTTTTAAGCTGGAGTCAGGAGTAACCTCCAGACCCAGAGAAAATAGGGCCTTGCTTGGTTAGGGGTGGGAAATAGCTCTGATGTGGATTTAATAGGTGGATGAGGTCAAGGATGCACAAAGTAGCCAAAGACTGAGGGTTACCAAACTAAGGAAACCACTGACTAGGGTTCGGAGAGAGCCTGATGTTCTGCAGCCATCAGCAGATTGTGGGGCAGGTGGAAGAGGAAGCAGCAGGGCTCCAGGCAAAGACACAAAACAGCAAACATGGGGGGCCACTGAGGGCTCAGCTCCATGAGCCAACGTCTCCACTATACTTCACATTGGGCAGGAAGTGACCTAAGGATGAGATAAGCTCTGACTCTGGGAGTACTGGGCTCACACGGAACACAGGGACAGAGGATAGGCCAGGCCCTACCACCATGGTGAGCCCAGGAATAACTGTTATGAGCCCATTGTTGGAGAACTCCAAGTAAGGCCATTAAAACCATTTTCAAGCCAGGTGGGGTGGTTCATATCTGTAACCACAGCAATTTGGGAGGAAAACGCAGGAGGATCACTTGAGTTCAGGAGTTCAAGACCAGCCTGGGCACAATAGCAAGACCCCTGTCTCTACAAAAAGTTTTTTAAAAAATTAGTCGGGTGCAGTGGCTCACACCTGTAGTCCTAGCTACTTGGGAGGCTGAGACAGGAGAATCCCTTGAGGCCAGGAGGTCAAGGCTGCAGTGAGCTATGATGGCCACCACTGTACTCCGGCTTGAGTGATGGAGTGAGACAAAAATAGAATGAGCTATGAAGTAGAATCTTCAGAGTTGAGTAAGATAAATAAATTATATCGTGTGACTACATAAAGTATAAACCAGGCAAAGCTAATCTATCCTTTTAGAAGTCCAGATAATGACAGATGAGAGGTGAAGTAACTGGAAGGGACCTTTGGGGGCATGGGTTTTCTTCAGCTTCTCGATCTGGTTTCTGGCTTACATAGGTAAGTTCATGTTTGTGAATATTTCTCAAGCTATTAATTGGAGTACTTTTCTGAATGTATAGTATAATTTTTTTTTTTTTTTTTAAAGACAGTCTTGCTCTGTCGCCCAGGCTGGAGTGCAGTGGTATGATCCCGGCTCACAGAAACCTCCACCTCCCAGGTTCGAGCGATTCTCCTGCCTCAACCTCCCGAGTAGCTAAGACTACAGGCGCCCACCATCCCTCCCAGCTAATTTTTGTATTTTTAGTAGAGACGGGGTTTCATCACATTGGTCAGGCTAGTCTCAAACTCCTGGCCTCAAGTGATCTGCCTATCTCGGCCTCCCAAAGTGCTGGGATAACAGGCATGAGCCACTGCACCTGGCCTGTATAGTATACTTTAATACAACTTGTTTTTAATCCTATAGGCTTAAAACCTTGCTTTAAGTCTTTAAAATGAAGCATATGCTCAAGAGGAACTCACATAACTCATGAAGAACAACTATAAAGAATAACCACTGGAGGTTTATTCAGTAGAGAGAGACACAGAGATCAAAGTTCGGGGAAGAACCAGGGTGTCTCTGTGCCTTGGTTTCCTCAAATGAAACAGGGATTGATAAGTATCTTAGAGGTCATAGTTAAAAGTAATTAAGACAACCTAGCTCACAATAAGCATCCAATAAGGCCATTCCCTCTCCTCGCCCCATCCCCATGCTTTCTTTCTCATTTGTCTAGAACAACACTCCCCAAGGGAACCTCCCAAGCTGAAGTTCTCCATCTGCAATGTCCAAGCTGCAGCCACTCACCATGCAGGCTGCTGAGCAAATACAGCTAGAGTATTTAGGAGGTGAAGTTTTAATTCTGTTTAATTTTAAACAATGTGCCTAGTGGCTACTGTGTTGAATAGCATAATTCTAGATGTGGAGAAACTAAAGGGCTTTGGGCAATTACTGCCTGATCCCAATTCTGCTACAAGCCTTGACCAACTGGCCAATAATCCCCATGGTGCCTACCTTCCAGAATTTAAGTTCCATGAAGGGCTTTGAGCCTTTTCATTTACTATTGTTTACAATATCGCAATGCTTACAACAATGTTAGTGCATGGTAAGTACTCAAAAAATATTTGTTTGAATGAATAAAATAGTGATTTTTTCCATAGAGACGGTGTCTCACTATGTTGCGCAGGTTGGTCTCAAACTCCTGGGTTCAAGCGAACCTCTTGCCTTGGCCTCCCAAAGTACTGGGATTACAGGTGTGAGCCACTGTATCCAGCCTAAAATAAAACTTTATTAACCAAAACTTATTTGCATATTTTTGTGGATTTTTGTTTTTGCATAACTCTATTAATATCCAATAGAACACTTTTTTTTTTGGCAGTTAAAACATAGTTTATTTTTTTAGCACATTCATTTTAAGAAGAACCTAATTTATGAAAGATATATCTAAAATGAGTTACTGGCTGGGCACGGTGGCTCACGCCTGTAATCCCAACACTTTGGGAGGCTGAGGCGGGTGGATCACCTGAGGTCAGGAGTTCGAGACCAGCCTGGCCAACATGGTGAAACTCATCTCTACTAAAAATACAAAAAATTAGCCGTGCATGGTGGCGCATGCCTGTAATCTCAGCTACTTGGGAGGCTGAGGCAGCAGAATCACTTGAACCCAGGAGGTGGAAGCTGCAGTGAGCTGAGATCGCGCCACTGCATTCCAGCCTGGGCAATAAAGGCGAAACTTGGTCTCAAAAAATAAAATAAAATATCAAATAAAATAATAAAAGAAAAGAAAATATAAAACAAAATGAGTTAGTAAGAGAGCTAAAGATATCTGGAGTGTGGCCACCATACCTTAAAGGTGAATTTACAAAGGGTGGCGTTACAGCCCCACCCCCAAATCCTCAGAGAAAGAAAAACCAGCCTGTATGGACCATAACCAGGAAGACTACAAGCCCCAGTGTGCTCTGGGACAATCCCAATTTATACCTGTTTTCCCAACATTACATCCCTTTCACTCTCAGAAGTGCCCACTTTAGAAGATAAACTATACAGTCACCTTAACTATGACCTACAATGGCAGTTATGCTAAAATTGGGGTAATGTGTTTCTGTTAAATTGTGTCATAATCACCTGTTTAACTGAATCCTGGGAACACTTACTCCATTTTCTAGAATAAAGTGTTGCCCATAAAAAAAACAAACAAAAAACACTATTTTGAATATATGAGGAATGCTTAAAAGACCCTTAGATGGAATCTTCTTGTAAAAGGAAAAATAAAAGCCTTAAACTTATTTATTTTTGAGATGCACAATCCCAAGTCCAGGAGGGGCTGGAACCCAGAATCCCAAGGGGACAGGAGAAGTACTTCAGCTCCAGAGTGGGCCCACATCCAATTCATCCAACTTTACCTGCAATGGCCACAGCTGTTCGTCTCTCTGATGCTTTTATTTCTGGGGCTACTTCTCCCAAATCTGAATGCCTGAAACAATTTCAGAAGAAAATTATAATTAAAAAAATGGAATACCACTTTCACCTATCAAACTGGCCGCATATAAAATCTCTTGGAGAGCTTTTAAAAACTATAAACCCTGGGTCACACCCCAGATCCATGAAACCAGAATCTCTGGGAGCTGGTCCTGGGTATCACTGCTTTTAAAAGTGCCCTCAATGATTCTGATATGCACCCACAGTTGAGAAACACTGGTCTAGAAAACCAGCACTCTCCAAAACTGCTGGCCAGAGCACAAATACAGTCATTCAGAAAGACAGAAAAATATACATACCCTTTGCCCAGTAATTCCACTTCTATCCTAAGGAAATAATTAAGATTTAGTTACAAAGATGTTGATGCCAGCTTTATATATAATAGCGAAAAACTGATGCCTTTTAAAATCAAAGTGCAATAACGGAATTATGGTCAAATTCTGCAGCCATTAAAAAATACGCTATGGATTTCTTTTGTGGACAAAAAGATGCTGGATGAGATATTAGGGAAAGCTGTTATATTAATTAGTCGGGGGAAAGTCAGGCTACAGAAAAGTATGCACAGTATGATTACAATTTAATAAAATTGTGTATGTTTATCTATAGGTATATATACAGAACTCTAGAAGGATGTTCATCTGAAGTTAACACTGTGGTCTGGAAGGGGTGATCCTGAATTATTTTAAATAGCTATGATAAGTGCAGTCTAATTAAGAATAAACTATTTTAGGCCTGGTGTGGTGGCTCACGCCTGCAATTCCAGCACTTTGGAAGGCTGAGGCGGGCGGATTACTTGAGGTCAGGAGTTCGAGACTGGCCTGGCCAACATGGTGAAACCCTGTCTCTACTAAAAATATAAAAATTAGCCAGGCGTGGTGGCAGGCGCCTGTAATCCCAGCTACTTCGGAGGCTAAGGCAGGAGAATCACTTGAACACAGGAGGCAGAGTTGCAGTGAGCCGAGATCGCACCACTGCACTCCAGCCTGGGTGACAAGAACAAAACTCCATCTCAAAAAAAAAAAAAAAAAGACTAAACTATTTTAGATGTATCATAGAGTGAGCAAATGAGTAAATGTATTGATTCTGCCAGGAGCCAGGGTGCTAACTAACTGCTGAAGAAAGGACATACAAACATAGAATGGAGAGTTACAGCAGAACTTGCAGAGGCGCAATGGAACTGGAGGCACTCGTGTGAACTGTGATTTCTATATGCATGCTTATGTGCATATGTGTTTAAGTGTGTAGATGTAGGTGTGCACACATATCTCTGTGTGTATACGAGTGTACACATGCATCTATTTCCTAACTGTCCACGGAAAGGGCCAAGAAGCAAAGACACTGTTGTGGCAATGGGCATGCCTAGCACCCTTTAATACCTTCCACGCTAAAAGAAACGGACTCCTTGGAGATCCTGAATGATGGCTGGGGCAAGGAAAGAACAGGAGGAGCCTGAGCATCTTATTTCAGAAAGTAAGGAAATGCTCGAAAACATGATGGGCACAGGAGCCAGCCTGAGGAACTCTCACTGGTCAAATCTAGGACAATGTGAGCACAAACATAAACACAGTAACTGATTTAAAACCATTGAAAACCAGCAATTAGTGAGTCCACATGGATAATAAATACATGGGCAGAAAGAGAAGGCTCTCTTGCTCACATCAGAACATGAAATGTGGAGGGGGATGCTGCAGTCAGAATAGTATCATTTTAGAGCAGGGTGCAGTGACTCATGCCTGTAATTCCAGCATCTGGGAGGCCAAAGCAAGGGGATCACTTGAGCCCAGGAGTTCAAGACTAGCCTGGGCAACATGGCAAAACCTCATCTCAACAAAAAATAATGAGCCACTGTACCCTATAGCCAGTAATTTTAAAAATTATAACACCAGCCAATCTGTCAACTCGGGCTCCAGCCCACTTCTAAGCCTTGCTAAGTTTCCTGTCTGTGTATCAGGCGGAGTCGGACCAAGACGGCAGAGAACAGCACTTCCAACGGCCCTACTCAGGGGCAAGGGAGCTCTCTGCAGTGCAGTTTTTGAAAATTACTAATATCACCATATATGTTTTTCTGATTCCAAAAATAAGACACATGTAAAATACAAGAAAGTATCATAAAAATGCTTTCCTGTCATATGTTTGAAAATTATACCCTATGTTAATCTGTCCTCTCCTCCTCTTAATCTACTCCCATTGCTCTAGCCCATTCTGTTAACAGATAGAAGAGTAGTGCTTTCGCACGCCCCAATTTGCTCCCTGATGACTAATGGCTGTTTAGTTTCATCTTCTTCTGGGGCCCACCCTGGCCCTTAATTAGCATATTTACTGTACACACCCTACTTCACTATTAACTTATAATCATGACCCTTTCCCCATATCCTTCACAATGCTGAAAAACATTCTACTTTTATTACTGGAAGCAATTTTTTTTTTTTTTTGAGATGGAGTCTTGCTTTGTCACCCAGGTTGGAGTGCAGTGGTGTGATCTTGGCTCACTGCAACCTCCGTCTCCTGGGTTCATGCAATTCTCCTGCCTCAGCCTCCCAAGTAGCTGGGATTACAGGCATGCGCCACCACGCCTGGCTAATTTTTGTATTTTTAATAGAGACAGGGTTTCACCATATTGGTCAGGCTGGTCTTGAACTCCTGACCTCAAGTGATCCACCCACCTCAGCCTCCCAAAGTGCTGGGATTACAGGTGTGAGCCACCACGCCCGGCCACTGGAAACTTTTTTTTTTTTTTTTTTTGAGACAGAGTCTCGCTCTGTTGCCCAGGCTGGAGTGCAGTGGCGTGATCTCGACTCACTGCAAGCTCTGCCTCCTGGGTTCACGCCATTCTCCTGCTTCAGCCTCCCGAGTAGCTGGGACTACAGGCGCCCACGACCACGCCCGGCTAATTTTTTTGTATTTTTTAGTAGAGACGGGGTTTCACCATGTTAGCCAGGATGGTCTCGATCTCCTGACCTCGTGATCCACCCGCCTCAGCCTCCCAAAGTGCTGGGATTACAGACGTGAACCACCGCGCCCAGCCATGGAAGCAATTTTTAAAAGGTAAATATTCTCTTGGTATTCAGAATACAGTCAGAACACAGGAAATAGCCAAGGTCCTTAAGCCCCCAGGGTGTGGTGTCAGACACTGCCTAGGGGCCACCTGCAGCAGCTGCTCACCTTCCCTCCTCTGGGCACTTCCCCACATAGACATCTCTCCAGGGCAGGGGTGACCTGATCGCCACCCTCAGGGTCCAGGGTGTCCACAGCTCCTTCTCACTAAGTTAGCCAGTGGACGGGCTGGTTTGTTGTCTGGCAGAAAGAATCAAGCCCCTGACCAACACCAGGGCAGCCATGCCATAAATGGCATGTGGCTGAACCCTACTTCCGGCAGGTCTGCTGATGGCCCATTGCTCATTCTGGAGGCCATCTGTCTTGCTGACCATCTAGCCACAGAAGACAATGCAGGGTTAACTTTCCTTGTCTTCTCACTTTTCCTTTTTCATTTCCTTCTTTTTTTTCTAACTGCCCAGCAGAATTATCTTAGGAGCTTTTCTGCTAAAACCTGGAGATTCTGATTTAGCAGACCTGGGTGTTCAGCACATAAGTAATTACCGACTAGGGGAAGTCACACCTTTGTTTTTCTGCTGACCTACCTCAGAATATGGCACTCCCTGGACAGTCCATCCATGCCTAGAATAGATAGGGCAAACCTCGTGGGCAGAACCCAAGTTTTGCTCCAGATCAATCACTAATTTCTAGCAACAAAACTGGTTCCTCTGCTGGATGGTGCCCATAAAACAAGATGGCATAGGAAAACAATTCTGAACAAGGTGAGCACCAGACAAATACAGGTACAATTACTCACTGTATTATAATCAACAATATATTTTTAAATGTGGAGTCCTAATTAGGGAAAAGGAGTCAGGCTGGTGGGACCAAGGAAAAGCAAAGAGAAAGCACATAAGCTGTAAGTCTGCCTTTCTTCATGGTCCAGGACACATAATCCTCCTGCGTAAATAAGTCACAATCTTCCTGCGCCCAGCTATCATCAGACCCTCGGCTGATAGAAAAATGCAAATTAGCTCACTGCAACCTTGGCATTATCAGTACTGCACATAGCTCTCTCCAGAAAACAGCACGAACACCATCCTATAAAATCCACAGCAAGCCTTTGTCTCCTCACAGTCAGCTCCCTTCTTTCTGACTTGCCCACTGCTTTCTTGCAACGCAATTTCATACTTGTGATTCTTATGCCTCAGCCATCCAAGTAGCTGGGATTACAGCATGCGCTACCACACCTGGCTACTTTTTGTATTTTTTTCCCCCCGAGACAGTCTTGCTCTGTCTCCCAGGCTGGAGTGCAGTGACGCCATCTCGGCTCACTGTAACCTACGCCCCCAGGTTCAAGCAATTCTCCTGCCTCAGCCTCCTGAGTAGCTGAGATTACAGCCATGTGCCACCATGCCCAGCTAATTTTTGTATTTTTAGTAGAGATGCGGTTTCACCATGTTGGCCAGGCTGGTCTCAAACTCCTGACCTCATGATCAGGCCTGCCTTGGCCTCCCAAAGTGCTGGGATTACAGGTATGAGCCACTATTGCCCAGCCTATTTTTTGTATTTTTTATAGAGACAGGGTTTCGCTATGTAGCCCAGGCTGGTCTCAAACTCCTGGGCTGATGCAATCCTCCTGCCTTGGCTTCCCAAAGTGTGGGGAATACAGGTGTGAGCCACTGCGCCCAGCCAATTTTTTTTTTTTTTTTTTTTTTGAGACGGAGTCTCACTCTGTTGCCTAGGCTGGAGTGCAGTGGTGCAATCTCGGCTCACTGCAACCTCTGCCTCCCAGGTTCAAGTGATTCTCCTGCCTCAGCCACCTGACCTCATGATCTGCCCACCTCGGCCTCCCAAAGTACTGGGATTACAGGCATGAGCCACCGCGAACAGCCCCAATTTTTTTTTTTTTAACTCACCAGTTTGTGGTACCTTTGACAGGAACCACAGGAAACTAATACAGTGTATGTGTGGCTTGACAGCTACACCAGCTTCCACCTCTGTCTTCACATGGCTTTCTCCCCTCTGGGTCTCTTCTCCACTTCTTGTAAGAATATCAGTCTTATTATATGTGAACCCACCCTAATCCACTGTGAACTCATTTTAACTAATCACATATAATTTTTTAGAAATCACACCCTATCTCCAAAAAAGATCACAATCACAGGTACTGTGGGTTAGGACTTCAACACTCCTTCTAGGGGGACACAAGTCAACACACGAGAAGATCTAAGCCAAAAATGGGGTGGGGGTGTCCCACCTCTAGAGAGTGACCACATGTTTAAGAAAAATTAAAACTCCCTGAAGAAGAAAAGGAGAAATAAAGTGTTTCCCAGACAAGTAAAAACTGAGGGAATGCATCACCACTAGACTCGGCCTACAAGAAGTGCTTAGGGGAATGTTATATCTGAAAGCAAACAAATGGTATCTGCCACCAAGAAAAAACAGGAAAGTAAAACCGGACATTCCAGCCTGGGCAAGTGAACGAGACCCCTATCTCTACAAAAAAATAAAATAAAGCTGGGTATGATGGTTCACACCTATCTATAATCCCAGCACTTTGGGAGGCCAATGTGGGAGGATCCCTTTATTCCAGGAGTTTGAGAGTGGCCTGGACAACATAGCAAGATGTCATCTCTCCAAAAATAATAATAATAAAAAAGCCAGGTGTGGTGGCAGGCTGTAGTCCCAGCTACTCAGGAGGCTGAGGTGAGAGGATCACCTGAGCCCTGGAAGGTCAAGGCTGCAGTGAACCATGACTGCACTGTTCCACTTGAGCCTAGGAGATAGAGAATGATTCTGTCTCAAAAAAAATATGTATTTTTTTAAAGTAAAATAAAATGAAAAAATTAGCTGGGCATGGTGCATGCACCTGTAGTCCCAGCTACTCAGGAGGCTGAGGTAGGAGGATTGCTTTAGCCTGGGACATCCAGGCTACAGTAGGCAGTGACTGTACCATTGTGCTCCAACTAAATGGATTAAAATGAGACCCAACTCTATGTTGTCTACAAGAAACTCACTTCACCTATAAAGAGACATACAGACTGAAAGTAAAAGGACAAAAAGGCTGGGTGCAGTGGCTCACGCCTATAATCCCAGCACTTTGGGAGGCCAAGGTGGGAGGATCACTTGAGGTCAGGAGTTCAAGACCAGCCTGGCCAACATGGTGAAACCCCATCTCTACTAAAAATACAAAAATTAGACGGGTGTGATGGCACATGCCTGTAATCCCAGCTACTTGGGAGGCCGAGGCAGGAGAATTGCTTGAACCCGGGAGACGGAGGTTGCACTAAGCTGAGATCGCACCACTGCACTCCAGCCTGGGTGACAGTGAGACTCCATCTCACACAAAAAGAAAAGAAAGTAAAGGGACGAAAAAAAAATATTCCATGCAAATGGAAACCAAAAGTATGCAGGAGTAGCTATACTTAGACAAAATAGACTTTACATGAAAAAACAAAGACAAAGAAGGTCATTATATAATGATAAAGGGATCAATTCAGCAAGAGGATATAACAATTGTAAATATATATGCATCTAATACTGTAGCACCCAGATATATAAAACAAATATTAGAGCTAAAGAGATAAATGCCAATACGATAATAGTTGGAGAATTCAATACCCATTTTCAGCACCGCAAATCACCTAGGCAGAAAATCAACAAAGCAACATCAGACTTAACTGCACTATAGACCAAATAGACCCAGACATTTACAGAACATTTTATCCAAAAGCTTCAAAATATACATTCTTCTCACCAGCACACAGAACACTCTCCAGGATAGATCCATGTAGTGGCACAAAATAAATCAACAAATTTTTTAAATTTTAATTTAATTTTTTGAGACACTCTCGTTCTGTTGCCCAGGCTGATGTGCAGTAGTACCATCTGAGCTCACTGTAACCTCCACCACCAGGGCTCAAGCAATCCTCCCACCTCAGCCTCCCAAGTAGCTGAAACTAACTACAGGTGCATGCCACCATGCCCAGCTAATTATTATTATTTTTTATTTTTTTTAGAGATGGGGTTTTGCTATGTTGCCCGGCTGATGTCAAACTCCTGGACTCAAGCAATCTACCTGTCTCGGTCTCCCAAAGTGCTGTAATTACAGGCGTGAGCCACTGTGCCTGGCCAAAAAATTTCTTAAAAATCAAAATCATATCAAGTGTCTTCTTAGATCACAAGGGAATAAAACTAGAAATCAATAATGAGAACTCTTGAGGCCAGGCTTGGTGGCTCATGAATGTAATTATGGCACTTTGGAAGGCTGAGGCAGGAGGATCGCTTGAGCTAGGAGTTTGAGAACAAGCCTAGGCAACAGAAGGAGACTTCATCTCTACAAAAAATTGGAAAAATCAGCCAACCATGGTGGCTCACGCCTGTGGTCCCAGCTACTTGAGAGGCTGAGGTGGGGAAATTGCTTGAGGCCGGGAGGTTGAAGCTGAGTAAGCTGTGATCACACCACTGCACTCCAGCCTGGGTGACAGAGAAAGACTCTGTCTCAAATTTAAACAAAAAAAACATAGACAAAGGGACTATGTCAAACTAAAAGGCTTCTGCACAGCAAACGAAACAGCCAACAGAGTGAAGACACAACCTGTAGAATGGGGGAAAATATTTGTACATTATTCATCCAATAAGAACTGATATCTAGAGTATACAAGGAACTCAACTCAATAGCAAAAAAAAAATAATAATTTGACTGAAAAGTAGGCAAAGGATCAAACAGGCATCTCTCAAAAGACATATATATGGCCAAGAAATAAACGAAAAAATGCTCAACATCCCTAATCATCAAGGAAATGCAAATCAAAATCATAAAAAAAGATATGATATCCCAGTTAGAGTGGCTATTATCAAAAAACCAGGCCAGGCTCAGTGGCTCACACCTATAATCTCAGTACTTCTGGAGGCCAAGGTGGATGGATTGTTTGAGTCCAGGAGTTCAAGACCAGCCTTGCCAGCATGGCAAAACCCTGTCTCTATAAAAATATAAAAATTAGCTGGATGTGGTGGCACACACCTGTAGTCCCAGCTACTCAGGAGGCTGAGGCATGAGAATCACTTGAACCCAGGAGGCAGAGGTTGCAGTGAGGTGAGATCATGGCACTGCGCTCCAGCCTGGATGACACGGTGAGACTCTGTCTCAAAAAACAAACAAACAAAAACCAATGCTGGTAAGGATGTGGAGTAAAGGAAATTCTTATACACTGTGGGAATGTAAGTTAGTACAGCCTTTATGGAAAACCTTTATGGAGGTTTCTCAAAAACTAAAAATAAAACTAGCATGTGATTCAGCAATCCCACTACTATTTGTCCAAAAGAAAGGAAATGTGTGTGTCAAAGGAATATGTGCACCCATGTTTAATATAGCACTATTCACAATAGCCAAGATAGGGAATCAATGTAACTGTCTATCAACATACAAACTGATAAAGAACATGTGGTATACATGTATAGGAATACTATTTAGCCATAAAAAAGAATGGAATCATATCCTGTGTGGCAACACAGATGAGCCTGGAGAACCTTAAGTCAGGAACAAAAAGACAAATATTGCATGTTCTCATTCACAGGTGGGAGCTAAGAAAAAAATTGAGTGAATGGAAGTATAGAGTAGAATTGTGGTTATTAGAGACTGGAATGCATGGGAGAGGGGAGGATAGGGAGAGGTTGGTTAAGATACAAAATTACACCAGGTGCGGTGGCTCACGTGGTCAGGAGCTTGAGACCAGCCTGACCAACGTGGTGAAACCCTGTCTCTGCTAAAAATACAAAAATTAGCTGGGCGTGGTGGCACACGCCTGTAATCCCAGCTACTTAGGAGGCTGAGGTAGGAGAATTGCTTGACTCGGGAGGCGGAGATTGCAGTGAGCCAAGATTGCGCCACGACAATCCAGCCTGGGCGACAGAGAGAGACTCTGTCTCAAAAAAAAAAAAAAAAAAGATACAAAATTACAGTTAGGTAGGAGAATGGGATCTGGTGCTCTGTAATTCTGTAGGGTGAATATGGTTAACTACAATTTATTACATACTTAGTGTCAAAGAACTAGAAGATAAAAAAGTTAGTACTGTGTAAGTTTCCCCATACAATGGAAAATAGAGCTTTAAAACACAGCCTTAATTCTCCAACAGCTTACATTACCATTAAGTTGGAGAGAGAGGGGAACACTCACTGCACAAACAGTAAACAAACAAAAAACACTACAAACACACATATACTAACCTATAAAATGAGGCTGATCATCCCTGACACACATGCCTCAGATGTGCTACAAGGATCCAAAGGGACTTACATACATCTTAAGCAAAGTTCTCTTGGATTTATCTACATATTTATTGTGGACTTATTATTATTTATTATTTATTGTAGATTTATCCACATATTTATTGTTCTCTTGGATTTATCCACATATTTATTGCTAGGAACCTTTCTAGGAATTTAGGATACATTAATGAGGACACAAAGGTTCTGCTCTTGGTTTACAGTTCAACAAGGCAAGGGGATATTGGTAATCAACAATATCCCCTATATTTAAGAAGTGTAGGACTTGTAGCCCCAGCTACTGGGGAGGCTGAGGTGGGAGGATCACTTGAGCACAGGAGGTTGAGGCTGCAGTGAGCCGTGATCCTGTCACTGAACTCCAACCTGGGCAACAGAATGAGACTCTGTCTCAAAATAAATAAATAAATAAATAAATAAAAATTTAAAAGGCTATGCTAGAAGATGTTAAGTGCTACAGAGAAAACAAGGCACAGGCCAAGGTCAGGTGTGCTGAGAATGGTGGTGGGGAGCGCAGAGCAGGTTGGCTGGAGAAAGGGCCGTGTTAGTACTGGTTTGGAAGGAGGTGAAGGCAGGAGCTATATGACTACCAGGGGAAGACTGCCGCAGGCATAGCCGGGGCAAAGGCCCTAACGTACCCAGGGACCAACAGGGAGGCCCGAGTGGCTTGAGCAAGAGAGTGATCAGTGAGTAGGAGAAGGCAGCAGGAGAAGCTAGAGACGACTGAACTTTACAGGCCACAAAAGACTAAGGCTTTGGGGAGGAAGAGGAAGAGAAAAAAAATAAAAATAAAAAAGATTTTTTAAAAAAAGGTTCTGGCTGTTCTTATTCTAGAGGATGGGGTAGCCATGAAAGGGCCCTGGGTGCAGGGTGACAGGCCTGTCTATGTTACCGGCTGCCAGGCTGAGAATAGACAAGGGATCACAAACGCTCCATTATCTAGCCTTATATTCAGGAAAACAACAACAAAGGCTCAGACCTGGGCAATAGTACCAGCAGCAATGGCATGTGGCTGGACTCTCAAAAGCATCTGTGAAGGACTGCAACAGACTGCACAAAGTGTCTACAGACACAAGCCAAAATAAGTTCAAGTTTTCCAGGTTCAATCAGTTGCTCCTGTCTCAGATAGGGAGGTCTGTGGGTAAAGCAAGACTTGAGGGAATCGTGAGCAAATTGGCACTGACAGACTGGCCCGAGACCCCTACCCTTGGATATGCTAAGCCAGCACGTGAGCTGGAAGGGGTTTGGAGAGCTAATAAAGGCAATCCTTCAACGCGTATAGGAGAGACCACTGTCGGCAACTTCCCTAAAGATACATGCTCTACAACCTCCACCTGACACCACAGTGTACTCACAACAAAGACAGAATCAACTTGCATTTTCTCCATAATGCAAAGAAATGATGGTGCAGGTAGACCTGGAAAACCCAAGAGATCAACCTGAAAACTATCATAAACAATGAGAGAATTCAGTAAGCCGGGGACATACAAAGTTAAAATCAGTAACTGCCTTCCTATTATACAAATAGGTTAGAAACAATGGAAGGAGAGAGCTCCGATTTGTAGTAGCAACAAGAAAAATAATATGTTACAAATGTGCAACACCTATTTGAGAAGAATTTTAAAATACTGAATCTGATTAAGACTTGAAGAACTGAAAAGGGCTGGGCACAGTGGCTCATGCCAATAATCCCAGGACTTTGGGAGGCCAAGGTGAGAGTATCACTTGAGGTCAGGAGTTCCAAGCCAGAAGTTCAAGACCAGCCTGAGCAACACAGTGAAACCCCACTCTACAGAAAATTTAAAAATTAACTGGGTCCAGGAGCATGTGCCTTAAGTCCAGTTATTCAGGAGGCTGAGGTGGATCGCTTGAGCCCAGGAGTTTGAGGCTGCAGTACACAGCAGCCTGGGTGACAGAGCAAGAAGACCCTGTCTCAAAAATAAATAAATAAATAAATAAATAAATAAATAAATAAATAAATTTATTTTAATTTAAAAGAAATCTATTTCTGGATTTTCAGAGAGGAAAGAGTTAAAAAAAAAAAAGGCTGGGTGTGGTGGCTCATGCCTGTAATCCCAGCTCTTGGGAGGCCAAGGCAGGCAGATTACCTGAAGTCAGGAGTTCGAGACTAGCCTGGCCAACATGGTGAAACTGTTTCCACTAAAAGTACGAAAATTAGCCAGGCGTGGTGGCGCATGCCTGTAATCCCAGCTACTCGGGAGGCTGAGGCAGGACAATCGCTTGATCCCGGGAGGCGGAGGTTGCAGTGAGCCAAGACTACACCACTGCACTCCAGCCTGGGCAACAGAGTGAGGCTCCATCTCAAAAAGTGTATATATATATTTATATAAAAATTTTTATATAAATATATATTTATAATATATGCCTTATTATAATACAAATATAAATATTTATATTTATATATATAATAAAAAATGTTTAAAGGAGTATTCTATCTTAGGCAGAAAGGCTTAATTTTTTTTTTTTTTTTTAAGAGATGAGATCTCACTATGTTGCCCAGGCCAGTCTCAAATCCTGGGATCATGTGATCCATCTGCCTCAGCCCCCCAAAATGCCAGGATTATAAGCATGAGCTACCATGCCTGGCCTTTAATATAATTTTAAAAGTCAATTCTCTCTAAATTAACCTATAAGTAAATTGAGGTTCAAAACCAGTTGATTCTGTGAAAAAATATTTATGAAATAACAATCAGGAAAATTTTGAAAAAGAACAGTGAAGGACAAAACTTTCCAGAAAATAGAACATAATAATTAAATAGTCTAAAATAATTTAAGGTTGCTCATGAATATACAGAGAAATCAGTAAAAGGAGATCCCAGAAATAGGTCCAAATGCAGTCAAAAATTTCATCACTGATCTAGGTCGCTTTGAGTATCTGGAACTTATTCAATCACAAAAACCTGGAAAAAAAATTAAGGTAGGTCCCTACCACTTCATTCACCCAAATGAATACCAACTGGATCTAAGATTAAGTTTTTAGTGCCCTAAAAGAAAGTATTAGAGACCCTAAAAAGTCACAATAGGCTAAGTGTGGTGGCTCACGCCTATAATCTCAGCACTTTGGGAGGCTGAGGTGGGAGGCTCTCTGGAGCCCAAGAGTTCAAGAACAACCTGGGCAACATAGTAAGACCCTGTCTCTACAAAAAAAATTTCTTAAAATCCACAATAGCCAGGTGTGGTGGCATGCGCCTGTAGTCCCAGCTACTCAGGAGGCTGAGGCAGGAGGAATACCTGAGCACAGCAGATTGAGGCTGCAGCGAGCCATGTTGTTGCCATTGCACTCCAGCCTGGGAGACTCAGCAAAACTCTGTCTCAAAAAGAAAGAAAGAAAAAAAAAAGTCAGCCGGGCGCGGTGGCTCATGCCTGTAATTCCAGCACCTTGGGGAGGCCAAGGCAGGCGGATCGCTTAAGGTCAGCGGTTCGAGACCAACCTGGGCAACATTGTGAAACCCCATCTCTACTAAAAATACAAAAATTAGCCAGGCATGGTGGTGCACGCCTGTAATCCCAGCTACTCAGGAGGCTGAGGCAGGAGAATCGCTTGAACCCAGGAGGTGGAGGTTGAAGTGAGCTGAGATCACACCACTGCACTCCAGCCTGGGCGACAGAGTGAGACCCTGCCTCAAAAAAAACCAAAACAAAAAAAAAAAAAAAAAGAAAAAGAAAAAAAGTCACAATTCAGCAAATTTAAAACAGAACCACCACATCTGACCTACAGTGAGAAGGATGCTCCTAGCATACAGGTAGGTCTCTGTCTCTTTTTTTTAAAGACAGGAGACAGGGTCTCATTGTGTTGCCCAGGCTTAAGTGCAGTGGTATGATTATGGCTCACCGCTGCCTCAAACTCCTGGGCTCAAGCCATCTTCTGCCTCAGGCTCCCAAAGTGCTGGGATTACAGGCGTAAGCCACTGCACCTGCCATTAAATCCTTTAAAGGAAGAGTTCCTTCTAAGTTATTCCATTTTCAGGCATTTTTTGTTAAGCCATAATTGAAGGTATCGTCCACTCTGTCAACACAGCTTCTTACTCACGTGGGCCATGTGAGCCCATCCTTACTTCAGCTTTATCAAAGGGTTCTGGAAGATACTGCATGTGTTCTGTAATCACAACAAAAACTACAGAATCCAACACTTTTGTTTGTGCCTCAGCAACCAAATTTAAACCAACTATAATCATCCTGAATTGGGTCATTTTGCATTTTATCTTAAACTGCTTAGCCAGGCCTAGGAGCCCTCCTCTCTATACTAGAAATAACAGTCCTTATTGAATAGGTTGCTGTGAAGATTAAATAACTTAATATACGCAACAGCATTTAGAATAGGGCCTGACAGCACACTTGTTGGGGGTGGGCAGGATCTAAATTTAAAAGAACATTCCCTAGGACTGGAAAGTCCCTGTCACTCGTGGTTCCGGATGAGAGGCTCTCCCCTGAGCTGGGGTGGGCTCTTCAGTCCATCCCCATGGAGAGGTCAACGGCATGGCTGTTGCATCCCATGAAGTCCTGGTGCACTCTGCCACCCATGGGCAGGTGAGTGAAGTTTGGAGAGCTGTCCTAAAGAACCAGGGACACTTCTGGCCTTTTCTATCCCTGCTAGTTCTCCCGTACGTCCAGCGTAGGGAACACTCTGGGTGGCTGCTGGCTTTTTGGGCAATCCCACATCCGTGAGCAGAGAGCCAATACAAAGTCTCAGTCCTGCTGGCAAAGCTAGGTCCCTTCTGCAGAAGTCACAGCAGCTACTGAGCAAGATAAGGGTCCTGCTGGACTTCTCCCAAGAGCAAAGATACATCTTGAGTTCTTAATGCTTCCTTCTCAGTGTGGTTTACGGGGCCCCCTTTCCCCTTCCCCCAGTGTGGCCAGAGGACCCATCTTTCACCCAGTGTAGAGGGCCTGTGAGCTCTAGGGCTGTGGCCTGGCCCATTCAGACCAGGCCGGGCCTCCAGTGGGAAAGCTGAGCCTTTCCCTTCCCATAAAATGACAGTGGTGGGAGAGAATCTTCCTGGACAGCAAAGACAAAAGGTTAAAAGTCAAGTCAGGTACTTTTGACAGCCAATGGATGTTAATGGGGGTGCTTTCAGCTTCCAAGGTAGATGAGTCCTTGAGAATTCCCAGGAGCCGAGATGTTCCTGAGAGGAGCAGCCAGGAGGGTGGATGAGGTCTCCAGCTGAATGTTTAAAGGAACAGTGGGCTGGGGAAAGGACCTGAGGAGGTCACTGGGGAGGAGAGAGGAGCAGGCGAGAGGAAAGAAAAGGAGTGGAGGGGAGGAACGGAGACAGAACAGAGAAGGGAGGAGGAGAGGGAGGAGGAGGGGAAGGGAAGGGGGAGGAGAAGATGGTGGAGAGGGAGGAGGAGGGGGGAAGAAGAGGGGCAGGTGCCAAGGTGCGTGTGCCCTCCTTCCTCAGGCAAGGACTCAGTCCACAGAGGAACAACTGGCCTTGGGTTTGTCGTCCAGTGATGGCTTCTCCTCTACCCCAATTAGCCACACATTCCTGGGTTTCAATCACTCAGTCACCTCATCCACTACCATGAGTCCCACCTCTATATAGCTAAGCATTCTCCACAGCCCCACTCGGACCCCACAGGTCCTTCCACCCATTCTGTGTCCGAGCTCCTCCCTTCTAGGGCAGGTCTTACTCCATTTCTCCTGGCCAGAAAGGGACCATATTTTCTGAAACAAAGCGCTGAGGAGTGAGAGTTACTTATGGAGATCAACTTACTCACTTGCTGTTACCCACTGGATCAAAGAAAAAAGCGGAATCTTTCTAAGGGAATACAGAGGTCAGGGATGAAGTTTCTATCTTTAAAGACCGGGTAAGCGAAGATGCCATTAGCATCCTATTTCTTGACTCAATTATTCCATCAGGCAGGCAAAACTTTTCATGTATGATGTCATCATGTGTTGGGAGGTACAGAGAATCCTTAAAATCTGGTGGTGGCAGGGAAGGTGGTACAATCATTTAAGAGGATCATTTGGCAGCATCAAGTTACAACAGGCAGGAAGAACAAAAAACAAAAGCAGGCCCTCTGCTCAAGCAGTCCAAGTCTTTGCAGGTACTCTACATGTCCAGAGTGAGACACAGATGGGCAGCATTATCTTAGAGAAAACCGGGAACATTCTTAACTGAATAATGTAACCATGCCATGGAATATTATATGTCTGTCAAAATGTAGGTAGACTGGGCACTGTGTAATGTGCTTATAATTCCAGCAATTTGGGAGGCCGAGACAGGAGGATGGCTTGAGCCCAGGAGTTCAAGATCAACATAGGCAACATAATGAGACCCCCACTGCTATTAAAAAAAAAAAAAAGAGAGAGAGAGAAAGAGAAAGAGAGAAAAAAAATGTAGGTAAATCAAAAACAAAAAACAAATGTATGTGGATCTGTTCCTTGTTCTGGCATGGAAAGAATTTCAAGGCATATTGTTGGGCAAATAAGCAAGCTGCAGAACAGTATGATAGCATTTATGTAAAAACAGAGCAAGGAACAAACTTAGTATGTAAATGCAAAGGAAAACATCTGTCAGGGTACCCCCCCAAACTCAGATGGGAGGGAGGAGGGATGCTAGTTGTTTCTGTAAAGCTGTCACTCTGATAAGAATAAGTGACTATTTAAAATCTTTTTAAGATTTTAAGATCGGTGGTCTATGTAAAGCCAATTATACTTGATCTTTATTTATTGTTTTTCAAATTATCCATCAGTAACAATCTGAAAAATATAGACTTCACACAGCTAACCCAGGTTAAAGAAACTTGAGGAGCTGTATCTAGTGTAGTTGGAAATGAAAATCTGGAAATTTAGGATGAATAGTTGTAACATTGTTAAGGATAAGAGCCCCTTTGAAAATCTGTTGAAAGCTACAGACCTTGTGCCCAGGAAAATTACACACTACTCCCAATGCTGCATACAATTTCAGAGAACAAAGGGACCCCCAGAAGCCCATCCATGAATCATGGAGCCTAAGTTAAGAACCTCTGATTCAGACAACAGTTAAAGCCACTAAAACAGATGTGACCATGCAGAGAACATGTGTTGGGACTAGCGGAGATGGATTATAGAGCCCAAGGAAACCCCAACAGTGAAAGAGCAGGCAGAGGAGCTGGCAGACAAGGAAGATCTGGGCAGTTGTGAGACAGCCAAGCAAGGGGCAAAGACAAGAGATGAGCTGTTGAGTGAGGCCTGTTCGAAAGAGGGGAGATGGCAGCATGAGCTGCTCCCTGTCTTCTGCCCTCTCTGCCGTCTCTATACTGCTGTCACATTGATTCTCTGAGAGCTCCACCAATGCAAATAGTTTCATTTACCTTCAGCGAGTGGTGGGCAGTGAGTCCACAAACGGGACCAGGTCCCATCATCTGGTCCCAGTCTCATCCTCTGAACTTGTCTCCACTTAGCTCCAAACACACTGGGCCATGGGGCATTTCTCAAACACATCTTTTCCTTTGATGCCTTCATATCCTTTGATTGCCATTTCCTTTATTTAGCACAATGCCTGGCATATTCATAAGGTCCTCAAAAATGGTCAGCGTTTCTTCTTTCCTTCCCAACTCATGGAGATTGTCACTTAATAAAAACATCAATTTGGAGACTCCTCTATGACTAGCCCAGTCCAGATCACCAGTCCCTTCCCATCCCTGCCCTTTATCTGTGGACTTGCTCCCTAAGATACCTAGTGCAGTAGCTTAAATGTTTGCTAGCTGGCTGACTGAGATAGCCCTGAGGGTCTCAGAAAGCACTGTCTTCCTAGCTAGACTCTGATCTACCAGGGAAGCCTGTAGAAGTGGACACTTAGGAGCTATGTCTGCCAGTGTACATAATATGTGCATAGCTTACCCCACAAAATGAAATAAAGCAACAGTCATGAGTCACTTAACAACAGGGATACATTCTGAGAAATGTGTCATTTGGCAATTTGGTCCTTGTGTGAGCATCATAGGGCAAACTTACACAAACCTACATCGTAAGGTGTACTATGCACCTAGGCAATATGGTACAGCCTGTTGCTCTTAGGCTACAAACCTGTACAGCATGTTACAGTATGAATACTGTAGGCAACTAACACAATGATAAGTATTTGTGCATGGGACCACTGTCATATAACGTGGTCCTCCGCTGTCATTTTGTGGTGCATGACTTGTATACTAAAGGTTTTGAGACCTCAGCTTTTGCAATGGATATCCCGCAGAAAATTATAGATTACAAACTGCAGACTCATGGGGGTCACACAAATAATCACAACCGCAAATACCAAATGTCACCAACTACAGGGACACAGTTTAAGCCCTACTGGCTCACAGAAACACCAGTGAAGCATTAAGTCCACCTCTGACCCATGTCTACAAAGTAGTGTACTTGGGCACCAAATGCACCACTATTTTTTTTTTTTTTAAAGCTTCGTTCAGGGCAGCCCCACACAGGTTCAGCCACCCTCAACATTGCCTCCAGGAGGCTCTGCCCACCCTTTCCTGACAAGGGGGAAAGGAATGCTGCAGGACCTTGAACCCCTAGGTCAATCAGCCTGGCCTTCCCAGGGATGGTTCCCTGCTTACTCTATTCATGAGCTCAAAGTGCTGGGTAGTCAGCTGGCAATGAAAAGGCCTGGTCCCGGAAATGACCACTGCCCCAAAGCCTAGAAAGACAGCAGGCGGGGTTCAAATTCAGCTTGCTTCATTCAGGCCCACTGTACTGAGCCAAATCACCCCAGGGCATGGCTCAGGCCTCATCTGGAGGAGGCACGAAATCCATGATCCCGGCCCCTTAGCACCGTCCCCTCCCCACCCCTACCACTGAACACACACCTGTAAAGCTCTTTGGGAACTGTTCTGAATGGCTATCACAGCCACTAGATCCAAGACCCTCTGAATGATGGGTAACAGTCAAAGAAGAATTTTAACAACTAAAGCGATGACCTTGAGCCTAATTTCTTTCTTTGTAAAATGAAAGTGTTGGACTGTCATTCCCAAATTTCAGTACTAGTAAAATTATCAAAACAAAAAACAAAAAAATAATGAATTACTGAGGTTTTAGTTTGCCAAGTGAGAATTTTTTCTCAAAAATTACAAACTATATGTGTCGCCATCATTTCCTAAAAGGAATAACATTTAAATCAAAAAAGTTGAAAAGAGGTAATATCAAAATAAGCGCAGCCACCCCAAGGCAGGCCGGTAGGCAATGGCCCCGACCAAGGAGATCCCGGAGCGGCTCTCCGGCTGTCAGCAAAGGGTCTGCATCTGCCCGGATCCTGACATTCTGGGTACGTCTCAACGACGCGGCAAACAAGCGTCCACTCCCAACGCGAGCAAGTTTAAAACCCAGGAACATCGATACCAGGCGCCGGAGCGAAGCATTTCCAGGCCTCCGCGGGTTGCCCCGGGCCGCGGCGAGGACCCGCACCCCGGTTCCCCAGCCGCTCGCCGGGCCCTCGCTCCCGCCGCGCCCCGGGCACCTCCGGGCCTCGCGCCCTCCCCGGATCCCCTAGGCCCGCGTACCCGGACCCCCGCATCCCGGGGGACCGCTGTCCTCCGCCGGCGCCCCCGCCCGCCCCCCACGCCCGCGCGGCCGGTCCGCCCAAGGTCGGCGCGAGCGGGCCGTGGGCCTGGTGGGCCTGGCGGGCGGGGGCGCCCCTGGCCGGGTCCGGGCCGCATCCCAGACCAGAGCCCGCAGGCCAGAGCCGCTCCGGGTCCCGCTCCCGTTCCTGCCGGCAGCCGCGGGGGCGCAGGGCCTGCGAGGCGGCACTCACCCGGGCGACGCCATGAGCGCAGCGAGGTCTCCGCTCCCGCCTCCTTCGCTTCCTCCGCGCGGCCGCGGCTCGGCGCCGGGGAGGGGCCTGGCCCGCCGGCCGCCCGCCCGCTCCGGGACGCGCTCCAGGGGTGGAGGTGGGGTGAGGTGGGGTAAGGTGGGCCCGGGGTCCTCTCGGAGCAGCCCGGGGACAGCTGGGGCGGGGTGGGGGCGGGGCGGCCCAGGTCAGCCCGCAGCCCGCCCAACGCCCACCTGCCCAGGTGCCTGGAGGCCGGAACTCGCCGGGCGGTGCCTGCGGTGCCAAAAGCTGTAGGATAACCTGCCCCAGGGCCTTACTGAACTTCACACCTTTCTGTAATTGGAGTTTAATTTCTGTAAGAAAAGGCTTTTCTTTAGCCCTGAAGCGTAAGGCCTTATTATTAAGCAAAACAATAACTTTCCTACTTCTTACTTGCAGTGCTGTGTTGGACGAGTTGCTGGCCTCTCTGAGACGGTACCCATTGTAAAATGTGTATAAAGTGGCCTTGTGAAGCTCTAGGCAATGCGAAGCACTTTTATTATTCTTTATAGTGTGTTATTAAGAAAAATAATGAATCTGCAGTTCCTCCAGTGAGGTTTCACAACTATTCTTACAAGTTATGAGTCCTTAGGCAGGTAGATTTTTCAGCTTCAGTTCTTCTCTCTGCAAAATGAGTTTCCAAAAATGATCTAAGTGAAAATGCTTAATAAAAAGCTCTGGACAATGTAAACCATTGTTGATAACATTTTTAGTATTATATTAAATATCACTGGCCGAACGCAGTGGCTCACGTCTGTAATCCCACCACTTTGGGAGGCCGAGGCAGGAGGATCGATTGAGCCCAGGAGTTTGAGATCAGCCTGGGCAACATATTGAGATGACCCCCTGCCCGCCCCGCCCGTTTCATTTTTAAAAATAAAATTAAAGTTAAAAGTAAAATATCATTAACAACCACTATTTAAAAATGTTTACTACTATTAAGAATACAAGACAGCAAAGCAGTGATTAAAACCTTAGCTCTGAAGCCAGAATACCTGTGTTGGAATCTGGGCTCCACCAATTACCAGCCCCAGGAGCCCCTGCAAGATAGAACCTTTCCAGGGCCACAGTTCCTTATTTGAAAAATAAGGCTAAAAATAAGTCCCTTCCTCTCTGTGAAGATTAAATGAATTAATATTTGTAAACATTTGTAACTATTTTTAAATGTTAGTAAACATTGCGTGATGCATGGTCTCTTTTCCTCCTGGGAGAATCCAGTCAATGTTTCTGAGCCTCCTTGTCCTCTTCGGTAAAGAAATTCATAACTGCTACCTTGAGTTCAGAAGATAATTAATGCTCTGTAAATGGGAGCTGATAGGTAAAGCCACGCGAACTTGTGACACCCAAAATAAGGACAAATCCAGGAGGACCAGAGTTAGGAAGAGTTTGAGGAATGGGAAATCCTAAATCCTAAATGCCTGATTCAAGGGAGTAATGAAATGAAGGAGATCAAACTAAAAGAATTTTTTCTTTGTTTGTTTGAGACAGGGTCTTGCCCTGTCACCCAGGCCAGAGTGCAATGGCGAGATCTTGGCTCACTGCAACCTCCACTTCCCGGGTTCAAGCAATTCTGCCTCAGCCTCCCAGTAGCTGGGACTACAGGCGCCCACTACCACACCTGGCTAATTCTTCTATTTTTAGTAGAGACAGGGTTTCCCCATGTTGGTCAGGCTGGTCTCAAACTCCCAACCTCAGGTGATCTGCCTGCCTCAGCCTCCCAAAGTGCTGGGGTTACAGGCGTGAGCCACCATGCCTGGCCTAAATAAGCATTCTTTTAAACATAAGGAATACATGTTTACTGACATAAAATCTGGTTCAGAAACCAATAACCCCAAAATATGGCACTTTAACAAGCTGAACTGAAGAAGTCTCAAGGTCTCTCTGATCTCCCTCCCCACTGGTTTCTCCCAAAACAGAAAATGTCTTTATCTGCTTAAAGTCCAGACCCTCCAAGGAGAACAACTGTTTTTCTTGCCCTCCCTGTAAGACCAAGAATGTAACCACACCTGAAAAGACCCTTTCATAGGATAGCGTACAAGTTAATCTCTGTGCCCTGATCCATTCCTTCTCCCTAGTAATCCTTTATTGCCCCTTGAAAGAATTCCTCTTTCTCCCCTCCTGTAAGTTGTTTTGCCAAGATGGTCTACAAGCTTCTGAACCTTGTTGGGTGGTGGGAAATCATTCTGTAATTCTCCCTGTGCACACATTCATAAAATTTGTATGCCTTTTCTTCAATTAATCTGCTTTTTGTGAGTTGATTTTTCAGTAAATCTTCAGAGGGCAAGGAGAAACTTTCCCGTGGCCCGTACACTTAACATGAATTTTAGCATCCCACTATATGGTTAGACCATCATGTTTAACCAACCCCTACTGTTGGACATAAATATTGCTACCAGTATTTCATTATTATAAGGAATGTGAGTAATAAATATCCTTATAGCCAAAACATCCCATAAACATCAATGATTATTTCCTTATGCCAAATTTTGAAGAGTTGAATTTCTAGATCAATAGGATATCAGTATTTTAAGGCTCTTCTGAAACATATATACTCTGTGTATGTGTATGTGTATACCTACACACATACACAAACACACTAATATACATATACTTAAATACATAATACACATACACACATATGTATACATATACCTACACACATATATACAGACACACAAATATACACATACACAACATATACACACATATATACAGATTGCCTTCCCAGCACAATCACCTGATAGTCCTAGTTTTCCAAAACACTGTGTAACTTTTACAATTTTTCAAAATCATTGCCAACTTCATAGGTTAAAAACCAGTATTTTAGGCCAGGTACGGTGGCTCATGCCTGTAATCCCAGCACTTTGGGAGGCCGAGGCGGGTGGATCACTTGAGGTCAGAAGTTTGAGACAGCCTGGCCAACATGGTGAAACTCCATCTCTACTAAAAATACAAAAATTAGCTGGGTGTGGTGGCGTGTGCCTGTAGTCCCAGCTACTAAGGAGGCTGAGGCAGGAGAATTGCTTGAACCCAGGAGGTGGAGGCTGCAGTGACTGCAGCCACTGCACTCTAGCCTGGGTGACAGACTATCTCAAAAATAAAAATAAAAAATAATTTAAAAAATAATAATAATAAATAAAATTGGCCAGTGCTGTGCCTCACGCCTGTAATCCCAGCACTTTGGGAGGCTGAGATGGGTGGATCACTTGAGGCCAGGAGTTCAAGACCAGCCTGGCCAACATGGAGAAACCCTGTTCTCTACTAAAAATACAAAATTAGCCGGGCGTGGTGGCACATGCCTGTAATCCCAACTACTCGGGAAGCTGAGGCAGGAGAATTGCTTGAACCCGGGAGGCAGAGGTTGTGGTGAGCCAAGATCGTGCCATTGCACTCCAGCCTGGGCAACAAGAGCCAAACTCTATCTCAAAAAAAATAAAAGACACCCTGTTACAAGAGACATATAAGAAAATTGTAGGCTGGGCATTGTGGCTCACACCTATAATCTCAGCACTTTGGGAGGCCAAGGCAGAAAGATCACTTGAGGCCAGGAGTTCAAGACCAGCCTGGGCAACATGGTGAGAACTGATCTATTTATTTGTTTATTCATTTATTTATGAGACACGGTCTCACTCTGTTGCCCAGGCTGAAGTGCAGTGATGCAGTCATGGCCCACTGCAGCCTCAACTTCCCAGCTCAAAGTGATTCTCCCATCTCAAACTCCTAAGTAGCTGGGACTACAGGCATGTGCCACCATGTCTGGCTAATTTTTTTTTTTTTTTTTTTTTTTTTTTTGTAGAGACAGGATTTCCCCATGTTGTCCAGGCTGGTCTCAAACTTCTGGGCTGAAGCAATAACCTGCCTCAGCCTCCCATAGTGCTGGTATTACAGATGTGAGCCACCATGCCTGGTCCCATCTTTTTATTAAAAATTTACACTAAAATTTTTTTTCAAAAAGTCCTGACATGGTGGCTCACACCTTTAATCCCAGCACTTTTAGAGGCTGAGGTGGGAGGATCACTTGAGCCCAGGAGTTTGAGATCAGCCTGGGAAACATAGTAAGACCTTGTCTTTACAAATAATAAACACAATTAGCCAGGTGTGGTAATGCATACCTGTAGTCCCAGCTACTCAGGAGGCTGAGATGGTAGGATCTCTTGAGCCTGGGAGGCTGAAGCCACAGTGAGCCAAGATTTCACCACTGCACTCCAGCCTGGGTGACACAGCAAGACTCTTTCTCATAAAAATAAATAAATAAAAAGAACATTACATATTGATAAGAGTCAATTCACTAAGAAGACATAACAATGATAAACATGTATGCACCAAACAAAAGATCCCCAAAAAATATGAAGCTAACATTGACAGAATTAAAGAGAAAAAATACAGACTTCTACAATAAAAGTTGGAAACTTCAATACCCCACTTTCAATAATAGTACAATCAGACAGGAGAACCATAAGAAAATAGACAGCCTGAACAGCACTATAAATAAACTGGACCAGCCAGTCACGGTAGCTCACACCTGTAATCCCAGCACTTTGTGAAGCCAAGGCAGGTGGATCACTTGAGGTCAGGAGTTCGAGACCAGTAGGGCCAACATGGTGAAACCTCCTCTCTACTAAAAATACAAAAATTAGCTGGGTGTGGTGGCGCACACCTATAATCCCAGCTACTCGGGAAGCTGAGGCAGGAGTATTGTGTGAACCCAGGAGGTGGAGGTTGCAGAGAGCTGAGATCATGCCACCGATTCCAGCCTGGGTGACAGAGCGAGACTCCATCTCAAATAAATAAATAGGGCCAGGCGCGGTGGCTCACGCCTGTAATCCCAGCACTTTGGGAGGCTGAGGAGGGTGGATCACCTGAGGTCAGGAGTTCAAGACCAGCCTGGCCAACATGGTGAAACCCCGTCTCTACTAAAAATACAAAAAATTAGCCAGGCGTGGCGGTGGATGTCTGTAATCCCAGCTACTTAGGAGGCTGAGGCAGGAAAATTGCTTGAACCTGGGAGGTGGAGGTTGTAGTTAGCCAAGATCTCATCATTGCACTCCATCCTGGGCAACAAGAGTGAAACTCTGTCTCAAATAAATAAATAGGACCTAACAGACATATGCACAGCACTACTGAACAACAGCAAAATACATGTTCTTCTCAAATGCACATGGAACACTCTCCAAGATAGACCATATGTTAGGTCACAAAACAAGCCTTAATACATCATAAAATAATAAAATCATATAAAGTATCTTTTTTGATCATAATGGAATGAAACTAGAAACTAGACCTCACAACAGGAAGAAAACTAGAAAATTGACAAATGTGTGGAAATTAAAGAACACCCTTAAGCAACCAATGGACCAAAAGAAAAAAAACACAGGAAATTAGAAAATACCTTGAAAAAAAATAAAATATACCAAAACTTATGGGATGCAGTGCAGTCAGTTCTAAGAGGGCAATTTATACTTTAATGCCTATATTTAAAACAAAGAAAGATCTCAACTCAATAACTTAGCTCTATACCTTAAAGAAAAAGAAAATGAAGAGCAAACTATATCCAAAGCTAGCAAAAGGAGGGAAATAATAAAAATTAAAGTAATATGGGCCGGGCGTGGTTGCTCATGCCTGTAATCCCAGCACTTTGGGAGGCTGAGGCTGTTGGATTACCTGAGGTCAAGAGTTCCAGACCAGCCTGGCCAACATGGTGAAACCCTGTCTCTACTAAAAATACAAAAAATTAGCCAGGCGTGGTGGCGCACGCCTGTAGTCCCAGCTACTCGGGAGGCTAAGGCAGGAGAATCGCTTGAACCCAGGAGATGGAGGTTGCAGTGAGCTGAGATTGCACCACTGCATTCCAGCCTAGGCAACAGAGCAAGACTCCAAAATCAGGAAGTGTAAGTCCTCCAGCTTTGTTCTTTTTAAAACTGTTTTGGCTGTTCAGGATCCCTTCAGATTCCATATGAACTTTAGGATGGGTTTTTCTATTTCTGCAAAACCATCGAGATTTTGATAGGGATTACATTGTATCTGCAGATCACTTGGGGTAATAGTGACATCTTAACAATATTGTCTTCCAATTCAACCCATCAACATAGGATGTCTTTCCTTTTATGTATTTATTCTTTAATATTTTGTAGCAATTTGTATGACTCCCTTCAGCATTTCTTGCAGGACCAGTCTATTGGTAATGAATTCCCTCAGCTTTTGTTTTTCTGTGAATGTCTTAATTTCTCCTTCAATTTTTTTTTTTCTTTTTGAGACAGAGTCTCACTCTGTTGCCCAGGCTGGAATGTAGTGGCATGATCTCAGCTCACTGCAACCTCCACCTCCCGGGTTCAAGAGATTCTCCTGCCTCAGCCTCCCATGTAGCTGGGATTACAGCCATGCGCCACCATGCCCAGCTAATTTTTATATTTTTAGTAGAGACAGGGTTTCACCATGTTGGCCAGACTGGTCTCCAACTCCTGACCTCAAGTGATCCACCCACCTTGGCCTCCCTAAGTGCTGGGATTACAGGTATGAGCCATCCCGCCCAGCCTCTCCCATACTTTTGAAGGACAATTTGCCAGATATAAGATTCTTGGTTGACAGTTTTTTTTGTTTGTTTGTTTTTTGAGACGGAGTCTCGCTCTGTGGTCCAGGCTGGAGTGCAGTGGCGCGAACTCGGCTCACTGCAAGCTCCGCCTCCTGGGTTCACACCATTCTCCTGCCTCAGCCTCCTGAGTAGCTGGGACTACAGGCGCCTGCCACCACTCCCGGCTATTTTTTTTTTTTATTTTTTATTTTTAGTAGAGACGGGGTTTCACCGTGTTAGCCAGGATGGTCTTCATCTCCTGACCTTGTGATCTGCCTGCCTCGGCCTCCCAAAGTGCTGGGATTATAGGCGTGAACCACCGCACCTGGCCCTGACAGTTATTTTCTTTAAGCACTTTAAATATATCACCCCACTGCCTGCTAGCCTTAAAAGTTTCTCATGAGAAATCTGCTGATAATCTTATTAAAGAGCCCTTAAATATGATGAATCACTTCTCTCTTCACACTTTCAAGATTCTCTGTTTTTGGCTTTCGAAAGTTTTATTTTATTTCATTTATTTATTTATTTTTGAGATGGAATCTCGCTCTGTTGCCCAGGCTGGAGTGCAGTGGCATGATCTTGGCTCACTGCAACCTCCGCCTCCCTAGTTCAAGTGATTCTCCTGCCTCAGCCTTCCAAGTAGCTGGGACTACAGGTGCACATCACCACGCCCAGCTAATTTTTGTATTTTTAGTAGAAACAGGTTTTTACCATGTTGGCCAGGCTGGTCTTGAACTCCTACCCTCAAGTGATCCACCTGCCTTGGCCTACCAAAGTCCTGGTATTATAGGTGTGAGCCACTGCACCTGGCCTATTTTATTTGTTTTTTTATAGAGACTATCTTGCTCTGTCACTCAGGCTGGAGTGCAGTGGCGTGATATTAGCTCAAGCTGATTTCTTGGGCTCAAGCAATCCTTTGGCCTCAGCTCCCTAAGTAGCTGGTACTACAGGTGCTTGCCACCACACCTGGCTAATTTTTGTATGTTTTGTAGAGACGGGTTTTGCCAGGGTGGCTTTTGAAAGTTTAATTATGGCTGGGTGTGGTGGCTCACACCTGTAATCCCAGCACTTTGGGAGGCTGAGGTGGGGTGGATTGCTTGAGCCCAGGAGCTTGAGATCAGCCTGGGAAACATGGTAAAACCGCATCTCTAACCACCCTCAAAAAAAATTTAGCCGGGTATGCTAATGCATGTCTGTAGTCCTAACTACTTGGGTGCCTGAGGTGAGAGCATCTCTTGAGCCTGGGAGATGGAGGTTGCAGTGAGCCAAGATCATACCACTGTACTCCAGCCTGGGTGGCAGGATGAGAGTGTCTCAAAAAAATAAAAAATAAGAGTTTAATTATGTGTCAGTGTGGATCTCCTCTCTGAGTTCATCTCACTTGTGTTAGAGGCATTTGAATCACAGCAACTCCATCTTGAATAGAGGCTGAGTAAAATAAGGCTGAGACCTACTGGACTGCATCCCCAGATGGTTTTGTTCCTCAGATTTGGTAATTTCCATTGTTCTATCTCCAAGTTCACAGATTCTTTTCTCTGTTCAAATTTGCTTTGAATCCCTCCAGTGCATTTTTTATTTGTTATTATACTTTTCAGCTCCAGAATTATTTTTCGGTTTCTTTGTAGGTTTTCTATCTCTTTACTGATACTACTGATAGAGATAGGAGACAGCCATATGCCGCACAGGTCATGGTGCACAGGGTACTTCCCTAAACATGCCCATGGTGAAAAATTCTGTCCCTTAACACAAATGCAGTAAGGGAAATCAATGTGGAGTGGCTCAGACTAACGGCCCGCATGCGCACTGAAGAATGGGGGTGGAGCCACCAGGAATTCACCCCTTATGCTGGGAGAGGAGCCTGGCCTCTTCAGCTCATGTGTGTTGGCCTGGTATTCAATCTGTGAGGTGGGAGCCTGTTGGCAGGACCCTCTCTTTTTTGCTGAGATGAGAGCTTTCTTTTAATAAATTCTGCTCTCCTCACCTTTCACAGGTGTCTGTGTGCCTAATTTTTCCTAGTTGTGAGACAAGAACCCAGATTTAGTGGAGCTAAGGAGCAAAAAATCCTGCATCATTTTGGTGGCCCATACAGGGACATGAGGAGGGATGAGTAAAATGCACACCAAAAAAATCTGTTTCCCTTTCCTTTTTGAGCTTTCTTGTCCTCAGCCTTCTTCTGAGGATAGAGGAAACTGCACCCCCTCACCCCATTGCTCTCAGGGACTGGGAATGTCAGCCTTGGTCCAACTCAGCCTTTTCTATGGCATTTTCCTTCTGTTTGCAGGACTGTAATGGCACTTATCTTTTACAATATTGGGGGTATTCCACCCCCACCTCAATGGCTGCAGATGCATGCATGGGACGGACAGGCAAGTGGTGGCTCCCTGCCCCTCCCAGCTGGGGCTGGGGCTCATGGCCCAAGGGCCCCATGCAGCTGTCTGTCCAGTGTTCCACACCACATACCATGGAGTCTTCCCCTCCTCCTGCTGAGGGGTCCAGCTCAGTCCAAACCCCAGGGTAGAAACAGCAATTAAAAGTTTCTTGGCCAGGCGCAATGGCTCATGCCTGTAATCCCAGCACTTTGGGAGGCTGAGGCGGGCAGATCACCTGAGGTCAGGAGTTTGAGACTAGCCTGGCCAACATGGTGAAACCCCGTCTCTACTAAAAATACAAAAATTAGCCGGGCATGGTGGCATGCACCTGTAATCTCAGCTACTCGGGAGGCTGAGGCAGGAGAATCACTTGAACCTGGGAGGTGGAGGCTGGAGTGAGCCAAGATTGTGCCACTGCACTGCAGCCTGGGCAACAACAGTGAAACTCCATCTTAAAAAAAAAAAGTTTCTCTCCCTGTTGGAGAAACTCATTTGCATAAGAATAAAAGGTTTGTTCTCCGGGCATCTTTTTCTTTTCTCCATCCTGTCAGCAGTTAACAAAGCCCTGCATTTACGCTGTTTTTCTTTTCCTTTTCTCCACCAGGCCAGGAATAGGTTGGTGCAAAAGTAGTTGCAGTTTTTGCTATTACTTAGAACGGCGAGGACTGTGACTGTTTTTGCACCAACCCAATAACATGGCCCTGCAAGTAGAGGGGGCTTCTCTACGCTACAGGCTTTTTTCCTTTTAGAAGATGTTTTACTCAGCCAGGATCCCAACTCAGAAGACACCCCTTTTCTCTCCCTTGTTGGAGAAGGACTCAATTCCACAGCTTGACCTTAGCATTCAGCTTGGTAAGGAGTCCATGCAACATCCTGAGGCAGTTATTTTGACCCAAACTCAATTCCAAGCTTTGGATCGAAGCCCTAGGAAAGAAAACTGGATCTGAGGGATCCAGAGGCAGACGACAACAGAAGTGAAAAGGTACAGCACAGGTAAGCATGACTAATTTCTGCGGATTAAGCCAAGCCTCATTTCATGGATAAAGGTCATGCTAGTATCCATGGCATAAATGAGGTCTAGGGAATGCAAAGGCTATTGACAACAGAGAAGATAAGGCATATATGGGTAAGAGCAGATAATCCCACTCCCTACCCACCCCCCCCCCCCACATAACATGGGTGAAAGCCACTTTGACACCCATGGGAGGCATCCTGTCATGGTTGCCGGGACTCAGGGATACAAGGACAAAAGAAAGAGGGACGCCTTGCTTTCTCTCCCTCATGTACCTCGGGTATTTGCTAGGAAGAGAAGGGAACCAGGGACGCCTTGCTCCCCTCTTTCTAGATGAGTAGGCATACATCTTTCAAATGCATCCTGAGTCCTGGGGCTCCTTTAAATAAATGCCTTCTTATTCCTTTCTCCTCCTCTGTCCTCTCTTTACAGATGGGTGATTGTGTCCCCATGCTGTGGGATGCTCTCCTGGGATGTATCCTCCAAACTGGGAGAAGTTAATTTCCTAAACCTTAAACTGGTTGGCTTGGGATTGAGCTCAGCAGGGAGGGAACTCAGAAGCCTGACATGTCAGCAAAAGGGTAGGAGTTTTTTTGTTTTTTGTTTTAACCAGTCAGGATTTTGACCTCTGTCTCCCTAAACAAACCAGAAAGGGAATGATAAGGATCACTGTTTATATTATCTGTAAAGTTTTAATTAATAAAAAAGGATTTGTGAGGTTGGTCTTAAGCTGTAGCCAAGCTGGTGTGCTCTGCATGTCTCTCCGTATAGTTCTGTCAGAAAGAGGGGTACCTTGGGATGGGATGTGGGTCTAGGACTCCATAGGCCTGCTGTTGAAGCAAGCCCAGCAAACTGGCCAGTGGCAAACTTTGCTGCAGGCCTCCATCTGGTTTTACGTCCTTGGAAGCGTGACCTGTAACCACATGGCAGTGCTTTGTTTTAGCTTCTGCCATTTTACAGTGGCAGCCCGGGTTCAATCCTGGCTTAGGGAATGAGTCCTTTCTGGCTTGATATCTTTGTGACCTTTATCATTTGTTGATTCTCTTCCCCTTCATGAACCACCTTAAATTTTCCTTTCTCTGAACACCTGGGAGGTTACCTTTGGTAATGTTCAGAAGCCAGAAATATTGGCTGCTTGGCATGGCTAATGTTGGGTAATAAAGGATTTAAAAGGATTTTCTTGGCCAGGTGTGGTGGCTCATGCCTATATTCCAGCAACATAGTGAGACCCTGTCTCTATAAAAAATAAAAAATTGGCTGGGCATGGTGGCATGTAGTCCCAGCTACCCAGGAAGCTGAGGAGGGAGGGTTGCTTGAATCCAGGAGGTTGAGGCTGCAGTGAGCCATGATTGTGCCCTGTATTCCAGCCTGGGTGACAGAGCAAGACCGTCTCAAAAAACAAAACAAAACAAAACAAAAAACACAGCTGGGCATAGTGGTTCACGCCTGTAATCCCAGCACTTTGGGAGGCTGAGGCAAGTGGATCACTTGAGGTCAGGAGTTCTAGACCATCCTGGGCAACATGGCGAAACCCTGTCTCTACTAAAAATACAAAAATTAGTTGGGCATGGTGGTGGGTGCCTGTAATCCCAGCTACTCAGGAGGCTGATGCAGGAGAATCACTTGAACCCAAAAAGCAGAGGTTTCAGTGAGTGGAGATCACACTGCTGCACTCCAGCCTGGGCAATAGACCTCAAAAAAAAAAAAAAAAAAAGAAAGAAAAAAAGGATTTCCTTTCCCTTTCCTTTCCCTTCTCCTTTCCCTTTCCTTTCTTTTCTTTTTTAGATGGAGTCTTGCTGTGTTGCCCAGGCTACAGTGCAGTGGCATGATCTTGCCTCACTGCAACCTCCGCCTCCTGGGTTCAAGTGATTTCCAGCTAATTTTTGTATTTTTAGTAGAGATGGGGTTTCACCATGTTGGCCAGGCTGGTCTTGAACTCCTGACCTCAAGTGATCCGCCCACTTCGGCCTCCCAAAGTGCTAGGATTACAGACATGAGTCACCACACCCAGACCCCAAAATAGGATTTTCTTAAAGAGCGCTCAGCTTAATTAAAAGTGGATATCTGGGGGGCTGGCACGCGGCAGCGTTGCGGGTGGGAGCGGCTGCAACTCTGGTGCCTGAGGAGCGATACCAAGAGAAATCATCACCCACAATTGGGCCAGTGCAGCAATCAGATTGGGTTCGAGTTCTGGAAACAGCTGTGCACTGAGCATGGTATCAGCCCCAAGGGCACCATGGAGGAGTTCGCTACTGAGGGCACTGACCACAAGGACATCTTTTTCTACCAGGCAGACGATGAGCACTACATCCCCCGGGCTGTGCTGCTGGACCTGGAGCCCCAGGTGATCCACTCCATCCTCAACTCCCCCTGTGCCAAGCTCTACAACCCAGAGAACATCTACCTGTCGGAGCATGGGGGAAGAGCTGGCAACAACTGGGCCAGCAGATTCTCCCAGAGGGAGAAGATCCATGAGGACATTTTTAACATCACAGACCAGGAGGCAGATGGTAGTGACAATCTAGATGGCTTTGTGCTGTGTCAGTTCATTGCTGGGGGGACAGGCTCTGGCCTGGGCTCCTACCTCTTAGAATGGCTGAATGACAGGTATCCTAAGAAGCTGGTGCAGACATACTCAGTGTTTCCCAACCAGGACAAGATGAGCAACGTGGTGGTCCAGCTTTATAATTCACTCCTCACACTCAAGAGGCTGATGCAGAACGCAGACTGTGTGGTGGTGCTGCACAACACAGCCCTGAACCAGATTGCCACAGACCAGATCCTGCACATCCAGAACCCATCCTTCTCTCAGACCAACCAGCTGGTGTCCACCATCATCTCGGCCAGCACCATCACCCTGCGCTACCCCAGCTACATGGACAATGACCTCATAGGCCTCATCGCCTCACTCATTCCCACCCCATGGCTCCACTTTCTCATGACTGGCTACACCCAGCTGACTATGGACCAATCAGTGGCCAGCGTGAGGAAGACCATGGTCCTGGATGTCATGAGGTGGCTGCTGCAGCCCAAGAACGTGATGGTATCCACAGGCCGAGACCGCCAGACCAACCACTCCTACATCACCATCCTCAACACCATCCAGGGAGAGGTGGACCCCACCCAGGTCCACAAGAGCCTGCAGAGGATCCGGGAATGGAAGTTGGCCAACTTCATCCTGTTGGGCCCCACCAGCATCCAGGTGGCCCTGTCGAGGAAGTCTCCTTACCTGCCCTTGGCCCACCGGGTCAGTGGGCGCATGATGGCCAACCACACCAGCATCTCCTCACTCTTCTAGAGAACCTGTCGCCAATATGACAAGCTGCGGAAGTGGGAGGCCTTCCTGGAGCCGTTCCGCAAGGAGGACATGTTCAAGGACAACTTTGATGAGATGGACACAACACATCTAGGGAGATTGTGCAGCAGCTCATGGATGAGTACCACATGGCCACATGGCCAGACTACATCTCCTGGGGCACCCAGGAGCAGTGAGTCCCCTAGGACAGGGACCCTCATCTGCCTTACTGGTTGACCAAGGCCCTGCCTGACTGACCACTCACTTAGAGCACAGATCAGGGACCTCACACATCTCTTTCTCATATACATGCATTTTCTGTTAGTCTGCGAACACATTACTTCTCCTCTTATGAGACTATTTATCTTTAATAAAGCAGTGGATATAAATAAATTTTTTTTAAAAAGTGGATATCTGAGGGGAGTGCAGTGACACACTGGCAATCCCAGCGCTTTGGGAGGCTAAGGTGGGCAGATCACCTGAAGTCATGAGTTCAAGACTAGCCTGGCCAACATGGTGAAACCCTGTCTCTTCTAAAAATACAAAAAAAATTAGCTGGGTGTGGTGGCACTTGCCTGTAGTCCTAGCTACTCAGTAGGCTGAGGCAGGTGAATTGCTTGAACCTGGGAGGCGGAGGTTGCAGTGAGCCAAGATCGCACCATTGCACAACGGCCTGGGCAACAGAGCGAGACTCTGTCTCAAAAACAACAAAAAAAGTGGATATTTTTAAAACCTTTATGTTTTTCTCTTTTTGGATCTTGTTTTTCTGGAAAAAGATTTTTTTCTCAGTTGACTGAATTCCTTTTCTCCATTTTGTCTTGCTACCCTTAATGCATGCACGAGGCCCTAAAATAATTTCTGATGGCCTGGGACTCCTTGAGAAGAACAGAAAAGGTGCCATGCATGCCATTTTGGGAAAAACCTCTGTTTTTCTCATGAAAACCCAGCAATTAAAAGCAGATAGGTCCCCCTCAAAATCTGTTTTTGTCTTCCAGCTATCCCCATGTATTGGGCCCTGAAAACTGCATGCTTTCCTAGCCCTGCTCTTAAAGGGCCCCACTCGAGGCCAATAGTCCAATTAGGAGATTGGTGAACAGAAAATCTTGTAACTACTGGATCTGCTGCTGTTTGTCTGTGCAGTTATATGTGTTGTGTGTGATGTCTGTAAAAAAGAGAGCTCTAGGCCGGGCACGGTGGCCCACACCTGTAATCCCAGCACTTTGCAAAACCGAGGCGGGCGGATCACGAGGTCAGGAGATCGAGACCATCTGGCTAACACGGTGAAACCCTGTCTCTATTAAATATACAAAAAAATTAGCCGGGCGTGGTGGTGGGCACCTGTAGTCCCAGCTACTCAGGAGGCTGAGGCAGGAGAATGGCATGAACCCAGGAGGCAGAGCTTGCAGTGAGCTGAGATCACGCCACTGCACTCCAGCCTGGGCGAAATAGCGAGACTCCGTCTCAAAAAAAAAAAAGAAAAAAAGAGAGAGGTCTAATTAACTGGCCTAAAGGAAAATAAGTGCTTTGATCAGATATTTTTGAAGGGAAAATAAAAGCTGTAATACCTTTTAGTTCATGTGACTTTAATCCTTGAGAAATAAAAACAGTCTTAAAGATTACTGGTAAAATGCAAATGTGAACAGGTGGTCTAAATTATACGGGACAGATATTAGGTTTGCTAAATGTTTTACAGTTATAAACTTCTTCTTTGGACTTTGAGAACTGTTCAACTTGCCTACTTTACAACTTGGCAAGGCCCAGGACTTGGCAAGGGACTCGGTAAGGCTCTTAATCTTAGCAAATAATCATTAATCATATAATCTCAGTAAAATGTTCTAAGAAGGAATGGACATGGAAATTTTTGTCTAGGGTTAAAGGATTATTTTAAATTAGATAAGATAAAGCTAAAGGTTTAAACAAGTTGTGGAAGGTTTCTTGCAAAAGAAATTCTGTGTGTGAACACTAAATTCAAAAGGGTATTATGTTTTTCTGTAAATAATTGAGCATTGAAATACAAGCACGAGGTTTTCTTTTTCTTTTTTTTTTTGAGATGGGAGTCTCGCTCTGTCGCCCAGGTTGGAATGCAGTGGCACGATCTTGGCTCACTGCAACCTCTACCTCCCAGGTTCAAGCTATTCTCCTGCCTTCGATTCCTAAGTAGCTGGGATTACAGGTGCAGGCCACCATGCCCAGCTAATTTCCGTTTTTGTTTGTTTGTTTGAGAGTGGGTCTCGCACTGTCACCCAGGCTGGAGTGCAGTGGCGCGATCTTGGCTCCTGGCAACCTCCACCTCCCAGGTTCAAGCGATTCTGCCTCAGCCTCCCGAATACCTGGGATTACAGGTGTGCACCATCACACTTGGATAATTTTTGTATTTTTAGTAGAGACAGGGTTTCACCATGTTGGCCAGGCTGGTCTCGAACTCCTGACCTCAGGTGATCCACCTGCCTTGGCCTCCCAAAGTGCTAGGATTACAGGTGTGAGCCACCATACTTGGTATCACTTAACTTTCTGAGGAACTGCTAAACTCTTTTCCAAAAATGACTGCACCATTTTATAGTCGCACCAGAATGTGTGAGGGTTCCAACTTCTCCACATCTTTGTCAACACTTGTTGTCTGTCCCTTTAATTACAGCCATCCTAGAGGGTGTGAAGTGGTATCTCATTATGGCTTTGATTTGCATGTCCCTTATAACTCATGATTATTATTTTCTTGAGACAGGGTCTTGCTCTGTTTCCCAGGCTGGAATGCAGTAGCGTGAATGGGGCTCACAGCAACCTCAACCTCCTAGGCCCAAGCAATCATAGCTGGGACTACAGGCATGCGCCACCATGCTCTACTAATTCTTAAAATTTTTTCAAGTATCTGCTTTTGGTGAAGAAAAAAAATTTTTTTTCTTGTAGAGATGGGGTCTTGCCATGTTGCCCAAGCTGGTCCTGAACTCCTGGATTGGGTGATCCTCCCACCACAGTCACCCAAACTGCTGGGATTATAGATGTAAGCCACCACACCAGGCATTTTTTTTTCTTTCTCTTTCTTTCTTTCTTTCTCTTTCTTTCCGTCTTTCTTTCTTTCTTTCCTTCTCTCTTTCTCTCTCTTTCTCCTCTCTCTCTCTCTTACTTTCTTTCTTTCTTTTAGAAGGAGTCTCGCTCTGTTGCCCAGGCTGCTGGAGTGCAGTGGTACAATCTCGGCTCATTGCAACCTCTGTCTCCCAGGTTCAAGCGATTCTCCTGCTTCAGCCTCCCAACTGGCTGAGATTACAGGCATGCACCACCATGCCAAGCTGATTTTTGTATTTTTAGTAGAGATGGGGTTTCACCATATTGGCCAGGTTGGTCTCAAACTCCTGACCTCATGATCTGCCCTCTTTGGCCTCCCAAAGTGCTGGAATTACAGGTGTGAGCCACTGTGCCCAGCCTTTTTTTTTTTTTTTTTCCCAAAGAGACAGGGTCTTGCTCTGTCTCCTGGGCTGGAGTACAGTGGCTCAATCATAGCTCCCTGCAGCCTCAAATTCCTGGAATCAAGCAATAATCATACCTCAACCTCCCGAATAGCTGTGCCCTCAGATGCACACCACCACATCCAGCTAACTTTTAAATTTTTCTGTAGAATCAGGGGTTCGCTATGTTGCCCAATCTGGTCTCAAACTCCTGGCCTCGAGCAATCCTCCAACCTCAGCTTCCCAAAGTGTTGAGATTACAGGCCTGAGCCACCACACCCAGCCTGATTTTTTTAAAATGTGCTTATTGTCCAGTTGAGTATCTTCTTTGAAGAAATTTCTATTCACATCTTTTGCCCAGTTTTTAATTGGGTTATTTGTCTTTTTTATTGAGTTCTAAATGTTCTTAATATACTCTGCATCTTAGACTGTACTGAGATATTATTATTTCAAACATTTTCTCGCATTCTGTGTGTTGTCTTTTTGTTTTCTAGTTGGTATTGCTTGAAGCACAAAAGTTTTAAACTTTCATGTAGTCAAATTTATCCATTTAAAAATCTTTTGTGTATTATTATTATTTTTTTTTTGAGACACAGTCTCGCTGTTGCCCAGGTTGAAGGGCAGTGGTGCAATCTCAGCTCACTGCAATCTCTGCCTCCTGGGTTCAAACAATTATTGAGCCTGAGCCTCCCAAGTAGCTGGGACTACAGGTGCATGCCACCACACCTGGCTAAATTTTGTATTTTTTGTAGAGATGGGGTCTCACCATGTTGGCCAGGCTGAGCTCAAACTCCTGGCCTCAAGCAATCCACCTGCCTTGACCTCCCAAAGTGCTGCGATTACAGGCATAAGCCACTGCACCTGACCAATTGTGTATTATTCTTGCAACATTTCTGTACATCTAAAATTATTTCAATGTTAAAAATGAAACATTACATATAAGCATGCTAAAAAGTTTAGAAAACTATGCACTAAACTACCAACAGGGAATAGAAACAGAATTTTTCATTTTCTATTATATGTTTTTTTCCTGAATTATACAAATGATGCAAATTCTCTGTAGAAATTTTAGAGATTAACACATTAGTAAACCTACCATCCAAAAGTAATATTTTTGAGATTTGAGACTTCAAAACCACCATATACATTATTAGCACATAAATAACCATTTATATATTCTTACACAAATATATCAACATTTATAAAATCTAGAATCACTTGTTTTATGGGGAGGGAAGGCCATGTCAATAATGTAGGAGGATGGATGGCCCATGGACTAACAAAAATTTCTGTTGTCAATGTTTGACACCAAGGGGAAGTGCTTGACTTGGGCTGTTCAATGGGTGATGCTTGAGCTGGCTTTGGAAGGTGAATGCTCTAGTCAAGGAATGTAGATGCTGTGGTGATGGAAACACTTGATAGTCAGGTGGGCTGGAGGTAGGAAGGAGAAGGTAAAGCTGGAGGATACTTTGAGTTTTTGTTTTTTTGAGACAGGGTCTTGCTTTGTCTCCCAGCCTGGAGTGCAGTGGTGCCATCACAACTCACTGCAACTTTGATCTCCTGGGCTCAAGTAAGCCTCCCAAGTAGCTGGGACTACAGGTGCACACCACCATGCCCAGCTAAGTTTTGTATTTTTTGTAGAGACGGGGTTTCACCATGTTGCCCAGGATGGTCTAGAACTCCTGGACTAAGGGATCCACCCACCTCAACCTCCCAAAGTGCTGGGATTACAGGCATGAGTAACTGTGCCCGGCCGAGGATCCTGGATTTTGAAGGCCCCTGGATGACAGTGAATGTGATGCTGTAGGCCACGGGGCTTCCTTGAAGAGTTCTGGGTAAGGATGCAGTGTGGTAAGCTTTATATTTCAGACAGTTCATGAAGTTGTGTGGAGGACAGATTGGGGGAATGGGAGCGTGAAAGCCAGGGACAAAGCTGGGCAACTATTGAAATGTCTATAATACATTTTATATGCTGACTGAGTACAAACATAGAGGTGACCATGTGTCTTGGCTGGCTGGAGACAATTCTAGATTACAGCGTTGGTCCCAGAGTAATTATATTAACAGCCACTTTCATGCTCAAACATGTCTCAGTCTGAAGATTAAATATCATCTACATACACACACCAACAAAACTTCCACAATTCTTACCTTTACTATGTGAAATGCACTGATATTTTATTCTGTTTTTTTATTTTTATTTTTTATTATTTTTGAGACAGAGTCTCGCTCTGTCACCCAGGCTGGAGTGCAACAGTGTGATCTCAGCTCACTGCAACCTCTGCCTCCTGGGTTCAAGTGATTCTCGTGCCTCAGCCTCTCAAGTAGCTGGGATTACAGGCATACGTCACTACGCCCAGCTAATTTCTGTATTTTTAGTAGAGACGGAGTTTCAGCATGTTGGCCAGGCTGGTCTCGAACTCCTGACCTCAAGTGATCCGCCTGCCTCGGCCTCCCAAAGTGCTGGGATTATAGGCGTGAGCCACCTCGTCTGGCTTTTTTTTTTTTTTTTTCAAAAAAATGTTGGTTGCAACCTATTAAATTGATTTCGTGACACACTAGTTCATAACCCTCAGTTTGAACAACTCTGACCTAGACGCCTGCCAAGTCTTGGGAAAATAGGAAGGAGACAGATAATTAAGTTTGGGAGATGCATAGTCTAAGGCCAGGGTTCTCAATGTTGGCAGTGCAAGATCACGTGAGGTACGACTGAACACGGAGATCTCCAAAACTGCGGAGAGTTTTGCGTGTGAACGTATGCACAGACATCTACATGGAAATGGCTGTAACGCATCCAGCCATAAGGCGTACGAGGGTATATATACTTACAGAGTTAAGAACCACTATTCTCAGGAGTTATATGACAGCCTGGGAAGACGCCCAGGATGTAGGAACAGGGAGCAGGCGAGCGTGTGGCACCTTGAGGGTGCTCCGCGCGTCTCCGTAAAGCCAACGAGCCCCTCCTCTTCGCTGGCCTCTCCGGGGCCTTGCTGACTAGTGGTCGAAGCCACAGGACCAGGTGCGGGTGGCCAGCGTAACCCGGGCAGCCCCGCTGCTTCCCCTCGGCCGCGCCAGGACGCTCGGCACGCGGCGACGACGGCCCCACAGTGCCCCGCGCGCGCAAGCGCAGGCTGCGGCTCCCGGCGTGCAGCTTGGTGGCGGCTGAGCCGGCAGCGGGCCGCCTCAGGCAGCCCCGGCCGGGCCGCCCGGGTCCCCGGCAGCGGGGTAGGATGGCGCTAAAGCGGATCCAGAAGGTACGCACTTTCCCACCCTCCAACTCTTTGGGTGTCCGAAGCGTCGAGGTGTGGGCGGGGCGCCGCTGCCGTGAAGTGAAAGGTGACGGAGGCTCCGCGAGTCGCGGATACACCTGCCTGGGAAGGAGGCAGAACAGCCTCCCGCGCAGCCTGAAAAGCGAACGCAGCCTGAGAAAGGGATTGCGCGAGCGCGGGGCGGGGCCGGGCCGTGGCCACGAGGGCTGCGTCATGCGGGCGGGGCGCCGTGGGGCCACCTGCAGGCTTCTGGACAGCGGGTTCCCCCTGTAGGGTATCCAGAAGGGCTGGGTGGGTATCCAGAAGGGTATCCAGGAAGAAGCTGGGTCCTAAGGGATGAGTAGGAACTCGGCAGGTGGGGAAAAGGGGAAAAGGCTTTCCCTGCAACGGGGAGACTACGAGGCTTGGAGGACTGACAGGGTAGCGGGGAAGCTGAAGGGCAGATGGTGTGGACTTGGGTGGTCCTTAGGAGCAGTGCTGAAGTAACTGGTTTTTATCCTGCAGGTAAGAGGGAGTCCATGAGGGTTTAATGCATTCACTAGAATTTGGAAAACGCACAACAGTAGAAGAAAGAAGTATTTCTAATTCTATCACTTTACTATTTGTTAACATTTTAGCATACCTACCTTCAGTTTTTTTTCTATATTTAAAACAATTATACTGCATTTTGTATTCCACTTATTCACATAATAGTAAATGTAAGCATGTTGTGAAGTAGTATTTATAACTTTTTTTTTTTTTTTTTTTGAGGTCTTGCTCTGTCGCCCAGGCTGGAGTATCGCCCAGGCTGGAGTACAGTGGCACAATCATGGCTCACTGCAGCCTCAACCTTCTAGGTTCAAGTGATCCTCCCTCCTCAGCTTCCTGGGTAGCTGGGACTACATGCCACCATGCCAGCCAATTGTTTATTTTTTGTAGAGACAGTGTCTCGATATGTTGCCCAGGCTGGTCTCATACTCCTGGGCTTAAGCGGTCCTCTTGCCTCTGCCTCCTAAAGTGGCGGGATTACAACGTGAGACACCATGCCCAGTCCTATAACTAATTTTTAACATTAACTTTCCACAAGTACATGACTAGTAACTTATTTAGTCATTACCTGTAGTAGGTAAAAGTATGGACTTGGGTGTCAGACAGACCTGGGTTAGAGAATGTGAGGTCACTTATAGTGGGACCTTGGGCAAGGCACTTTATCATTCCTAGCCTCCCAGTCCTACATGTTTACAGAGTTGTTTTGAGAATTAAATGCTATGAAATGTGTTTAGCACATGCTTGCTGTATACCAAACACTCAATACGAGTTAGCTGCTGTTATTGTTCAAAATTCTTCACTAAGTATTTGCTGTTACGAACTGTGTATTAGTCTGTTTTGTGTTGCTATAAAGGAATATCTGAGGCTGGGTAATTAATAAAGAAAAGAGGTTTATTTGGCTCTCGGTTCTGCAGGCTGTACAAGAAGCATGGTGCCAGCATCTGCTTCTGGTGAGGCCTCAGGAAGCTTACAATCATGGCAGAAAGCAAAGGAGAAGCAGGCGTGTCACCTGGTAAGAGAGGGAGCAAGAGAGATGCCACCTCTTTTAAACACCCAGATCTCACATGAACTAATAGAGTGAGCACTCACTTATTATTGTGGGGGGGCCACCAAGCCATTCATGAGGAATCCGCCCCCACGACCCAGATACCTCCCACTAGGCCCCACCTCCAACACTGGCGATCACATTTCAGCATGAGATTTGGGGGGGACAAATATCCAAACCAGATCAACCATCATTGTACAATGAGCCTTTTCCTTAATTCACATTACTGGGTTTGATTGCCAGAGGTGGAATTACAGGATCTCTGAGAGTATGACTCTTTTTTTTTTTTTTAAATAAATAGCTGTCCAAAAGAGAGATAATTCTGATGAGTTATTCTCTGAAAGGGGTCATCTGTCATCCTAGGACTTTGAAGCAGGTGAATGACATGCTGAGATCTGTGTTCTAAAAAGATCTTTCTGGCAGCAGTGTGGCCGGAAGTGGGACAGAGGGAGACTAGAGGCTGTTGTGAAGGTTCAGTAGAGGCTTTGTCCAAATTAATGACCATGGAATGGATGCTAGGCCAGAGCAGTGCCTGGACCACATTGCAGAAGTGGAATTGACAGGACTCGAGGAGAGGATGTGGTGAAAGTGAAACAAGGAGGTGTACAAAATGGGTCACTTAGTGGATGGTGGTGTCAGTGTCTAGGATGGGGAATCAGAAGTTTTGAAGGCAGGGAGGAGGGTAGGAGAGATTAAGGAATAAAGGTTTGAGCCTACATATTCAAATGTGTAGGCTGATAAGATTTATAAAAGGGAGCGTTTGGAAAAACAAGTTTGGGCCTTGAGCATGAAATGTCAACTATAGATCCAAGGTAATTGAAATCATAAGGCCAGGGAGAACTTTTCCTTGATAAGAATCAAGGACAGGCTGGGTACAGTGGCTCATGCCTATATCCCAGCACTCTGGGAGGCCGAGGCAGGTGGATTGCTTGAGTCCAGGAGTTGGAGACCAACTGGGCAACACAGCAAAATTCCATCTCTACTAAAAATAAAAAAATGGCCGGGTGAGGTGGCTCATGCCTGTAATCACAGCATTTTGGGAGGCCAAGGCGGGTGTATCATTTAAGGTCAGGAGTTTGAGACCAGCCTGGCCAACTTACTGAAACCTCTTCTGTAATAAAAATACAAAAAAATTAGCTGGGCATGGTGGTGCATGCCTGTAATCCCAGCTACTTGGGAGGCTGAGGCAGGAGAATTGCTTGAACCCAGGAGTGGAGGTTGCAGTGAGCTGAGATTGTGCCACTGCACTCCAGCCTGGGTGACAGAGCGAGACTCTGTCTTAAAAAAAAAAAAAAAAAGTAAATAAAAATTAAAAAAAAAATTAGCCAAGCGTGGTGACACACACCTGTAATCCCAGCTACTTAGGAGGCTAAGGTGGGAGAATCACCTGAGCCCAGGAGGTCAAGGCTGCAGTGAGCCTCACCACTGCACTCCAGCCTGGGCAACCAGAGTGAGACCCTGTCTTAAAACAAAAGCAAAACAAGAATCAAGGTCAGGGCTGGCTTCATGTGTGTGTGACGCATTCACTCTCACAGGGCCCCAGGCTTGGATGGGCTCTGCCTTTGGTTTTATGCTCTGCTGTCACTATCAGGAAATTCTTAATAATTATCGAACTTGAGACCCTACATTTTCACATTCACAAGGCCCTGCAAATTCTGTAGCAATTCCTGGGGAAAAACAACAGAATTGTAGGAAATACAACTTTAAAAGTGTGTCAAGCCTGCCGTGGTGAGATGGCACCATTGGGCCACCACTAGTTAGGATGTCTTGGCTGCAAGTGACAGAGGCTGAGCTGCCCTTGTGCATGGAATTGGAGGTCCTGTGGCAGGACTTTGGGAGCAACTCAGTCCCCCTCTCCTGGTCTGTTCCTGTGTCACTCTGGGCTGAATGGCTCTGGAACACACAGCCTGCTGGACATCTGGGAGTAATAGAGACAACTGCTTCCAGAAGAACTGATAAGAATATTCTCAGAAAGCCCAGCAGATCTTTTTTTCCCTTTGCCTTGTTATGAATTATGTCTCATGCTCATTCCGAAACCAATGAGTGGCAAGGAGTCTGGTTACTCTTAGACCTGGAGCTGACAGTGAGTTGACCAGAACTGAACAGCAGTCCTTCAGAAAGGAGGAAGGCGGATGGGTGCTGAGCAGGTAGCCAGCAGTATGCAAGCCTGAGCCAGGTGTGTGGTGTCTACTAGCTGCCCCCTTAGTTTCCAATCCACAGCCCTTTCTAACCAACTTCAACCCTTTAAAAAAATGTTTTCAAATGAATGTTTCAAATTGAATATTTTTAGATGCACTTTTTAGTTAGTTAGTTAGTTAGTTAGTTTTTTGAGACAGGGTCTTGCTCTGTTACCTAGGCTGTAGTGCAGTGGCTCAATCATAGCTCACTGCAGCCTTGACCTCCTGGGCTCAAGCAGTCCTCCCACTTAGCTTTCCCAGTAGCTGGGATTACAGGTGCCTGCCACCACATCTGGCTAATTTAAAATTTTTTGTAGAGAGTGGATTTCACCATGTTGCCCAGGCTGGTCTCAAACTCCTAGGCTCATGTAATCCTCCCACCTCAGCCTCCTAAAGTGCTGGGATTACAGGTGTGAGCCACTGTTCTCAACCAGGACAGGGTTATATGTGGCAGCATTTCAATTTTTTAATGGTTTTTTTTCTCTTTGATACGTGTATTAGTCCATTCTTGCATTGCTGTTAGGAAATACCTGGCCAGGCACAGTGGCTCATGTCTGTAATCCCAGCATTTTGGGAGGCTGAGGCGGGCAGATCATCTGAGGTTAGGTCCTGGTCAACATGGTGAAACCCCATATCCACTAAAAATACAAAAATTAGCTGGGTATGGTGGCATGTGCCTGTAATCCTGGCTACTTGGAAGGCTGAGGCAGGAGACTTGCTTGAACCCGGGAGGCAGAGGTTTCAGTGAGCGATCATGCCACTACACTCCAGCCTGGGTGATAGAGTGAGACTCTGTCTCAAAAAAAAAAAAAAGAAAAAAAGAAATACCTGAAGGCTGGATGAGGTGGCCCATGCCTGTAATCCTAGCACTTTGGGAGGCTAAGGCAGGTGGATGGCCTGAGCTCAGGAGTTCAAGACCAGCCTGGGCAACATGGCAAAACCCCAGCTCTACCAAAAATAGAAAAAATTAGACAGGCATGGTTCTTGGCATGTGCCTATGGTCCCAGCTACTCAGGTGGCTGAGGTGGAAGGATCGCTTGAGCCAGACAGAGGTGGAGGTTGCAGTGAGCCGATATCGTGCCACTGCACTCCAACCTGGGTGACAGAGTAAGACCGTATCTTAAAAAACAAACAAACAAACAAAACAGAAAACCTGAGATGAGGTAATTTAGGAAGAAGAGTTTTAATTGGCTCACAGTTCCGCAGGCTGTACAGGAAGTATGGCACTAGTGTCTGCTCTGCTTCAGAGGAGGGGAAACTCACACTCACTGTGGAAGGCAAACCGGGGTGGGGGGGCGGGGGGGGTGGCAGAGCAGGCATGTCACATGGCCAGAACAGGAGCAAGAGAGAGAACAAGGGGAGGTGCTCCACACTTTTATTTATTTATTTATTTATTTTTGAGACAGGGTCTCTGTCACCCAGGCTGGAGTGCAGTGGTGCAATTTCTGATCACTGCAGCCTCCGTCTCTCTGGTTCAACTGATTCTCCTGTGTCAGCCTCTGGAGTAGTGTGTGCCACCATGCCTGGCTACTTTTTTTTGTATTTTTAGTAGAGACGGGGTTTTGCCATGTTGCCAGGCTGGTCTTGAACTCCTGAGCTCAAGCGATCCACCCACTTGGGCCTCCCAAAGTGCTGGGATTACAGGCATGAGCCACTGTGCCTGGCCATGACACACTTTTTTTTTTGAGACAGAGTCTTGCTCTGTCGCCCAGGCTGGAGTGCAGTGGCACGATCTCGGCTCACTGCAAGCTCTGCCTCCCAGGTTCACACCATTCTCCAGCCTCAACCTCCCTGAGTAGCTGGGACTACAGGCGCCTGCCACCACACCCAGCTAATTTTTTGTATTTTTAGGAGAGACGGGGTTTCACCATGTTAGCCAGGATGGTCTCGATCTCCTGACCTCGTGATCCACCCGCCTTGGCCTCCCAAAGTGCTGGGATTACAGGCACAAAGTGAGCCACTGTGCCTGGCCCATGACATACTTTGAAACAACCAGATCTTGTGAGAAGAGGATAATACCAAGTGGATTGTACTAAACCAATCACTTCCCACCAGGCCCCACCCTCAACGTTGGAGATTACAATTTGACAAGAGTTTTGTGTGGGAACACAGATCCAAACTATATCAATACATATTTAACACATATATTTTGCAATACATGTACTTTAAAGAAAATTTGGAAAATACCTGGCTAAGCAGGGTGGCTCACGCCTGTAATCTCAGCACTTTGGGAGGCCGAGGTGGATGGATCACTTGAGGCCAGGAGTTTGAGACAAGCCTGGCCAACATGGCAAAACCCTGTCTCTCCTAAATATACAAACATTAGCCGGGCATATTAGTAGGTGCCTGTAATCTCAGCTACTCGGGAGGCTGAGGCATAAGAATCGCTTGAACCCAGGAGATGGAGGTTGCAGTGAACCAAGATGGCGCCACGGCACTCCAACCTGGGTGACAGAGCGAAATCCTGTCTCAAAAAAATAATAAAAATAAAATACATAATAAAAAAATAATAATAGAAAAAAAGAAAATTAAAGAAAATTTGGAAAATGCCCCCAAAATTCAGTTTTTAAAAAACTCATCTCTAGTCATCTAAAGTGGGGTCACTTTTTCTTGCTGGAATGTGTGCCATCCAGTTCCCCTCCTGGGGGCAACAAATGTTAAAGTATATATATATATATATATATATATATATACACACACATATATATACACATATGTATGTGTGTATATATATAACATATATACACACATATATATACACATATGTATGTGTGTATATATATAACATATATACTTATATGTGTGTATATACATATACGTACATATATATGTGTGGGTGTATATATATATATATTCTACCTATTCATGTAATTGTAGTTAACATTTTTGTGGATTTCTTTTCAGTGCCTTTGATGTGTATGTGTTTCAGATTGTTGTCATGTAGTGCATCAAATTTTATACTCTGCTTTTTTCTTGCCCTTTTCCTCTAATGTTGTATCATGACATTTTCTCCTGTTATTCTGTAGTCTTTAAAAACTAATTTTCAGTGGCTGCATAATACTTGGTTTAGTTTCTCAAAAAAAAGTTTAGTTAACTTCTGATTATAAAGGTAGTAATTGTTCTTTAAAGAAACTTGGGGCTGGGCGTGGTGGCTCAGGCCTGTAATCCCAGCACTTTGGGAGGCTGAGGCAGGAGGATCGCTTGAGGTCAGGAGTTTGAGACCAGCCTGGCCAACATGGTGAAACTCATCTCTACTACAAATACAAAAATTAGCTGGGCATGGTGGTGCGTTCCTGTAATCAGTCCCAGCTACTCTGGAGGGTGAGACACCAGAATTGCTTGAACCCAGTAGGCAGAGGTTGCAGTGAGCCGAGATGGTGCCAGTGTACTCCAGTCTGGGCAACACAGTGAGACCCTGTCTCTAAAAATAAAAATAAAAAATAAAGAGAACTTGGAAATAAGATAATACCATATTCATCTACTTCAAGATGAATATTTTTTCAAATGTTCACGTCTCTGAAATTGGGATGCTTCTTACAATAGCTGTCAGCCAGGTTACCTTCACTTAGATGTCACTATCTGTATGAGTAAACCATCATGGCAGTTCATTATGAGGTAAGTGCATTGCTGGTACTATATTTGTTGAGTTTAATTGTTTTAAAAATATTTTCAAAAAGATAGTGTGATTTAGCACTGAAAAGAAAAGCTTTTGTGAACACAGGCACAGAAACAGGACAACGACGAGTAAATTTCATAATAAGGGAGCAAATATTTGTTGTTGGAGGAAGGACTGGAATTTCCTAATTCCATGTCAAGCAACCAAATTCTTCATAGCCACAGAAAGGAAGGTACCACCTACCCTCAAGTTGGTGAGACTGGGTCATTTTTTTTTTTCTGGAATACGTGCAAATAGATTGTGTATCATGGGCCTTTGCAGAATAAGTATTCATGGCTTGAAAGAAAACTCCAGGAAGAGTAGTAGAGGACTCTAAGAATTGCCACATTACCATTGTTTTGGAAGACACAGAGGATGATATTGTGTAGACATCAATGACTCAGTGTTGGGCTCTGAATGGGAAGAAACTTTAGGAATACCTGAACAAACCAGTTTATTTATTTCACTTGTTTTTCCTTTTTTTTTTTTTTGTATTCATGAATGATACTTAACAAGAAACACACAAAGCTATGTTTAAGCCTAAAATAATTCTTTTGATAAAAGTAATTTTAATTTTTTAATTTTTTGAAACAGAATCTCACTCTGTCACACAGGCGCAGTCTTGGCTCACTGCAACCTCCACCTCCCGGGCTAAAGCAATTCTTTTTTTTTTTTCCCACAAGAAGAAAAAGTACATTTTATTTAATGACCAAGTACACACACACATTCACACACATGCATATGTACATATAACTAAAAAAAATATTTTTTCTCATCACATGGGATGCATTGTGAAATATTCTACATTCTTTCATTTAAAGAAAAATGCTGGTCACGTTTTAGTAAAAATCTTTCACAAATCACTAATATGTTACAATGCATAACTGCTCTAGAGCATTAACAATGCTAAGCTATAATTTTAGGGAAATATATAGTGGTGCTCCTTCTTAGAATTAGCCCATGTGGTATTTTAGGTACTCAACTCAGGGAAAAAAAAAATGTAACATAGCCTTGTTACCATGTATTCAGCCTGGACATGGTACATGCTTTCAGTGAGCTTAAATCACCTATCTTCCTAGGCCCAAGATCTGAGGGAATGACTTCCAACTACGTAACAGGACCCTTTGTCTGTATTATACATTTTATATGTCTTTTTATGTACATTGTTTCACTTGTTCCTCACAACAACCCTGTGAGGTAGGGAGGGGAAAATATCAGTTACGCTTTATAGATAATGAAGTTAAGGTTCAGAGAGGTTAAGTGACTTTCTCAGTTACCTAGTAAAAGGCAGAGACAGAATAAGAACTATTAACTTTTAGGTTGGGGGCCCTTTTCTCTAAACCACATAGCTTTGGAGAGTATATTCTAACCCAAAATATTTTTACTGCTTCATCCTCATTTTCTTATTATTAATTCAACTTTTTACAGAATACCATAAAAGACCTAATTCTAAATTCATCATGCTAAATTTATGCTTCTCTGTAAACTTATGGCCACAGAATACATATTTTTTTTTTTGGAAAGCACTGTCACTTTGGCCCTAAAGGAACATAAGCAATATAAAGGGCCCCAGAGGCCAAGGAAATTGAAGAGAAGTCAGAAGAAGGGATATAAAATGGAATGTGTTAACGGATTTTAGTCCCTTTAAGTTTGCACTTTTGTGAGAGGGTTCAATGGAGAGCTTTAATGCAGATGAGACTTGAAGCTTTTGAAGAAGATCTAAGTCTTGATGAGGTTATTCAAACTCAGATCTTGAACGCATAATGATGATAGGCCATGGTCTTCAAAAACGTGGTACTTGATGCTCTCCCACAGTGCCAGGACTGGAATGTCACAATACATATAGATTCATGTTTTTGTCCATTAATGGTCTGTGGGTTTCTTTAAATGAAGCCCATTTTAGAGTCCATAGATATCAGTGTTCTGCGAAACTGTTGGGGATTGGAGGCTCCCAAAAGACCCCAGATGCTCTGCCCTGCCCATGGCATCACCCTCTAAAGCGATTCTTGTGCCTCAGCCTCCTGAGTAGCTGGTTATAGGCACATGCCACCAAGCCCAGCTAAGTTTTGTATTTGTAGTAGAGACAGGGTTTCACCATGTTGGCCAAACTGGTCTCGAACTCCTGACATCAGGCGATCTGCCTACCTCGGCCTCCCAAAGTGCTGGGATTACCGGCATGAACCACTGTACACAGCCTGATAAAAGTAATTTTTAAATACAATTAAAGTTTATGTGCAAAGAAAGCATTTGTGTTAGTTTATTTGCCAGCATGTTTTTTTTTTCCTAATTGTATGTAAAGTAAAATTGTGTCTTATAAAGGATGGAGTCTTGGAGTTGACGAAACACCGTAAAGGAATAACTGAGTGTGTACCATGGTTTGCTTAACTCTTCTCTACTACTATTCAATACTTTAACTTACTTTCTCTTTTTCGGAACTTCTCACTTTTATCATTGTTACTTGTAATAGTAATTACTATATAAACTTAATCTACTTAATCCTTTACAATTAATAAAATATTTATATATTTAATGATTTGGTAATAAATTCCCATGGTTCAAAATGTGCACAGGATATACAGGGAAAAGTCTCCCACCCAAGACTGTCCCTAGCCATCCAGTTCCCCTCCTGGGTGGGCAACCAGTGTCGAAGTATTCTTCTAGAAATATATATATTCTACTTATTCCTCTCCCTTTTTATAATACTAATTGTAGCATTCTCTATACCACTATTATCTTGATATTTACTGGGTGCTCTTGCTTACATTATATACATTAAAAACTTACATGCAAAATTTGTAGCCACACAATAGTACCGGCAAGTTGGCAGGCAAGTATGATTACAACTTAACAGGTAATTACACTGAGGCCCAAAGAGGTGAAAGTGATTTCCTCAGTGACGGAGCTTGGATTCAGACCTGAGTCTTCTAACCCTGAGGTGAGCACAGGAATTCGATGTGTGAGTGGACTAGTTTCTTTCAAGTCACACCATTCTTCCTTGAAATGCCAGTTAGTATTCGAAACTCCTGGGTGCTGGTTGGAGTCTAACAATAGGGATCCACACGTGGCCTTTCAGGGATCATTAAGTGCTGGTGTAACTGTTCATCACACCTCTAAAGGGGGAACATGGATTCTGCATATAGGCAGTGCAAAAGCATAGAGGTGTGGGAAAACCTTGTGAGGTGGAGGGGAATTGGTCTGTACTGCTGGCTTTTCCTGCCCCTGGCTGTTCATATAACCTCTTCAGGATTTGCCTTAGCAGTTCTGTCATAGGGCTAATTTATCCATGCAGTGTAGCAATGAATATAAACAATTCTCCTGCACAGTGATAGTGGAGGTGCTGAGGGGCACATAGCAGAGAGGTAAGCTAAAAGGAACTGTTCCACAGAGATTTCTGTAGCTCTTGCATTTCTGAGCCTGTCCTTGGTCCCCTTGTATGACCTCACTTGTTCCCCAAGTTAAATTCTCTTTTGGCCACTCCTAATGCTGCTTCCTGAGTGCTTGCCAAGTATAATTCATTTTACTTATGAGGAAATGGGTTCAGATATATTAGATACTAATCGAGAATTGGCCAGTGGTATACTGGTAGATGTTTAAAGATCAACCCTCGGGGAGAAAACATGGCCCTGATTTGTAGCATTTGCTGGCTTCTGTGATGTTAATACTTCCATCTTGGCTGATTAAATTTGAAGTGAAGGGGATAAATGCAGGATGGCCAGAGATGTGGTTACTGAAATGATCAGCATGTCCAGAGACATATGGTGAAATCAGGAGAGTTTGTGTAGATAGGACAGTGTTTGGCTTAGTTCAGGGTTGGTGTCCCATAAAGGGAATCTAGTCGTGGTATAATCCCTGATCCCCACTGGTGCAGTGTTAAACTTTGGCTCACGTGCCAGTCTCCACATTCAGAGCCCTAGGACTTGCCACATAACCAGTGGTGACTAGGGTGATTGGGATGGTGGTTGGGGAGGTAAAGTAGAGAGATTAGCACTTCCTTGGTGCTGCTTCCATGCATTAATTCATTAGCCTAGCAGTAAAACCTGGCACCTATCCTTCTCCCAGAACTCTCTCCTGGGCTGCTTTTCTTCCATATCTTCAGCACCTGGGGGCCTGGGGATGTCCTCTACCTGAGGAGGTAGGAGGCTAGGCTTGGGGGTAAGGCAGAGCTACATGTGACTGACTTCTTGCCCTGCCCTCTTCCAGCTCTGTACCTTGAGTAGGTAACTTCATCACTTTACAATTCAATTTCCTAATGTATAAAATGGAAATGATCATACCTACTTCTCTGGTATCTTTGTAGCAGGGAGTAGAGTCCTATGACCCACCATGTCTCTAACCCCCTCCTGAGGCCTAGGAGCCTCCTCCCACCAGGAGAATTCCTTCCAGCTACCAAGATTGGTATGTAGAGGCAGCATCCCCAGCATACAGCAGCTCTGACCCACTCTCTCATGTTCTAGGAATTAACCGACTTGCAGAGGGATCCTCCTGCCCAGTGTTCTGCAGGACCTGTCGGTGATGACTGTAAGTATTTTGGGGGGCTTCAAGTTGTAGGAGCATTTTAATTAAGACCCCCCAACTTAGGCCAGGTGCGGTGGCTCACGCCTGTAATCCCAACACTTTGGGAAGCCAAGGTGGGTGGATCACCTGAGGTCAGGAGTTTGAAACTAGCCTGGCTAACATGGCGAAACCCCGTCTCTACTAAAAGTACAAAAATTAGCCGGGCATGCTGGCACATGCCTGTAATCCCAGCTACTTGGGAGGCTGAGGCAGGAGAATCGCTTGAACCCAGGAGGCAGAGGTTGCAGTGAGCCAAGATCGTGCCACTGCACTCCAGCCTGGGCAACAGACTCTGTCTGAAAAACAAACAAACACAAACAAAACCAAACAACCAAATTATCAGCCAAGCAGTATTTAAGAAAACCAATCAATGCTTTTCCCTTCATTTTCTCTTGAATGGCTTTTCATTTGAGGTCTAGGCCATGAGTTCACAGCAGCTTGGCTGGTCAGCTTATACTCAAAGTAGAACCTGCACTGCCTCTCATGTCCCATAGTCACCGCTTCCCTCTTCTGGCGCATGAGAAAGCCAGCTTGGCCTGAGGAGTCACATCAGCTGCTGGAAAGTGCCCTTGGCCAAGTCAAACTTGGGTGCTGGTGTAAATATTGTTGGAGTTGGTCTAGAGGACCTGGTGCTGCTGCAGCTCCTGGGAGCAGAGCAGGACAGTGGAGGAGGGGCAGGGCAGGGTAGGGCAGTGGCCACTTGCCTCTGCCAAGGGGAAGGGCAGTCCCTATTATTTTCTCCCACTTCCACTCTTCCCTGGCGGAGACTGAAGCAGCAGCTCTGGGCAGCTTCTTGGGAGAGAGAGGGAGAAGCAGCACTGCCTGTTCCAGGCCTCTGCTGTCCCTCACAGGTGCTGGCCGAGGCTGAGCTGCCCAGCACTAGGGTTTCCAGGTCTGTCCTCTGCCCACTCACCTTGCCTCCACTTTGTGGGCTTCTTGGGCTCTGGGACACCAATCCTTCCCTGTGAGGCTTCAGTAACTGCAGCCATAGGAAAATAGGTGGGGAGGGGAGATACTATGTGTTCAAGGAGAGTGGTGTCAGAGGTACATATACCAAAGAATCAAAAACAGAGTGAGACAGAATGTGTATGCCAATGTTCACGGCACCATTACTCATGATTTTCAGAAGCTGGTAACAACCCAAGTGCCCATCAGTGGATGACAGATAAACAAAATATGGTTCTGATACACATTACAACATGAAAACATCCCAAGTGAAATAAGCCGGAAAGAAAAGAATGAATATATGATTCCACTTACATGAAATATCTAGACTAGGCAAATTCATAGAGACAGACGGTAGATGAGAGATTACCTGAGGCTGATGGGGGGTGGAAATAGGAGAAATATTGTTTCATGGATACAGAATTTGTTGGGGGTGATGGAAAGCTTTAGAAATGGATGGGGGTATGGTTCTACAGCATTGTGAAGGCATTTCATGCCACAGAATTGTACACTTTAAAGTTGTTTAAATTGCATATTTTATTATATATTTTTAACTACAATAAAAAGAAATTTCACAAAGCTGGAAAAAAGGAGGGCATGGCATCATATGTGTGCCTGCATGTCCTGGGAGGGGACTGAGCTTAGAGGAGCCAGCGGTAGGCAGATGGAGCCACTGAAAATGGAGGACTCTAAAGGCTTTATGTGGGAGTTTAAATCTCATTTCTGGAGCAGAGCAGAAATGTTTCCCAGCTGCCTATGCAGAGTGTAAGAAACAAGAATGACTCTGCTCCACTGTCTCCTGGTACCTGCTCATCACTCTGCTCCCCACTAATCAGTGTTTACCTCATGTCGTCCTCACAAGCACCCCAGGTCTCCATAGCATGCTTCCCCTCTTACCTGTCACTTAAGATAATATCAGATTAAACTGGGGTCGCTGTAAGCTTGAACTAGTTCTTGTTTAGCCTTACCTGTCTAGAGGCAGCTCCTTGATGCTCAGCTCAGCTCAAATTTACCTTGCACCAGAGCCCAGTGCTAAGAGAGGCTAGCATCAAGGCTAGCCACCACAGTCAGACCTCAGTGGATGAGGTTCAGACAGCACTGGAAGCTAGCCTTTGGGGCCATTTCACACCCGCCTCATGGGCTCACAGCCATTTCCAGCATCCCTCCTGTATATCCTTTCTCGTCCTCTTGCTTTTGGGGCCTTCTCTTCTGACTCTGCTCTCAAGCACTGCTTAGTGTCCCAGCAGCCCTCAGGGTTAAAGTGAACAAGACCAGAGGATTCTAACCTTCCGTTCTGAAATATATTATCAAAACACTTTTATTTAATAAAGAATTCCATTCACATTAATGTTAGGCAAAATATGTCTACTTTCAACTAACGATTAGCATGAATTGGAATAAAAACAGTCAAAAGCAAAAAAAAGTGATATTTTTATTAACTCAGGCAGGCTTATTACAGGTAAAGGTGTTCTTTTCAGCACCATTTCTTTGAAATATTGAAAAGGGCTCATGGGCCACCTTGACTACTTTTGAACACCTCTAGGGGCTTGGGAAACTTCTGCTTTAGTCCCTGCACTTGTGCTCCCACCCCAAACCTTGGTGCTTTCCTAGGCCTCCTGTTGTGTAGAGCCTGTGGGGTACTTAAACAGGTGACAGGAAACCCAGGACAGGACCAGGTCTGAAACTCTGGGCTAATTCCATATCTACTATGAATCCATATGAGACAGAATTCTCTTGGTAATAACAGGCCCTTCAGATGATCCCAGCAACCCACTCCTGTGGGTGAGTAGGCATTTTCCACCAAGGCCCTAGAGTCAATATCCCTGGGACCATTTGTATGACTTGGGAGCCTTGAATGTGAGTGTTTGGGCCATACTGGGCTAGCCTTGCTGATACACAGGAGCTTTTCTGGGAATGGGTAGAGCAGTGAAAGTCACCTGAGATGCTGGAGAGGGTGTGATGTGCAGCAAGAGGGGGCTCTAAACTCTCACCAAATGGTGGTGACCTGGAAGGGAAGCATGAGAGGGGCTCATCGTGACCTTGTTACTGAGTGCCTAGAGCACAGGGCACTGCCCAGGGGTTGGGCAGGAGAGGACTCAGATGAAGGCAGCACCCTTGAGGCTCCAGGGCCACGGGCAGTTGGCTCCTGAGAGACACTCTTTGAAGAGGGCTTCACAATGAATCAGGAGAAGAACCAAGGAATAGAAGGGTTTATAAAGAGCAATAAGGAAAATGGCTGAAGCCTAGCCAAGGCTTAATTCTGTGCAAAGAACTGACTGAATTGTAGTTACTGGCATTTGTGTAGTAAAGAATTTAATCTTGGCTAAGCACAGTGTCTCACGCCTGTAATCCCAGCACTTTGGGAGGCTGAGGCTAGCAGATTTCTTGAGCCCAGCCTGGGCAACATGGTAAAACCCCATCTCTACAAAACAATAACAACAAAAAGAATTTAATCTTGTCCCCAAAAGATCTGGCCTTCATCCTTAACACGTAGGGGGCGATCTGTAAGATACCATACCTGATAGGAATGTCTTTGTTTGGCTGGAAGCTTTAATGCACACCAACAATGTGATTTAGGGTGAGGAATGGCCATACCAAGTAGACCAGCCATGTGATTTCAGGTGAGAGCCTAGCCCGGGCAACATAGCAAGACCCCATCTCTACAAAAATGAAAAAATAAAAGTAAAAAAATTAGCCAGATGTGGTGGCACACACCTGTTGTCCCAGCTCCTCAGGAGGTTGAGGCAGAAGGATAGCTTGAGCCCAGGAGTTTGAGACTGCAGTGAGCTATAATCATGCCACTGCCCACCAGCCTGGGTGGCAGAGTGAGACCATCTCAAAAAACTAAAAAATAAAATAAGGTGGGGGCTTGGATCATGCCTGGAGGAGCTGGAGACTGGAGCCTGAGATCAGTCCTATGGGCATTCAAATAAGTCAGTCATGCTCTCAGGGTGGAGCTCCAATGAGAATTCTGAATACGGAGGCTCCAGTGAGCATTCCTGATTGGGTGTTCTGTGTGTGTTGCCATACAGCAATGCCAGGAGAGTAACACATCCTGACTCCACGGAGAGAGAAGAATAGAAACTCTGCGTTTGGACCCTCCTGATGTTAACCTATGTTGTTTCCCTGTGATAACCAGCAATCTTAAGCACAACCACTTTCAGTGAGCTCTGGGAGTCCTAGGCAGTTATTGCATCTTGGGTGGTTTGGGGAACCCCAGTCTTGCAGTTGGTGTCAGAAGTGAGTGCATCTTGTGTAGACAGTGCGCTGTAATTTAGCAGTGCGTTTTCAGTAGAATGACATGTTTCTTGGGGGGTCTCTTACATGCCCGTCTCTCTTTTGTTTTGTAGTGTTCCACTGGCAGGCCACCATCATGGGCCCGGTAGGTAGTAGCTGCTGAGCGCACCACTCCAGTTTTGCTTCTTGCACTTTGGGCTTAGCACATGCACTGATCTCTTTCTGTGTCTCATCCTTCCAGAATGACAGTCCTTACCAAGGAGGTGTTTTCTTCCTGACCATCCACTTTCCTACAGATTACCCGTTCAAGCCCCCAAAGGTGAGGTCCCTCTCCCAACTCCCCTGATGTTTGGATGAAGGACAGCATGTGACAAGGGGCCCTTCAAGTCAGGTATAGGTAAAAAGAGCTGTACGTGGGGTTTCTCTGAGGGCCCACTGCTCCACCCTGTGGTGAGAGTTTCCCAGGACTTTAATTACTGGACTTTGGGAATTAGCACCTGTTGTGATCAAGGGTCAGTGGGGTGAGCTGGTGCTGGCCTTACTGAGGCCACAGTTTGAATGCTTCTCCTTGTGACTGTAGCTGAGTCTGGTCATGTCTCCAGGCTCTGGCTCCCTTCTCTGCAGTCCCTTAGAGTTAGGACAGGGGTTCTCAGCCGGGGTGATTTTGCTACTGCCCCAGGGACATTTGAGCAACATCTTAGGATATTTTGGGTTATCAAAACCGTGGTGAGGGAGTACTACTGGTATCTAGTCGGCAAAGGCCAGGGTATTCCAGGGATTCCCTGCAGTGCACAGGAGAGCCACCCTTCCCATGACAGATAATGATCAGCCCCAAGTGTCAATAGTGCCAAGGTGGACACACCCTGGTTTAGGACTGGTGAGTCACACCTTCACTTTTCTTTATTAAGTTAAAAGAATAGCAAGCCTCCTTTGCCCTTCATGCACACACCATCCCATCAGTGGAGCTTTAGAGAGCAGTGCCACCAAAGGGAAGGAGAAGCCCAGGGAGCTGCCTCGACCACCCTGCCCTAGCATGTCTTGTGCACCGCAGGTCGTCTCACTCCCTGGACCCTTGGACCTCGTACTCCTTCTCACCTGGGCTCTGCATGGGTGGCCGAGCCTGCCCTGAGGCTCATAGTCCTGTGGAGGAGACAGGGCATTTAGCATGTGAGCTACTCAGCACTGGGAAGGAGCACAAGCAGTGGTTGGCAGCAGGAGCCAGGGTGGTGGAGAGATTGCCCTGAGAAAGGGGAACTGCAGGAGCTCAGCAAGAGGGCGGACAGGTCCCCAGGAAACTGCCCCAGGGGAGTGAGCCTGTGAGGAGTTGGGAAGGAGGCCAGAGGGGTACGGATGGCCCCAGGAGTAGGGTCTGCACGCCGTTGTGGGGATCGCCACACCGACACAATCACTCTGCTGCCTTGTGGAGAAAAGGCTGGGGTTCAAGTGATTCTCCTGCTTCAGCCTCCTGAGTAGCTGGGACTACAGGCACTCGCCACCACATGTGGCTAATTTTTGTGTTATTTTTAGTAGAGACAGGGTTTCACAATGTTGGCCAAGCTGGTCTCGAACTCCTGGCCTTAGGTGATCCACCCACCTCCGCCTCCCAAAGTGCTGGGATTCCAAGTGTGAGCCACCACGCTTGGCCAGGTTGTGCATTTTGTCAAGACTTACTCGAAAGTCCTGCATCTGCATCAGACCCCTTAGCTGAGGGGTTGTGATATTGCTATGTCTTACTACCTTGACTTGGCCTTGATGCCTCAATTTGAGTCAGAGGCTTAGCTGCTGTTTTGCATGTTGTTTATCTGAGTCAATGTGAAGAAGCCCCTTCTGTGCTCACCAGCTGCAGCTCTGTCCAGACATCGCCACCAGAGGCTACCTGGTGCCTGAGCATTTTAAATCTTTGTTAAATATGCTTAGGATCCCAGAGACCTTTTAAGCTTTTAGCAAGGGAGTGGAGTGTGCTGAGCAGGACAATGACAGATGCTAAAATAGCTTCACCACATTGGAGTACAACTGCTGTTCAAGGGAGTTTGGTTGAAAAATCATAAGCATGCTTCATGGTGCTGTGATCCACCCCTTCTCCCTTCCCCTCTGGAGAGACTGTGGCAGAGTCTTATCAAGTAGTAATTTTCTAGCTTGTCTCTTTCATTACTGTGTGAGCAGCTGAGGATTTTCCTTAAACAGATACCAATGTAGTCCTGAATGTCTGTTGGGCATTTTCAGCATACCTAATTGCCTAAGGACAAAGGAGAAACAGTGATTATTATTATTATTTTTTAATTATTATTATTATTTTTGAGACACGGTTTCACTCTTGTCTCCCAGGATGGAGTGCAGTGGCACAATCTCAGCTCACTGCAACCTCCGCCTCTCGGGTTCAAGCGATTCTTCTGCCTCAGCCTCCTAAGTAGCTGAGATTACAGGCACCCGCCACCACGCCGGCTAATTTTTTGTATTTTTAGTAAAGATGGGGTTTTGCCATGTTGGGCAGGCTGGTCTCAAACTCCTGACCTCAGGTGATCCGCCCACCACGGCCTCTCAAAGTGCTGGGATTACAGGCGTGAGCCACCGTGCCCAGCCAACAGTGGTTATTATTAAAAAACTAAGAAGTAAGCTCTGTGGGTGAGTTGGGATTATTTTAACAAGGAGAGATGTGAGCTGAAAGGTGACAGTGACACTCTATGAGAGAAGAAAGTGCTTCTGTCTTTTAAAAATCTCCTTCCACAGGGGAACAGGAGCAACGATTTATGTTTTGGCACAAATTTTCTGACAATAGGAGGAATCTGGCAAGATTGCATGATCTTTATTGGAGATATTGAGGCAGATACTTAATGTCTGCGATGATTTTGAAGTTTGACCCTTCCTGGGAAAAATTACAGATGTTCAAGCTCACATGCACACAACTCTCTTCTCATATTCGAAAGTAAGTTTAAAAAAAACTATTAAAAACTATATCAAACATGCAAAAAATTGTAGATAATGATATAAAGGATGTTTGTGCATCCTCCATCTAGACTAAGAAGTACCAGTGAGTTCTCAAAGCTAGCGGAGGAGGCAAAATCCCTTTTTTTTTTTTTTTTTTTTTTTTGAGACGGAATCTCGCTCTGTCACCCAGGCTGGAGTGCAGTGGCGTGATCTCGGCTCACTGCAACCTCTGCCTCCTGGATTCAAGCAATTCTCCTGCCTCAGCCTCCCAAGTAGCTGGGATTACAGGCATGTGCCACATGCCCGGCTAATTTTTTTGTATTTTTAGTAGAGACGAGGTTTCACCATATTGGCCAGGCTGGTCTCGAACTCCTGACCTTGTGATCCACCCACCTCAACCTCCCAAAGTGCTGGGATTACAGGTGTGACCACTGTGCCCGGCCGGCAAAATCCTATGTTCCTTTGCCCCAGCCCCTGCGTTGGGGTCACTGCTCACCCAGAGGGAGTGTAGGTGAGGCAGATTCTTAGGCTCCTATAGCAGTACAAGCTGCACCTGACTCAGAGCACCTTGCACATCACAGACAGCGGACTCTTCATGGGTCCCACAACATCCCTGGGAGAGGTACCATGTACCTACTTATAGTGAAGGCTCTGAGGTCCAAGGTCATTTGAAGAAGTAATGTGTGGCTGTGGTTTAAAAAAGAAAAAAAAAGTCAAATGTAGGACAGTATACAGTAGAAAATAGGACCTTCTTTAAACTTTGTCTCTCTAGCCACGCCTGGCCCCCCCGCCTTTTTTTTCCATAAGGCATTGAGTCCTACTTGTCTTTTCATTTCTCTTCCAAGAGTAATCTCAACCTGGATAAGCACTTGTTTGTGCTTCCTTGTTTTTCCCATGAATGGAACAGACCTTTCCGTGAATCTGCATCTTGCTTTTCCCATAGCAATATATCTTGGAAATTGTTCCATATGATCACATTCATGTTTTAAAAATTCACCTCATTCTTTTTAAACAGGTGTAATATTCTGTTGCTTATATATAACATTAATTTAACCAGTAATCAATCTGAAGACATTTAGGTTTTACATCTTTTGTTACAGTGGTTATCCTTACATATTTGAAGTGCACAAGGGTATTTTAGGGCTAAATTCTGAGAAGGGGGGGTCTTAGAAAGGGTGAAGTAGAAAGGTGGGGAGGGTTTGTGGCCTGGCAGAGGGTCCACGGCCTGAGCTTCTCTTTTTCTTTTTTTTTTATTATTATACTTTAAGTTCTAGGGTACATGTGCACAACGTGCAGGTTTGTTACATAGGTATACATGTGCCATGTTGGTTTGCTGCACCCATCAACTCATCATTTACATTACGTATTTCTCCTAATGCTATCCCTGCCTCAGCCCCCACCCCCCGACAGGCCCTGGTATGTGATGTTCCCCGCCCTGTGTCCCTGTGTTCTCATTGTTCAATTCCCATCTATGAGTGAGAACATGCAGTGTTTGGTTTTCTTTTTTTTTTTTTGAGACAGAGTTTCGCTCTTGTTGCCCAGGATGGAGTGCAATGGCGTGATCTCGGCTCACCGCAACATCCACCTCCCAGGTTCAAGCAATTCTCCTGCCTCAGCCTCCCGAGTAGCTGGGATTACAGGCCTGCACCACCATGCCCGGCTAATTTTGTATTTTTAATAGAGATGGGGTTTCTCCATGTTGAGGCTGGTCTCGAACTGCTGACCTCAGGTGATCCGCCTGTCTCAGCCTCCCAAAGTGCTGGGATTACAGGTGTGAGCCACCATGCCTGGCCCAGTGTTTGGTTTTCTGTCCTTGTGATAGTTTGCTGAGAATGATGGTTTCCAGTTTCATCCATGTCTCTGCAAAGGATGTGAACTTATCCTTTTTTATGGCTGCATAGTATTCCATGGTGTATATATGCCACATTTTCTTAATCCAATGTATCATTGATGGACATTTGGGTTGGTTCCAAGTCTTTGCTATTGTGAATAGTGCCGCAATAAACATACATGTGCATGTGTCTTTATAGTAGCATGATTTATAATCCTTTGGGTATGTACCCAGTAATGGGATCACTACTGAATCAAATGGCATTTCTAGTACTAGAGGAATACCTTGAGGAATCACCACACTGTCTTCCACAATGGTTGAACTAATTTACACTCCCACCACCAGTGTAAAAGCATTCCTATTTCTCCACATCCTCTCCAGCATCTGTTGTTTCCTGATTTTTAATGATCGCCATTCTAACTGCTGTGAGATAGTATCTCATTGTGGTTTTGATTTGCATTTCTCTGATGACCAGTGATGATGAGCATTTTTTATGTGTCTGTTGGCTGCATAAATGTCTTCTTTTGAGAAGTGTCTGTTCATATCCTTTGCCCACTTTTTGATAGGGTTGTTTGATTTTTTCTTACAAATATGTTTAAGTTCTTTGTAGATTCTGGATATTAGCCCTTTGTCAGATGGGTAGATTGCAAAATTTTTCTCCCATTCTGTCGGTTGCCTGTTCACTCTGATGATAGTTTCTTTTGCTGTGCAGAAGCTCTTTAGTTTAGTTAGATCCCATTTGTCTATTTTGGCTTTCGTTGCCATTGCTTTTGGTGTTTTAGTCATGAAGTCTTTGGGCCTGAGCTTTTCTGCTGATACATCAACAAAACATCACTGCTTTTTGCATAAAACTTCCTGGGCTTTTGAGTCCTTTCCACCACCCTTGTTATTCCTCAGAGCATACTGCTTTCAGGGAGATGGTATCAATCCCCCTATGTTCAGAATGAGAATCCAGCAGGGAATGGGTCAGGGAACTTCTGGGTGATCACTCACTCCCATATCCCATTAGAGTTTGGGAGTGGGGGTCTGGCTTAGCCTGCACTGTGGGGCCAGGTATGCAGCACACTCCAGGTACTGCCCAGCAGCAGCTGCTTCTGCTTTACTTGGTTCATTTCCCACACGTCCCTGTGGTTTGTCTGATTGGGGATCTCTTGTCTTTGCAGGTTGCTTTCACAACCAAAATTTATCACCCTAATATCAACAGCAATGGCAGCATCTGCCTTGATATCCTGCGGTCTCAGTGGTCTCCAGCGTTGACTGTGTCAAAAGGTAGAGATGCTGATGGCATGCTCTGTGTGCTCTTTTACACATGTTTTTACCCCAGCACTGACTGAGTGGAAATGGAAGCTCAGAGAAAGAAGTCACCTTTCCCAGGTCACATAGCCCTGTCCACTGCTGTGCCCTTAAGTGGATATCCTTACACGCCTACGAGGCAGCACCAGCAGAACTTTGTGCCCCGCTCCCTGGCGCTTCTCAGCAGTCAATTGCCCTGGTGTGCTCAAGACTGTCACATGGGTGCAAGAAGAAAATACTGATTCTACTTATATTTTTTTATCCAAAAATAAGAAAGGCAAATATTACATTACCTTCTCTGTTCCCTCATTTATTCATCTAATAAGCACAAAACGGACTGTGAGTCAGCCCTGAAGGAAGATACAGGGCATGCCTCCGGGGGCCTCGAAGTTGGTGGAGAAATCCTCCCTTCCCAAAATAAATGATGTTGAGCACATGTCTTTGGTTGAAGTTGAAGAAACCAGTCTAAACTGAGCTTAGAAATGCAGATATTCCTTCTGAATTAAGATGGGCTGTGCATGGGCTATGTATGCACGAGAGACCTGAATGTAGATGGTGCAGTATCCTGGCAGGTGGAGCGTGGGAGGATGGTGAAAAATCAACCCAAGAGAAACAGAGCCTGGCCTAAATTTTAAATTTTTCTGTAGAGGAGACAGGGTCTCACTTTGTTGCCCAGGCCATTCTCAAACTCCTGGCCTCAAGCAGTCCTCCCATTGTGGCCTCCCAAAGCACTGGGATTATAGGCGTGAGCCACTGTGCCCAGCCAAGTATCTTAAGAAAGGCAAACCTGCCCCTGTCATTTGTAGCTTTATGTGTGGGGACCTGTGGTCAGAACTTTGATGGACTCACTGAATCCAGTTTGTTTGGAATCATATGGTGAGTCGAAAGCAAAGCCAGGAATGAAAGTGTGCATTTCTCTCTGGGACCCCAAGAATCCAGGCACCACAATTCCTTCTGCTCCTCACCACAGCCCTAGTGGGTGATTCCCTTCCCCTAGGGTTGCTGAGAGCCACATTGAGTGCACATCTTAGAGACGGTGCTGGCACAGAGGAGGATGCATCTGCTTTGCAGTTAGAAGGACCTGGTTCAGAATTTCTTTATTTTTTTTTTGAGATCGAGTTTTGCTCTTGTTGCCCAGGGTGGAGTGCAATGGCGCGATCTCGGCTCACTGCAACCTCCACCTCCCAGGTTCAAGAGATTCTCCTGCCTCAGCCTCCTGAGTAGCTGGGATTACAAGCATGCACCACTATGCCTGGCTAATTTTGTATTTTTTTAGTAGAGACAGGGTTTCTCCATGTTGGTCAGGCTGGTCTTGAACTCCCGACCTCAGGTGATCTGCCTGCCTCGGCCTCCCAAAGTGCTGGGATTACAGGCAAGAGCCACCGCACCTGGTCCAGAATCTCATTTTAATCCATTTATTGGGTGTTCCAAGTCTGTGACCTTGGACAAGTTACTTGAATGCTCTGAATTCTTGTTTCCTTAACAGTAAACAGGACTCCTAGGACTAAATGCCAGAGGTTCATGATGTAGGGTACAGACAAGGATGGGAGGGCAGTTGGAGACTAAGATGGGGTGCTTCAGTGGAGAAGGGGAATGAGAACCAGGATGCACCCAGGAGGGAAGTATCCTAGCACAGCATGCCTCAGGCCACACAGTGAGGACCACCTCGGCTGATACATGGGACGGGGCAAGTGGTGCATCAAGCAATTTAGATTGGGCTGTTGAAGGGAAGACAACTGCTTGGTCAAAATACAGAGTGCAAGTTCAGGGAAGTTTACCCAGGGGTGACCCAGCAGCTTCGTGGCTACAGCTGACCAACCTTTTCTTTTCTTCCCAGTTCTCTTGTCCATCTGCTCGCTGCTCTGCGACCCCAACCCCGATGACCCCCTGGTGCCAGAGATAGCACACACCTACAAGGCCGACAGAGAGAAGTACGTGTCCTCTTTGGGTTGCCTTTGCACCATGGCTGCCCCAGGCAGCTCCATGCAGTACCTGTGCTCTGAGCTGGTGCTTCTAGGCTGCAGGTTCCCACAGACATCTTCCTGCCCATGCTGAGCCATGTGCACAGAGGGTGTGCCCTGGGCTTGGACTCCTGGCTCTCTCACTAACATGTCCTTTGAGTCTAAGGAGGGAAAAGGAGATAAAAGCAGTTCCCCTCCTGGATAACTCATTAGCTGCTGCTACTGTATATGAAAACATTGCCAAGCCCTGCCCTCAAGACCAGCAAAATCAGTGGTCAGCCAAGAACAGACTCAGAAGAATCTGACAACAAGAAAAATTCTGATTTAAATTCTAGGGTTTATAGCCTAAGACAAGGGGATGTCTGCTTGGCTATACCGAAGGTGAGGCTGAGGGCAGTCAAGGTGGGAAACACTGCTGTGGTCAGTTCGCTGGCTCAGCTCAGAAGTCAGCAGTGTGTTAGACCTTCATTGCCAGCTCTCTGTTTAAACACCAATTAACAGACCCAGAATTGTAAAATTCCGACCCCCTAGGCCAGGCACAACCACATGCACTGTAGCATGAGGGTGTCTGTAGTTGGTGGGGCAGGCACAAGGAGTCATCGCCAAGTGTTAGTCTCTCAGTGCTGACAGCACTGTGAAAGAGGCCCAGGTGTGGCAGGGGCCGCAGTCCAGTGAGTGGTGTGAATCTCAGTTGTGGACCTTCAGGGAAGGTATTGCTAGCCCTTTTAAAAGACATCTTCAGTGAGTGCATTCTTCAGTTCATTACTCATTACTTCTTTTCTGTCTGAAGAGATTAGAATAGAGTATGTTTTTCCCTTTTTTTTTTGAGACAAGGTCTCATTCTGTTGCCCAGTCTGAAGTGCAGTGGTGTGATCACAGCTTACTGCAGCCTCGATCTTCCAGGCTCAACCTATCCTCCTGCCTCAGCCTCCTGAGTAGCTGGGACTACAGGCGTGTCCCACCACACCTGGCTAATTTTTTGTAGAGACAGGGTTTTGCCATGTTGCCCAGGCTGGTCTTAAACTCCTGGACTCGAGCAATCTGCCCACCTAGGCCACCCAAAGTGCTGGGATTATAGGCGTGAGCCACCACACTCAGCCACATGTTTTTTTCAAATTATATTTTTCTTAAGACCTTTATAGATCTTATTATTTCCCTCATTGGAGTTTTCTCAATAACAGTCAAAATTTTTAATTGACTGGGTTTGTTTATTTTAACACTTTTTACAAGATATTTTAGACATACCAAAAGTGATTTTTTTTCAGTGCCTCTTGTAACTATAAATCTCTCTAATTTATAGTCTCATAGCATCAAGTGTCATTACAATGATGAGAGTAAGTGCACACACCTGCATAGTCTTCAATGGATGCCTGGCCTGCTCCATGTGCTTTACATACAGACTTCTCTAGTTTCCCCACAAGCACACAAGGCAGATACTTTCCCCATGGCAAGCAATCAAAAAAGCCAGGACACAGAGGGGCGGAACAGCTGCTGAGGACTGTACTGATGCACACCCCGGTAGGCAGATTCCCAAGCCCTTGTTCTGGAGTTTGTGTGCTGGACGGCCTGTAACTAGTACAAACTGACCTTTGTGTGTCTCTTCTCTGTCCTCCCTGCATCCATATTGTAGGACAGGAGAAAGAAAGGGAGGAAGTCTGTTGCATTATTAAATCTTCCACAGCAGATAGTTATGGAGAATCAACAGTTTGGGGTTTACACATGAGGGGTTCACCCAGCTGGGGGTTTACAGCCATGTCTGATGTGCTCCTGCTCCAGGGAAAGCCTTTATTCCACTCACCCATCAGCCGTAGATGTTTGACAAGCAGCAGCAGCAGCATTCCCCACATCAGTCCTGTTCTCTGCAGCACATTGAAGGGAAGTGACCATTTCAAGTGAGGGTGTCACTTCCTCTGCTTTTTTATTCCAGGTACAACAGACTAGCAAGAGAGTGGACACAAAAATATGCTATGTAAGTGCCTTGGAGGTTTTACATGAGACACTGTCCAAGAGAAGCTGGCAGAGAGGTCTTCCCTTAAAACTTTGGGCTGTTGGCTGAGCCATTCAAAGAGCATCATCTGTTCTTCAAACAAATGTTGGTCACCCACTCTCTCCAGCTGCAGCATGTTGGTGCCATTTTCAGCAATTACGGCTTTGACAGTGCCACCTCTTTGATGCCAAATCAGCAACCATTGTTGTTATGATCTGCAGTCTTCCTGGTGACACTGGAATCTCTCTCTCTGCCGCCTCAGTTTGTCTGCTGGTCTCTTGGGGGGCCAGGCCCTGCACGTCTCTCCTACCCGGCCTCAAATGGTGCTGCTGCCCATGATGGTACCACACCAGGGCCTCAGCCTGGCCCCTCACCACATACCCTTTGCCTTTTAGAACTCAGTGCCATCCTGGGTGCCCAGGGCAGAGCAGGCTTTGTTCGCACCTCATCTGCTGCAGAACCACATCCTGAGGAGTCTCAGCTTATCCTGGAGGGAATTGGGAACAGTGTCACTGGGAAGTGAAGGCCTAGCCCTGTGGCTTCCACCAGTCTCCTCCTGCAGTGCCACGTGGTGGCATTTCTCGCCTCACACCAAGAAGCAGCAAGTGGAAAATTTCAGGATACAAAGCACATAACACCCCATAAGAGATGATTATGTTTTTAGAAGCAAGAGCAAAATTATGAAACCTCTAGAGATTTGGGTCATGTTACTCCATTTGATGAAGATTCTCACTACCGCCCGCTCCTCCCATAGGAGCCTACACTAAGTCCAAGTGTGAGCCATTCACAGACTAGAACACAAGGAGGGAGAGAGACTCTTAAACGTAAATAAAAATGCAATTCACTCACAACTCTAAATGATAATTGACATTTCAGCCTCTTTCTTTTAGGCAAAACAGAAGATACACACTATTAACAGTTATTTGAAGCCTTAAATTACAATAGCCTGTTAGGTGATCGGCTTTCTGCCTTGGCTTTCTGATGCAGCACATTTTAAGATTTGCCTTTAAAGCTTTGAGCCTTGAGATTAGGTTAGTTAGGAAGAGGACAACAAAGGGAAGAGATTATTCTAATAAAACTTCCACAGAGGGAAGAAAATTGAGGAGCTTCAGATCTCTAAAGCCAAATTCAACCTGATCTTTCTAGGTTGGTTATAAAGCTGGTCCACTTCCAGGAAGTGATGTGTAGGTGAATAGGAACAAAAGGTGAAGAAGCAGTAAAACTGTGACCAAGTGGCCAGATGGGGCTTTTGCCGGCTGATTGAAAGGAAGTCTACAGACCTAACATAAGCAGTCAGCCAAAGGTGGCTGTGGGAGGTTGATTTCTTCCAGAAACTTCCAAGTTGTGGCTACAAATTTATTGCCAGATATTTTCCCACTGAGAATACTGAGGTTATTCACATAATCACTTCCTTAACAAAGGAAGAAGCACTTTTAACTTGGGCTGCATTCCCTTTGTGAGGGTCCACATTTAGGATCCTCCTGCTACCATAAGGCCCCTTTTGGGGTTCTTTGGGTGTGGCTGCATCTCACCATGTTGAGGATTGCCTTTTTTTTTTTTTTTTTTTTTTTTTTTTAACACAGAGCCTTGCTCTGTCTCCCAGGCTGGAGTGCAGTGGTGCGATCTTGGCTCACTGCAACCTCTGCCTCCCAGGTTCAAGCAATTCTCCTGCCTCAGCCTCCCAAGTAGCCGGAATTACAGGCATGTGCCACCATGCTGGGCTAATTTTTGTATTTTTAGTGGAGACGGTGTTTCACCATGTTGGCCAGGCTGTTCTTGAACTCCTGGCCTCAAGTGACCCGCCCACATTGGCCTCCCAAAGTGCTGGGATTACAGGCGTGAGCCCCCGTGCCCAGCAAGGATTGCTGTTTTAATTCTTGTATCTTCGTTGCTTCTTTGGTCTTTGCTTAAACAAAACAATAAAGCTTAATAGTTGGGGAGAATGCTGTTACCAGTGTCCTCTAGGAAGGCTGTTAGCATATGGCTCTACTGAGCAGCAGTGCCATCTGGTGCCTGAGATCATGTGCTTCAGGCAGTTGTCACACTGCATCTACAGCCAAGCATCACAGAAACACTTCACTCATGTGGTCAGGGAAGGTGGGACTGATTCACATGTTAGAGACAGGTCAGATGGGAAAATTAAGGCCCAACTTGGTGTTGGGGAATAACCATACTCTGGTCTTTCAAGTGTAGTAGCTGATGATTCCCAAGAAACTGATGAATTTTCTGAGTCCAGACAAAATTTCCCCAAGCCTGCTCTCTCTGTTGGATATACATAATAGAGAAAGTCAAATCAGCCCTTTGGGGTTTGTGGTAAAAATTCACTCACCCATTGAAGCCTAAGGTGGCTTTGTACCTTCCAGATCTCTCAGCAAATCCCCTGGGCAGAAATGTCACCTGCTTGCCATGTCTTTGAGGGGTTCAGGTCAGCCTGGAGAACAGGCTCCTTAGGTCAAAAACCTTGTTTTAAGAGCCACTGTGGTACAGTCAATGTAACCCACTTGTGCAGAAGCCATGCTTCCAAGGAAGGTCTCAGGTTGACAACTAGACATCAAATCTGAGAAGCCAACTGTGGAGTAATGTGTTTTTTTCTCTGTGGACAAGAGTGATCAGAAAGGTGCTTGATCTTGAACAATTGATCCATGATGAAAAAATGACCATTAGCTCTCCCCCAGAAGCGTCTGTGTTTGCTGAATGGAGCTGAGATTTTGATCCGCTATCAGACTCCAGAAAGATCCAGGAGTTCCAAGAACATGGCAAAGAGTCAAAATCTTAGGACAAGGAATTAAAATGCCAGAATGCAAATGTCCAACAGGCCTGGTAGCTCACAGCTATCAACACCCTAGAATTCCACACTGCCTCACTGCAGTTGCTCAAGGATGGGTATGTTTCTGTCTCTGAAATTCGGGAAAAAGCCTTAAGTGCCAGAGAAGGTGCTTCCAAGACTGTCTGCAGAATTCCTTTCCTAGGGTCTGTCTCTGGTACCCAAAAGGGCAGAGAAGGAACCCTAAGATTAGCATAGAGCCACTCATCTCTCCTCCCCTCCCCACCCCTTCTTCCCCTGCTTCCATTCCCCATGGCTCTCTCCTCTGACTGTGAAACACTTCCTCTCCAGCAGTGTTGGGAAAGTTCTGGACCTCTACTGGATCTAGCCATAAATGGTGGTCTTCAGAAAAATGGAGATTGTGGCTGCCAGCACCCACAAGACAGCAGCCTCATGCCATGCAGGCAGCAAGCCATCCTGAACAGCGTTCCTCCCAGAGTCTGTTTCCTCACCTGCTGTTCACTGGTGAGAGGAAAAGGGACTTGTTCTCCCTTGACCAGTTTTCTAGTTTTCCTGTTCCCACCCTGGTCTTTGCCTGATGACAGAGAAACTTTCTAAAAAAAAACAAAAACAAAAGCTATAAAAAATCTGCAAAACACCCTATCAGAAGTCAATGATTTCCTTAAAAATACATCTACTTCCTTCCTGTCCTTCTTATCTTCTCCCTTGCCCCAGACAGGTGTGCTTGCAGGCATCCAGCTGCCTGCATCAGAGCTCCCCTTGAAGGCAGGTGCGCAGCTGGGCTCCACGTTGGAGGGCAACAGCAGAGCTGCCACTTATAGCCGGTCTTTCAACCCTGCTGTCCCCCAGCCCACCCACAATGGCTCAAAAGGCTGGTCTTCTGAGAAAGACTTGCTGCTAGCCAATCATCACAGTCACTTTCCAGTTATGTTAAGTGGCATCAGAGCATTGATTAGCACTTACGGTATGCAAGATATGGTAGGAGGAAAAGGGAATTATAGACAGAAACCATGTGAAAGTATAAAAGTCACTGATAGACTAGATACACGAATGAGAAACAAATCAAGCATTATCATCACAGAAAACCACCAAATCGCAAAAGATAAGAAAGGGATCAGGCATGGTGGCTCATCCCTGTAATCCCAGCCCTTTGGAAGGCTGAGGTGGGAGAACTGCCTAAGGTCAAGAGTTTGAGACCAGCCAAGGCAACATAGTGAGACCCTGTCTCTTATTAAAAAAAGGAAAGGAAAAAAATTTTTCAAGAGGAAGAAAGTAACAAAGGACATATAAAACATCAGAAACCAATTAACAAAATGACAGGAATAAGTCCTCACTCATCAATAACAACCTTGAATGTAAAGAGTTCAAACTTCCCAATTAAAATATATAGCCTTGTTTAGCCGGGCATGGTGCCACATGCCTGTAATCTCAGCTACTCAGGAGGCTGAGGCAGGAGAATCACTTGAACCCGGGAGGTGGAGGTTGCAGTGAGCCAAGATCATGCCACTGCACTCCAGCTTGGGTGACAGAGTGAGACTCTATCTCCAAAAAAATACAATTAAAAAAATATATATATACACACACATAATACCCTTGCTGAGTGGGTTAGAAAAACAAGATCCAGGCGAGGCATGGTGACTCACAACTGTAATCCCCATGCTTTGGGAAGCTGAGGCAGGAGGATGTCGCTTGAGTTCAATACCAGCCTGGGCAACAGAGCAAGACCACTAGCTCTAAAAAAAAAAAAAAAAAGCTGGGCCTCGTGGCATGTGCCTGTAGTCCCAGCTACTCGGGAGGCTAAGACATGAGGGTTGTTTGAGTTCAGGAGTTGAAGGCTGCAGCTGAGTTATGATTGCCACTGCACTACAACCTGTGTGACAAAACAAGACCTTGTCTCTAAAATAAATTTTGTAAAATGAATTTAACAAAAACAAGATCCAGCTATATGCTGCCTATAAGGAACTCACTAAAAAGATGCATACAGACTAAGTGATGGGATGAAAAAAGATATTCCACTCAAATGTAAACTAAAAGCATGCAGGACTAGCTATACTTATATCAGACAAAATAGACTTTAAGTCAGTCAAAAAACAAAAAGAGAAAAGGTCATTATATAATGATAAAGGGATCAATTCAGCTAGAGGATATAACAATTGTAAATATATATGCACTCAACACTGGAGCACCCAGATATATAAAATAAATATTACTAGAGATAAAGAGAGAGATAGACCCCAGTACAATAAGTTGGGGACTTCAGCACCTACTTTCAGCATTGGACAGATTATGGTCTAGAAAATCAACATAGAGGCATGAGACTTAAAATACGCTATAGACCAATGAATCTAAGAGACATTTACAGACTATTTCATTCAACAGCTGCAGAATACATATTCTCATCAGCACATGGAACATTCTCCAGGATAGCCCATATGTTAGGCCACAAAATAAATCTCAACAAATATTTAAGAATCAAAATCCTATCAAGTATCTTATTAGACCACAATGGAATAAAAAGCAGTATGTTGCAGCCTCCAGAACTGTGAGAAACAAATTTCTGTTCTTTCTAAATTAAAAAAACAAAAAGCACTAGAAGTAAGTAACACAAGGAACTCTGGAAACTGTACAAATACATGAAAATTAAACAACACCATCCTGAAAGATCAAGGGGACAGTGAAGAAATTAAGAAGAGGCTGAGTGAGGTGGCTCACACCTGTAATCCCAGCACTTCAGGAGGCCAAGGAGGGCAGATCACTTGAGGTCATGAGTTCAAGACCAGCCTGGCCAACATAGCAACACCCCCATCTCTACTAAAAATACAAAAATTAACGGGCCAGGCATGGTGGCTCACACCTGTCATCCCACCACTTTGGGAGGCCACGGTGGGCGGATCACCTGAGCTCAGGTGTTCGACACCAGCCTGGGCAACACACTGAAACCCCATCTCTACTAAAAATACAAAAAATTAGCTGGGTGTGGTGGTGTGTGCCTGTAGTCCTAGCTACTCGGGAGGCTGAGGCAGGAGACTCTCTTGAATCTGGGAGGCGGAGGTTGCAGTGAGCCAAGATTGCACCGCTGCACTCCAGCCTGGGCAACAGAGCAAGACTCTGGCTCAAAAAAAAAACAAAAAACAAAAAAACGAAAAAGATACAAAAATTAGCTGGGTGTGGTGGCGTGCGCCTGTAATCCCAGCTACTCGGGAGGCTGAGGTAGGAGAATCGCTTGAACCTGGGGGGGCAGAGCCAAAATTGTGCCACTGCACTCCAGCCTGGGTGACAGAATGAGACTCTGTCTCAAAAAAAAAAAAAAAAAAAAAATTAGTGCCGGGCGCGGTGGCTCACGCCTGTAATCCCAGCACTTTGGAAGGTCGAGGCAGGCGGATCACGAGTTCAGGAGTTCGAGACCAGCTGATCAACATAGAGAAACCCCATCTCTACTAAAAATACAAAATTAGCCAGGTGTGGTGGCGCATGCCTGTAATCCCAGCTACTCAGGAGGCTGAGGCAGGAGAATCACTTGAACCCAGAAGGCGGAGGCTGCAGTGAGCCAAGATTGTGCCATTGCACTCCAGCCTGGGCAACCAGAGCAAAACTCCATCTCAAAAAAACAAAAAACAAAAAAAACACACAAACCTAAACTGCCTCTGTAACACTAATGAAAGGCCACCAGGTTAGAAGGATGAGAGGGGCCTGAATTTGTAGTTAAATGATTACTGCCATTATTCCAAAGGTCACAAGATTTACAACTTCCCCCAATAACTCCTGTAAATAACATCACTATTGTGGAACCTAAGATTGGCCTTTTGAGATGTCTTTTCAGGCTTTTGCATCTCTGATAACTGGATGGCCCCAGTTAGACTCCTGTGGCCCCACCCAGAAGCAGACAGCACATGAAGACCATTTTCCACAGCCCTATGACTGCACCCCAAACCAATTAGCAGCACCCATTCCCTAGCCCCCTGCCTGCCAAACTATTCTTTAAAAATCTTAGCCTCCAAATTTTCGGGGAGGCTGATTTGAGTAATAATAAAACTCTAGTCTCCCATTTAGCTGGCTCTATGTGTATTATACTCTTTCTCTGATCTTGATAGATCAGCTGTATCTGAGCAACAGGAAAGAAGAACCCATTGAGTGGTTACAGGACAGCCAACAGGAAACTTAAACAAGAAAAATGGGAGCATGAGAGGGATAAGGGCGAGGGGGTCTACATAGGGCAGGCCACATCCTCTCCTCTTTAAAACCCATCAGGGTTTCCATTACACATAGAATAAAACCCAAAGCCCTTCCCTTGGCCTCTCCTTCTCCCTGTGTCCCACTTCTCAGACCAATTAAGCTGGCTCCTACCTCAGAACCCAGTCTCTGCTCCAGGGTTAGTTACCTCCTCTAAGGCTTTCCCTGGCCTATCAAGCTGAAACAGGTTTCCATACACTGCAACAGGAAGCAGTATCATGCTCCCTCAAACTTCTCACCACTAGAGACTCCTCCTTATAGTCTTCTCTACATGGAGCTTGGTCACCTCACTGAGCTGATCTAATTCCAGAACACAGAGACCTGCTTCTTTGGCCTGCACAACCTGGTTTCAGGTAAGGGTAGCTTCTCCTCAGGTAGACTAAAATTTGAAAAGTGCTCCCAGACCTCCTAGGGCTTCCACCTGGGACTGGTGGCCAAACGGGTGAAGGAACCTGACAACTAGAAGGTGATTAAATAGGAGTATTCCCAGACAAAGAAGAGAAAAAAAGGTATGTTCACCAAAGAGAAGACGGTATAAGTACCATAAGACTGATGGCCAAACTCCTCTAGAATATGGAGACTGGGGGCAGAGGGATGAGGGGGCAGAAAGTCACCTGAGGGTCTGGTCTGAAGGAAAAACAAGCAGAGATGTTACTGAAGTAAGGGGGGAAAAGACTGAAAATTAGGAGATCTGGAGAGCCTCTATTTATGTAAATTCACTTTTTCTAATGTAAACAGTAGTGAAGTCAAAGTAGAGAAGTAGGGAGACCTGCACTGTGGAAAAGAGAAAAGATTGAAAAGAAGATCCAGGACGAATTCAAAGGAGGGGTGAAGACTGCAGACTGGACTGCTAAGGAGAAGAGATATTTTGCCACAACTTGAGACTTCTCCAGGTCAGGATGAAGTAACTGTTTTCCTCTCAGAAATGTCAGAGCTTCTGCCTGTAAGACAAGGCAGTGGTTCAAATGTGTCCACCAAAGTTCATATCTTAGAGGCTTGATCTCCAGTGTGATGGTGTTGAGTGGTGGGAGGTGGGAGGTGCTGAGGCTCTCATGAATGGATTAATGCCATTATTTTAGAAGTGGGTTTGTTACCCGAGAAGGGTGTCCAGGTTCTTGGTGTCATGAACAAAGAATTGGACAAAATGCACAAAGAAAGCAAGGAAAGAATGAGGCAACAAAAGCAGAGATTTATTGAAAATGAAGGTACACTTCACAGGGTGGGAGTGGCTTGAGCAAGTGGTTCAAGAGCCTGGTTACCGAATTTTTTGGGGGTTAAATATCCTCTAGAGGTTTCCCATTGGTTACTTGATGTACACCCTTGTAAATGAAGTAGTGCCCACAATCAGTCTGATTGGTTGAGGGAGGGGACCTATCAGAGGCTGAAGCAAGTTTCAAAGTTACACCCTATGCAAATCTCTGATTGATTGGGAAAAGGCTGAAGTGAAGTTACAAAGTTATACTCCTATGCAAATGAAGACTTGGCCCATGACCAGCCTCATTGGTTGTGGAAAGGGACCAATCAGAGGTACTTTCAATTTTTCATCTACCATGCAGAAAAAGGTTGGGGGTGGGGGTTGCAAAGGAAGTAGCCAAACAAACTCTGACTACAAACAGAGGTCCCAGTGGGTAGGGGGCTGGGACAAAGCTTTTGGGGGAGGGGGAGGACAGAGGACCTTGGGGCTGGGGGATCTAAGCTGGCCCCTCAATAAAGGGCCTCCTCGCCACCTCCCAGCCCACTGTCCCACCTCTGCCCTTGGCTCTGTTCCTTGCCTCCCTCCTGTCTGACCCCATCTGCCTCCTACAGGAGGAGCCCACCCACCCCCAAACACCTCCCAGCGTTCTGGGCCCAGCTCCTTCCCAGGCCTCACTGGTGCGACTCAGCTCCAGCTGGAAGAGCAGGTCCAGGAAGTCCTTGGCCAGCCCCTGCCCCAGGAAGAGCTTGAGCAGGTTCGTGGCCACGTCCTGGCGACACTCGGTGCTGGTTGTCTCCTCGATGAGTGGGATCAGCTGCCCTGGGCCCTGCAGGGAGAGGCACGGGGGATCCCGAACCTTTCCCTCTGAGGACCTCAGAGCATCCCAGGGAAAGAGGACATTTTCCCAAGGGGTGGCTGGGGATGGGGCCCTGGACACTGGCCAGCTCCTCACATCCCCAGACCTCAGGTTTCTGCTCTGCAGAATGGGTTTGGAAGGACAGGCGCACAGGCCTACTGCCACTGGACCCTCCCACCCTGCCCAGGTCCCCTCACCTGCATGCCCAGCTTGACCTCGTGGCACAGCAGGTGCACCAGTGGCTGGTAGTAGCTGGAGGGCAGCACCGTCTCGTCCCGCAGCCGCACCTCCAGCTGCAAGGAGCCCAGGTTGCCCCTGGAATGGGCAGCCTGTGACCTCTCCACCAGGGACTCAGGCCACCCTGGACCACACCGCTCCCATGGCCTCCAGTTTTTTCCCTTGGGGCCAGCCTCCCATCTCTCTGCTCATGCCCTCCATCCGGGTGCCCTGCACAGCTCTGCCTCCCAGGCTCTGCCCGGGCTATTTATTTTCTGTTTTTGGAAAGCCCTTCCTGTCTCTGCACTCAAGGCACCTCTATCTGTCTTCGAGGTGTGGCTCCCTGCCACCTCCAAGCTTGGGTATGTGGAGCTGCCAGCCTTGAATCTATCAACTCCCAGATAATGGCACCATCATGGGTACACTTTACAGCAGAAGCAAATCCCCAACCCTCATAACAACCTAATAGGGAAACTGAGACCCGAGCCAGTTCAGCAACTTGCCACATTAGATTGAGCTTCCCAGCTTCCCTGTTCTGATAGGGAAGTTCAGAACAGAGGAGGGTGTGGACCAAGTGGGAGCCTCTAAGGCTCCCACTGCCCGTGCTCAGCACGAGCCTCATGCACAGAGCAGTGTTAAGATGGGCCCCTGGGCCTGGCGCAGTGGCTCATGCCTGTAATCCCAGAACTTTGGGAGGCCAAGGCAGGCAGATCACTTGAGGTCATGAGTTCAAGACCAGCCTGGCTGACACGGCAAAACCCCATCTCTATTAAAATATATATATATAAATTAGCCAGGCATTGTGGCAGGTGCCTGTAATCGCAGCTACTCGGGAGACTGAGGCAGGAGAAGCGCTTCAACCCAGGAAGCAGAGGTTGCAGTGAGCCAGGATTGCACCACTGCACTCCAGCCTGACTCTGTCTCAAAAAAAATAAATAAATAAAAAATAAGATGGCAAGATGGGCCTTGGCTGGTTCTATGGAAACACCTTGTGCTGGACACACAGCCGTCCACCTGCTCCTACCCTGTTAAGGATGGGAACTGGGGGAGTGGGGGTCTGGGGCCTTCCACAGAGACACAAAGCTGAACCATTGAGGGCTGTGGGCCACAGCAAACAAGCCAGAGGGCTTCCTAGACAGGCTGCCAGATTTAGCAAAACGACCCAAGACACCCAGTTAAATGTGAATATTTTATTTACTTATTTTTTTTTTTTAGAGATGGGGTCTTGCTATGTTGCCCAGGCTGGTCTTGAACTCCTGGGCTCAAGTGATCCTCCTGCCTTGGCCTCCCAAAGTGCTGAGATTATAGGCATGCGCCACCATACCCGGCCTAAATTTGAATATTTTTAGTATAGGTATGTCTCAAATAGTGCATGGTCATTCTTCTTCTTTATTTATTTATTTTTTTTGCTGAGATGGAGTCCTGCTCTGTCACCCAGGCTGGAGTGCAGTGGCACGATCTCGGCTCACTGCAGCCTCCACCTCCCAGATTCAAGCAATTCTCCATCCTCAGCCTCCCAAGTAGCTGAGATTAGAGGTGCCCGCCACCACATCCGGGTAATTTTTGTATTTTTAGTAGAGCCTCACCATGTTGGCCAGGCTGGTCTTGAACTCCTGATCTCATGATCCACCCGCCTCGGCCACCCAAAGTGCTGAGATTACAGGCATGAGCCACCGCACCCAGCTGTTTTCTTGAGACGGAGTTTCGCTCTTGTCACAGAGGCTGGAGTGCAGTGGTGGGATCTCGGCTCACTGCAACCTCCATCTCCTGGGTTCAAGCAATTATCCTGCTTCAGCCTCCCAAGTAGCTTGGATTACAGGTGCCCACCACCATTTTTTGTACTTTTAGTAGAGACGGTGTTTCACCATGTTGGCCAGGCTGGTCTCGAACTCTTGACCTCAAGTGATCCACCCGCCTCAAACTCCCAAAGTGTTGGGATTACAGGTGTGAGTCACCACGCCCAGCGGTTATTCTTATACTAAAAAAGTATTCACAGCCGGGCACAGGTCAGGAGTTCAACATCAAGCCCGGCCATCACGGTGAAACCCCATCTCTACTAAAACTACAAAAAATTAGCCAGGTGAGGTGGTCCTAGCTACCCGGAACGTTGAGGTGGGAGGATTGCTTGCACCCAGGAGGTGGAGTCTACAGTGAGCTATGATCACCACTGCACTGGTGGTACAGGTGCATGCCTGTAATCCCAGCTACTCGGGAGGCTGAGGCATGAGAATTGCTTGAACCTGGGAGGCAGAGGTTGCAGTGAGCCAAGACCATGCCACTGCACTCCATCCAGCCTAGGTGACAGAGTGAGATGCTGCTCAAAAAAAAAAAAAAAAAAAAATTATTCACTGTTTATCTGAAATTAAGTTTTAACTGGGTGTTCTTTTTTTTTTTTTTTGAGACAGAGTCTAGCTTTGTCACCCAGGCTAGAGTGCAATGGCGCAATCTTGGCTCACTACAACCTCTGCCTCCGGGGTTCAAGCAATTCTGCCTGCCTCAGCCTCCCGAGTAGCTGGGATTACAGGCGCCCGCCATCTGGCCAGGCTGGTCTCAAACTCCTGACCTCAGGTGATCCGCCCACCTCGACCTCCCAAAGTGCTGGGATTACAGGCGTGAGCCACCGAGCCTGGCCTAATTTTTATTTCTTTGTAGAGACAGAGTCTCACTTTCTTGCCCAGGCTGGTCTCAAACTCCTTGCCCCAAGTGATCCTCCCACCTTGGCCTCCCAAAGAGCTGGGATTACAGGCATGAGCCACCGCTCCTGGCCAACGGTGTCCTATCTTATCTCACAACCCTATTCCTGGAGAATCTGGCATAGGGAGTTGGAGCTATGGCTCAGGGACACTGACCTTGGAGACTTGAACCCTGGTCTGAGGTCTGCAGGGAAATTTTCAAAGGGAAAATGTCTGAGTACTTGTTTCAGAAACTTCCAGAGGCAGAAAGCAGGAGACCTGTACAACCTGTGAGCTAAGAAGACAGACCTGGCCGGGTTTGGTGGCCCATGCCTGTAATCCTAGCACTTTGGCAGGCTGAGGCGGGTGGATCACTTGAGGTCAGGTGTTCGAGACCAACTTGGCCAACATGGTGAAACCCTGTCTCTACTAAAAATACAAAAATTAGCCGAGCATGGTGGCACACAGTTGTAATCCCAACTAATCAGGAGGTTGAGGCAGGAGGATCACTGGAACCCAGGAGGTGGAGGTTGCAGTGAGCCAAGATTGTGCCGCTGCACTCCAGCCTGGGTGACAGAGCAAGACTCCATCTCAAAAAAAAAAAAAAAAAAAAAAAAAAGACAGAAGACAGAGCTGAGCTGAATGCAGAACTGTGGGGAAAAATAAAGGGGAGGGGCCGGGCGCGGTGGCTCATGCCTGTAATCCCAGTACTTGGGGAGGCCGAGGCAGGTGGATCACCAGGTCAGGAGATCGAGACCATCCTGGCTAACATGGTGAAACCCTGTCTCTACTAAAAATGCAAAACATTAGCCAGGCGCAGTGGCGGGTGCCTGTAGTCCCAGCTACTTGGGAGGCTGAGGCAGGAGAATGGCGTGAACCTGGGAGGCAGAGCCTGCAGTGAGTCGAGATCACGCCATTGCACTCCAGCCTGGGGACAGAGTGAGACTCCATCTCAAAATAAATAAATAAATAAATAAATAAATAAATAAATAAATAAATAAATAATAAATAAAGGGGAGGTGGAGCCCAGCCGGGATGAGAAGGATGCTGGCTAGGTGGGCAGGGGCTGAGGGGACCCTGGAGCTGTGTCTCCTGACCTCTCACCCCTGAGCAGCCCCCCTGCCCTGCCTGCCTGTAGCCAATTCCCAAATGTCAGCCCCCACCCCACCCCTTGAGGCCGGCTGCCCAGCTCCATGCACTTACTCGTCATGCTGCCGGCTCTTGGACTGGTCGGGCTGCAGCCGGAACCAGCCCTCCTCCTGCTGCGCCACCCGCAGTCTCTGGACATCGATCACCACCTGGGGACATAGTGGCAGTTTTCCTGGAGCTGGGAGACTTAGGTCTCCTCCTTGCCAACTACTGTTCTTAGTGGGGAGGGGCCTCTTCCAAGGGTCCCTGAGTGCCAGTGGTGGTGGGGGGAAGTTGCTGGTTCTGGCAGACGGTGGAGGTGGGGGGGTAGTCCCAGGCTTCCTGAGTGTCCCTCTTTGGGGAAGCCAGAAGGAGGTCCCTGAGGATGGGATGGCTGCAATGGAGCCAGGTGCTGGGGGACAGCAGGTGCAGCCTGCCGGGGGAGGAGGGGGGGCGGGGCGGTGGTGCTCACTTTGCCCAGGAAGTCGTTTCGGCTGACAAGGTCCCAGTCCCAGGCCTCCACGCACAGCGCCTCCACGGCCCCCTCCTGCAGCTCAAATTCAAACGTCTCATTCCAGCGTGGGTAGCATGACTTCTTCATGATCTGCCCAGAGGAGGGTGGGAGGGGGTTAGGCTGATGCCACTGGACTCCCCAGGCTGGGCAAAAGGCAGAGCTGCCCTAGACACCTCCCCTGGGTTCCCCACAGCCTCCTCGCCTTGGAGGTTCTGCCACAGCAGAGGTTAAAATGTCCTGTCCAAGCTCCCACCCATTTCTCAGATGGGGAGAACTGAGGCCCAGGGTGGGGAAAAGATGTATCCGAGGCCACACAGCAGAACAGTACTGACTATGAGGATGTGGTGAACAGGGAATACCTCTACACTGCTGGTGGGAATGTGAACTAGTACAACCACTATGGAAAACAGCGGAGATTCCTTAACTAACTAAAAGTAGAACTACCATTTGATTCAGCAATCCCACTACTGGATATCTACCCAGAGGAGAAGTCATTATACAAAAAAGATACCTGCACACATATGTTTTTGTTTTGTTTGTTTTGTTTTGTTTTTGAAACAGTCTTGCTCTGTCGCCCAGGCTGGAGTGCAGTGGCACGATCTCAGCTCACTGCAACCTCCGCCTTCTGGGTTCAAGTGATTCTCCTGCCTCAGCCTCCCAAGTAGCTGGGATTTCAGGGGCCTGCCGCTACGCCCAGCTAATTTTCGTATTTTTAGTAGAGACAGGGTTTCACCAGGTTGGCCAGGCTGCCCTCAAACTCCTGACCTCAGGTGATCCGCCTGCCTTGGCCTCCCAAAGTGCTGGGATTACAGGCGTGAGCCACCGCGCCTGGCCCTTTTATTCTTTTCTTTTTTTTTTTAAACAGGGTCTTGCTCTGTTGCTCAGGCTGGAGTACAGTGATGCAATCATAGCTCACTGCAGCCTCCACCTCCTGGGCTCAAGCAATCCTCCCACGTCAGCCTCCCAAGTAGTTGGCACTATAGGTGTGCCCCACCACACCTGGCTAATTTTTAAATTTTTTTGTAGAGACTGGATCTTGCTGTTGCCCAGGCTGGTCTCGAAATCCGGGCCTCAAGAGATCCTCCCACCTCTGCTTCCCAAAGCACTGGGATTACTGGAGTGAGCCGCTGCACCCTGCCAGTATCCCCTACTTAGAACTCTTTGTGGAAGAACACCAAAGCCCACTCATCTTCGATATTTTAAGCCTCTCATACCTGCCTTTCTTCCCCCTCAAGACTGTCTAATAAAACCCCCCAACATTGAGGCTGGGTGCAGCGGCTCATTCCTATAATCCCAGCACTTTGGGAAGGAGGCTGAGGCAGGAGAATTGCTTGAACCTGGGGAGGCAGAGGTTGCAGTGAGCCAAGAAAACGCCACTGCACTCCAGCCTGGGCGACAGAGCCAGACTGCCTCAAAAAAAAAAAAAACACCAAAAAAAAAAACAGCCCGGGTGCAGTGGCTCACGCCTGTAATCCCAGTACTTTGGGAGGCCGAGGCAGGCAGATCACCTGAGGTCAGGAGTTTGAGACCAGCCTAGCCAACATAGTGAAGTCTCGTCTCTACTAAAACTACAAAAAATTAGCCAGGCGTGGTGGTGCACACCTGTAATCCCAGCTACTAGGGAGGCTGAGGCAGGAGAATTGCTTGAACCCAGAAGGTGGAGGTTGCAGTGAGCTGAGATCGGGCCACTGCACTCCAGCCTGGATGATGGAGCGAGATTGTCTCAAAAACAAAAAACAAAAAAACCCCAAGGTTTTACTGAAATATTGAGAATCTCCCCAGAAAAAATAAGGAGGAAATGTTCTTTCTTCCTCTGCAGCAAATGGACCTTCTTAGGCTGACTTGGAATTGCAGCAGGAGTCTCATTGCCGAGGACAACGGGGGACAAGTCCCCTCACTCTGAGAGAGGCCTGGACATTCCTCTCCCCTGCTAGGACTCACTAGAAGGCCAACCACTGTGGCCCCAGAGGATGGGAGAGGGGAGATTCCTGGAGAGAGGGGAGGGCCAGGGAGACATGCTTCCATGCCTCCCATCTCCGTGGGTGACGATGGGTGCCTGGGAGAAGTGGCCCCGAGGTCCCAGAGCCCGGCCACGTGTGTGAGCGGGTGCACACGTGTGCATGCCTGTCCCCCAGACAGCCTGGTGCCCAGAAAGGATAAGGATGGAAGAAGCAGGTGAGTTGGGGTGGGGCGGGGGGGAATGAATGGCAGGGCCAGAGAGTGAGCGAGTGTGGGGGCGTGGCTGAGGCTCGGCCCAAGCCCAGACATTTTCCATCCATTTCTATTTTCCCAGGACAGAAAATAACTCCCGGGAAGCCAGAGTGAGCAACATGGGCATCATCCGACCCACACCCCTCTGCCCAAGGGAAGTCTTCCTCTTAGACAGGCTGACCCCTCAAGGGTGGGGGGAACACTGGCTCCATAGGGCTGCCTGGCTGGGGGCCACCCTCCTGCCTCACAGGCAGGGAGCAACTTGGGGAGGTGGGTTTGGAGCTGGAAGGGAAGACGCTTCTCACGGACAGAGTGTGACTCAGACCCAGGCCCAGACGGGAGTGCAGCCTGCAGCTAAAAATACCCTGGGGGTTGGGGGGTGGCCCTGTCACAGGTGACTCAGGCCCATGGAACCATCCAAACCACTGTCCCTCCTTGGGGGAACCCTCAATTTGCCCATCGGGAGATTTTCAGCAACTCTTTTCACCCCCCCAGCCCCACGAGGGACCCACTTACACACACTCCCACCAGGCCAAGTTCACACTGGCGTTAAACATAAGGAAGCCGGCCTTAGCACTGGGGGACTGAGGCTGTGTGATCAGAGTTCGGGGTCTCCTCACCCGTACCCCCTACTCCACTCCTCTGTGATGGCTCCAGTTCCTCCATGAGAACATTAGACTGTCCCTTAAGGGACATATCCCCTTGAGTGGAAATCACCCAAGAAGCATCTTCAAGTCCAGAAAACCTCCCCAGACCCTCTCTTTTTTCTTTCTTTTTTTTTTTTTTTTTTGAGATGCAGTCTCGCTTGTCACCCAGGCTGGAGTGCAGTGGCGCCATCTCGGCTCACTGCAACCTCTGCCTCCTGGGTTCAAGACTCCTGCCTCAGCCTCCTGAGTAGCTGAGATTACAGGCGCCTGCCACCATGCCCGGCTAATTGTTGTATTTTTAGTAGAGACAGGGTCTCACCATGGTGGTCAGGCTGGTCTTGAACTCCTGGCCTCAGGTGAACCACCTGCCTCGGCCTCCTAAAGTGCTGGGATTACAGGTGTGAGACACTGTGCCTGGCGAGACCCTCTCTTGAGAGCAGGCTTTGATGGGAGGTGGCCAGCTCTGGGACCAGGAGGTAGAGGTGGGGCGAGGGGGGGCTCAGCTTCCTCATTGGGTTTCTCTAGTTGCAGGGGACCCACTGCCCGCCCCCAGGCCCCTGAGTCTCACCTGGCCTCCAGCACAGAGCAGCGTAGCTGGCAGGCCCGGGCCCCTGGGCGCACTTCCAGCCGCAGGTGGATCTCGCCCTGCACCTCCTCATCAGGGTCAACCTCCGTCAGGTGGGCCCACCCGCTGAAACCTGTGGGGTCAGCTCAGCCAGGGACACGGCCCTGAACCCCCATACCCTCCACCCTCAGCCCTACCAGGCACCTTGAGGCACCTCCATAATCTCCTGGGAATCCCCTAGGCACCCGTGAAGCAGGGGCTGGTATCCCCAATGACAGATGGGGAAACTGAGGCTCAGCAGGTGAAGAAACAGCAGTTGGAAGAGCTGGGATTAGAATCTAAGTCAGTGACCTGGGGCCTGTGCCCTCACTATTGTGTCATTTTTGTCGTTGTTGTTTTTAGAGACAGGGTCTCACCCTGTGAGCCAGGTGTGGTGGCGCATGCCTGTAATCCCAGCTCCTCAGGAGGCTGAGGCAGGAGAATTACTTGAACTCAGATCGCACCATTGCACTCCAGACTGGGTGACAGAGCAAGACCCCATCTCAAAAAAAAAAAAAAAAAAAAAAAAAAAAAGATGGAGTCTTGCTATGTTGCTCAGGCTGGTCTCAAACTCCTGACCTCAAGCAATCCTCCCACCTCAGCCTCCCAAGGTGCTGGGATTATGAGCGTGGGCCGCTGTACCCAGCCAGATTCCCCATCTTAAAACGGGAAGAGAGTGGCCCTCCCCTAGGGCTGCTGGGAGGAGGGTCTGAGGCCCAGATGGAGAAGCTACAAGATTGCGCCATTGCACTCCAGACTGGGTGACAGAGCAAGACCCCATCTCAAAAAAAAAAAAAAGATGGAGTCTTGCTATGTTGCTCAGGCTGGTCTCAAACTCCTGACCTCAAGCCATCCTCCCACCTCAGCCTCCTAAGGTGCTGGGATTATAAGTGTGGGCCGCTGTACCCAGCCAGATTCCCCATCTTAAAACAGGAAGAGAGTGGCCCTCCCCTAGGGCTGCTGGGAGGAGGGTCTGAGGCCTGGATGGGGAAGCTACAAGGCACCCGGAGGAATAGCCTCACTGGGGCCACTAGACCCCAGAGACGCTGGCTAAGGCTGCAGGTGGGAAAGGCCTTTGGCCTGGCAGGGGCCAAGAAGCCCCATGAGTCAGCAGAACCTGCCTCCGCCCTGCCCCCATCCCTGGCCCAGCGTCACAGACAGGAGCAGGTGTGTGTGGGGGCAAGCCAGTAAGCGGGACACAAAGGCTCTGATGGCAGAGCCCATAGCATCCAAGAACTGGTTTGAACCCTCAGAGAAGCCCAGAGAAGGCAAGAGCTGCCCAAGGTCACACACAGTGAGGCTGGCACAGGGCTGAACCCTCAAAATCATGTCTGGCAGAGCATGGTGGTTCACACCTGTAATCCTAGCACCTTGGGGAGGCCAAGGCGGGAGGATCTGTCAAAGCCAGGAGTTCAAGACCAGCCTGGGCAACAGAGTGAGACCCCCCATCTCCATTTTTTTTTTTTTTTTTGAGACAGAGTCTTGCTCTGTCACCTAGGCTGGAGTGCAATGGCGCAATCTTGGCTCACTGCAACCTCTGCCTCCCAGGTTCAAGAGATTTTCCTGTCTCAGCCTCCCTAGTAGCTGGGATTACAGGTGAGTGCCACCATGCCCAGGTAATTTTTATATTTTTAGTAGAGACAGGGTTTCACCATGTTGACGAGGCTGGTCTTGAACTCCTAATCTCAAGTGAATTGCCACTGGGATTACAGGTGTGAGCCACCATGCCCGGCCTCCATCTTTGTTTTTCTTTTGGAGATGGAGCTTGCTCTGTCATCCAGGTTGGAGTGCAATGGCGTGATTTTGACTCACTGCAACCTCCGCCTCCTGGATTCAAGCGATTCTCCTGCCACAGCCGCCTGAGTAGCTGGGATTACAGGTGCCCACCACCACGTCCAGCTAATTTTTTGTATTTTTAGTAGAGACAGAGTTTTGCCATGTTGGCCAGGCTGGTCTTGAACTCCTGACCTCAGGTGATCCACCTGCCTCGGCCTCCCAAAGTGCTGGGATTATAGGTGTGAGCCACTGCACCCGGCCTCTATTTTATTTTTTATTTTTATTTTTTATTCATTTATTTATTTATTTTTGAGGTGTAGTCTTGCTCCGTTGCTGAGGCTGGAGTGCAGTGGCGCGATCTCGGCTTACTGCAAGCTCTGCCTCCCGGGTTCACGCCATTCTCCTGCTTCAGCCTGCCAAGTAGCTAGGACTACAGGTGCCTGCCACCAAGCCCAGCTAATTTTTTTGTATTTTTAGTAGAGACGGGGTTTCACCATGTTAGCCAGGATGGTCTCGATCTCCTGACCTCGTGATCCACCCGTCTCGGCCTCCCAAAGTGCTGGGATTACAGGTGTGAGCCACCGTGCCCGGCCTTTTCTTTTTTTAAAAAACTATATAAAAATTGTAAAAACAATAACACAAAACAATGTCTGCATCCCAGAAATAATTGAAAGGGATCTCCAGCCTGGACTGGCTCTAGGCCAACCCTTCAGACTTAGGACACAGTAGTACTAGGGCCCAGATGGAGGAGACCCCATGGGTTACAGAAGGAGCTGGCCTGATTTGGAGAAGGGGTCCCTATGCTTCAGCAATAGAGTGTAAGGAGGCCCCTTCTTCTGCCAGCAGAGGCCTCAGATTCCACCCATAGCAGCCCCTCTTCACCCTAGGGAAGAGGCAGTAACAACCAGGCTTGGGAACATGCTGCAGAACAGAGGCCAGGAGTACAGAACGTGGCCCCGGCTTCTGGGGAGAGTAGAAATGGCTTTCCCTGAGCAGGAGACCAGACGGAGCCTAGAGGGGAGGTCTCTGAGTGGGAGGGAGGCCAGGGACTGGGCAGACCAGTGCGGGAGGGAAGGGAGAACTTACCCTTAGGGTGAGAAGCTATGGTGTCCCTTGTAAGGCAGACCTTTCCGATAACGTCGTCCCGGCTAGAGGAGGGAGATGGAGGCAGAGCTGGGCAGGGCTTCAGTATCTGCCCTCTGGGACCTCCCACCAAGTTCAGGGCCCCCCCGGGGGGAGCAGGGTGGTGGACACCGATGTCATTTCCAGAGTAACCCAACAGAGCTGGACCTGTGGCCCTTCTGTAGGCTGTGGGTTCTGGACCCTCTAGGGGGATGTGATAGGTTTCTCACATGCCCACACATGCCAAGCTCACACTCTCTGGGTGCCCATCTCACAGCTCACACCTGCACGCACACGTGTAGTCCATGCACACTTGTGCCCGCATGCCTGCACACACACGTGTGTATGTGGTGCATGCACCATGGAGCCACGCATGTGCACACCCACATGCTCAAGCCTTTCGCCCTCCCAGGCCCCCAGGCTCTGCCTCCCTCCAGGCTGCAAAGAGGATGCCAAAAAGGACCCAGGAGTCCTGGTGGTGAAATGGGCCAGGGAGCAATCAGATGGCCAGGTCTGGGTCCCAGCTGGAGAGGGGGGCACTCACCTGAGGGCATCCTCATCCATGACGTAGAAAGCCACAGCGTGGAAGGTGGGCGGCAGGTGCACTTGGTACTCCTCACCCCAGAAGGGGCACAGGGTCTTCCACACTGTGGCTGTCCTGCAGGAGAGAACCCTCAGCATGTGCCCAGGCCACCCCCAGGCCCTGGGCTTGGACCTTCCTTGTATCTCCCCCTACCCCTATAACAACTGGCTCTGCCACTGATGTGTTTTCCCTGTGCCAGACCCTACTGTTCACCACCAATCACTACCCCCTGACATTCCTCTCTGCTCTGGATGGGGCACAGGGCTGCCTCTCTCTGGCTGTTATTTATTTTATTTTATTTTTTTGAGACGGAGTCTCGCTCTGTCGCCCAGGCTAGAGTGCAGTGGCGTCATCTCAGCTCACTGCAACCTCTGCCTCCCAGGTTCAAGCAATTCTCCCTGCCTCAGCTTCCTGAGTAGCTGGGATTACAGACGCCTGCCACCACGCCCAGCTAATTTTGTCATTTTAGTAGAGACAGGGTTTCACCCTGTTGGCCAGGCTGCTCTCGAACTCCTGACCTCAAGTGATCCGCTCCCCTTGGCCTCCCAAAAGACATGTTTGGGAGGCTCAGTGCTCATTTCTCATGGGGAGATGTCTAGAAGCAGAATTGCTGGGGCCTGGGGCAGGCGTAGAACACTGGATTCTAAACAGGCCGGTTCTTACTGTGCCTCTCCGAGCATTTCACACGCGTTCCCACCACCTTCCCAGGGGACCTACCACGTGTCTCCTTCACCTCCCTTTATTCTCCCAGTAACAGAAACTTCAGATCCATCAGCCTCTGTTTTGCAGAGCAGAGCAGCCCTCCTGACCTTGCTCCTGTCCTGGTGGGCCCAGGGCACACCCGTCACAGCTAAAGGGCCCACTGGGTTGGCCAACAAGGAGAGAGCCCTTTCCTGCAGGCTGAGAGCCTCTCTCTGTCTCTCTCTCTCTTTTTTTTTTCTTTTTTTTTTTGAGATGGAGTCTCGCTCTGTCACCCAGGCTGGAATGCAGTGACGCAATCTTGGCTCACTTCAGCCTCTGCCTCTGGGGTTCAAGTGATTCTCCTGCCTCAGCCTCCCAAGTAGCTGGGTTTACAGGTGCGTGCCACCATGCCCGGCTAATTTTTGTATTATTTATTTATTTATTTATTTATTTATTTATTTTTAGTAGAGATGGAGTTTCACCTTATTGGCCAGGCTGGTCTCGAACTCCTGACCTCAACTGATCCACCCACCTCGGCCTCCCAAAGTGCTGGGATTCCAGGCATGAACCATCACGCCCAGGCCCTGAGAGCTTCTCTCATGGCACTTTGGGACTGTCTGTTTGCAGTCCATCCCTCTGTGGGCTGGCCACCCCTTTACCCCCAGGATAGAGACTGTGGTCAAGCTATTCCTGCACCCAGTGCCCAGCACACAGCTTGATGTGAACAACAGGGAACCGGCGGCTCACAGAAAGGTGGGGTAGGAGAGAACAGCTTAGAGGCAAATGTCTCCTACTTTGAGGACTAAGTCCAGAGATGTAGCTTCAAGGTCCAGTTTCTCTGCTTGGGCCTGAGGAAAGCTTTTCACTTTTTGGGATCTTAGTACGAGCCTGGTGTCCCTCCAGGGTCCAGGTGGGCCCTTCCATTCACCCCAGCCTTAGACCCAAGGCAGATGAGTTGAGTACAACCAAGAACCATTGGCCACACCCTTCCCAGGCCCTGAGAGGTCACTTCCTGGACAGCCCAGGCTGGAACCGGCCCACGGTGGGAAGAGAAGGGGTCTCCCACTGGAGATAAGGCCTCCAGTCAATGTCTCTGACATTCATGGAGATCCCTCTGGGGCTCAGTGGCTGGTCAGAGGGGTCGAGGCAGGGCCCTGGGCAGCGGGTGGACAGGCTCCGTGATCAGAGGGACCGTCACCCAGCCCGCCCTTGGCCGTCAGCCCAGACCCAGGTTCCTCTCTTCCCAGAAGTTCATCCCCCTAAATGGACTTACGTGCTTAGCTCTCATTAACATTCTGAACCTTCCAGAAAGGGAGTGGAAATATCCTGCCTCATCTCCTGCTGAGGAAGCCTGGGTAGGAGTGGAGGAAGATAAAGGGACCCCCCCAAGGGCTGCTGCTGGGGCCAGAGATGTGGGGGTCCCAGGCAAGGGTGTTGTCCTGAGCAGAGTCTCTGCACCAGCTCAGTCACCAAGGAGGCTCTGCAAGTTCATCCAGCAGAGGTGGGAGAGCTGAACACCCCTGCCTCTCTCTTAGGGATCCTTGACTCCCTCTGCACCAGCCCAGCAGTCCCCCGCCAGCCGCCCCTCACTTCCCTCCTCCAGCAATTCTTTTTATTGTTTTTTTGAGATGGAGTCTTGCTCTGTCGTACAGTGGTGCGATCTCAGCTCACTGCAACCTCCGCCTCCCGAGTTCAAGCAATTCCCCTGCCTCAGGCTCCCGAATAGCTGGGATTACAGGCACTCACCACCACGCCCAGTTAATTTTTGTATATTTAGTAGAGACGAGGGTTTCGCCATGTTGGCCAGGCTGGTCTCGAACTCCTGACCTCAAGTGATCCACCCACCTCAGCTTCCCAAAGTGCTGGGATTACAGGTGTGAGCCACTGCACCCGGCCCAAGGGCCCATCTTAACACTGCTACTGTGCATGAGGCTTGTGCTGGGCAGGGGCTCCCTGGGCTGGGCTGAAGTGACCTGGGTAGCTGGCATGGGTGGTCTGAGTCTCCAGGTCTGTGTTCTCATTTCTCACCTGTCTCCCTCCGTCCCTTCACCCCAGCAGAGACAGATTACAGCCTGCACCATGGGTGGCCAGGAGATAATCTTTCTTTTAATTTTGTATTTTTTTATTTTTTGAGACACAGTCTCGCTTTGTCACCCAGGCTGGAGTGCAGTGGCGCAATCTCAGCTCAGTGCAACCTCCAACACCTGGATTCAAGCGATTCTCCTGTCTCAACCTCTTGAGTAGCTAGGATTACAGGCGTGTGCCACCATGCCCAGCTAATTTTTGTATTCAAGATATTCCTTTGTATTCGATATACTCTTTTTTTTTTTTTTCGAGATGACGTCTTGCTCTGTCACCCAGGCTCAAGAGATTCTACTGCCTCAGCCTCCTGAGTAGCTGGGATTACAGGTGTAAACTACCACAGCCAGCTAATTTTTGTATTCGAGATATTCTTTTTGTTGTTGTTGTTGAGACAGAGTCTCACTCTGTTGCCCAGGCTGGAGTGCAGTGGCACAATCTTGGCTCACTGCAATCTCCACCTCTCTGGTTCAAGAGATTCTCCTGCCTCAGCCTCCCAAGTAGATGGGATTACAGGCACCCACCACCACGCCCGGCTAATTTTTGTATTTTTAGTAGAGACAGAGTTTCACCAAGTTGGCCAGGCTGGTCTCGAACTCCTGACCTCAGGTGATCTACCCGCCTCGGCCTCCCAAAGCGCTGGCATTACAGGTGTGAGACACCGCACCTGGTCGATATTTGAGATATTCTTGAACTCCGTGTGATTTGGAGGTTGACAAACCACTCAAGGTAGAAGAGACAGAAGTGATGGAAGCATTTGAAGCTGAGCTTGGAGGACCAGAGGACTGGGGCTCCAGGAGAAGGGGTGGGAGGTGGGGGAAGGGTGGCAGGGAGCAGCTGGTGTGAGCCCTCATGCACCATCCTGGAGACCCAGGAGCCTTGGGCCCGACAGCACAGCTCAAACCCGTCCAGCAAGCAGGGGTTCCAGCTCCTGCAACACTGAATCCCCCAAATCCCTACAAGTCCCCAGGGGCATCTGGGGACAGTCTGCATTTCAGCCAGGACCTCACCTATGGGTCCTGGGAGCAAGGGGAAGCCATCCCCTTTGCCTGGAGTGTCCTGCTTGGGAAGGGCCCCCACAGCAGGGTGGCTGGGACCCCAGAGAGACCCCTCTCTCGAACCATAGCCCTTGCCTTTTTGTGACCCTGCAATGGAAATATCCCCCAGGAAGGTTACTTTGATGGGGTCAGACCGGGTAGCCCCCGCCCACTCGCTGCCCCAGACTCTTGGACAAGCTGATTCCCTCCCCGAGGCTTCACAGCCCCCCACTGCCCAAGTCTTCAGACCCCTCAGGTAAACCCTTATTTCCAAGAGCGCCCCGGCTCCCATGTCAAAGAGGGGGTGCAGAGACACACTGTGTGGGTGAGTGGAGGGCTGCCTGGTTTCCAACAGTGGTCCCCTTGGGGCACCTGTGCTCCTGCTGCAGTGGACGGCTGGGTGTCTGGAGGAAGGGCTGGGGTGTGGAGACAGCCGTGGGGCACAGCCAGCAGGGGTGGGGGTTCCAGGCTGACTCCCTCTGCATCTGCTGAGGGATGGGCTGCGAATGGTTTCTGTCCCCTGATATCCACTTGCTCTTTTTCCTTTCTTTCTTTTCTCCTTCTCCTCCCCTCCCCTTTCCTTCCCTTCCCTCCTTCCTTCCTTCCTTTCTCTCTCCTTCCTTCCCCTCCTTCCTTCCCCTCTCCTTCCTTCCTCTCTCCTTCCTTCCCCTCCTTCCTTCCTTCCCCTCTCCTTCCTTCCTTCCCCTCTCCTTCCTTCCTTCCTCTTTCCTCTTTCTTTCCTTCCTTCTTTCTTTGCTTTCTTTTTCTTTCTTTCATCTTTCTCTCTCTCTCTCTCTCCCTTTCTTTCTCCCTCTCCCTCTCCTCTCTCTTTCTCTCTTTATTTCTTTCTGACAAGGTCTCAGGGTCTTGCTCTGTGCCCGGGCTGGAGTGCAGTGATGCAATCATAGCTCACTGCAGCCTCGACCTCCTGGGCTCAAGCGATCCTCACACCTCGGCCTCCTGAGTAGCTGGGACCACAGATGCACACTACCATGCCCAGCTAATTTTTAAAACTTTTTAAGAGATGGGGGTCTCCGTATGTTGCCCAGGCTGGTCTTGAACTTCTGGGCTCAAGCGATCCTCCCACCTAGGCCTCCCAAAGCGCTGGGATTACAGATGGGACCCATCGCACCCAGCCCGTTCTTTCCCTGCTCTTATTTCTGCTGCTTTTTGCCCTTTTCCCCACTGAGTCCAGCCGTGGAACTGACGCCAGCTCTCTGATTTTATCTTGTGTTTATTGGGAAATGGTGGTGCCCATCTCTGGGCCAGTCCAGACAGCTTCCCCCTAGGAAGTGAGCCGAGTTCCCACGGCGTGTCAGAGTTAAAAACAAGGACAAGAGACAGCGTGAGAGACATAAGAGAGGGGGCACGGAGAAAGACAGAAAAGCAGAGAGAGGGACACACAGGTCCCCTGCTTCCTCTTCTGTTTGTTCATTAATCAGGCTGATGTCAGGTGGCACAAGGGGCATTGGACATCATTTCATGGCTCAAGATCATTGTCCCTAAGTCTGTTTTCCCAGGCTGTCCCCTTAAGAGCTGGGCTGCCGCGGCCACACCCTGCAGTCCATGTCACCCTCCAGCCATTGCTCTCCTGTGGGTGTGCCTGGCAGAGCCTCCAGCTCTGTGCCTGCCCCCTGGAATGCCCCTAAAGCCCTCCCAGCCCCTTACCCAGCCTTCAAGGCCACACCTGTGCCCCTCCTTCATGCAGCCCCCAGATGGGATCAGGAGGCAGGGTGTGCCTCTCTGTCCCTCAAGGGCTCCCTGGTCATCTCTGTGCATGTCTAGATGCCACTGAGATGGACTGGCCTTGATGGCCGGGACTCTATGTCTTAGCATCCAGCATGGCTAGCTGAAGTCAGTGGCTGCAGAGTGTGGGAATGAGTGAGTGAGTGAGTGAGTGAGTGAGTGAATGAATGAATGAATGAATGGGGGAGAACTGAGTGACCCAAGGGAGGCCCAGACCTGGACAGGAGCTTCTGGTGCCTCTTGTCCCTCCTTTTTTTTTTTTTTTTAAGATGGAGTCTGGCTCTATTGCCCAGGCTGGAGTGCCGTGGCACAATCTCAGCTCACTGCAACTTCTGCCTCTCAGGTTCCAGTGATCCTACTGCCTCAGCCTCCTAAATAGCTGGAACTACAGGCGTGCACCACCATACCCGGCTAATTTTTGTATTTTTAGTAGAGACAGGGTTTTGCCATGTTGACCAGGCTGGTCTTGAACTCCTGACCTCGTGATCCACCTGCCTCGGCCTCCCAAAGTGCTGGGATTACAGGCGTGAGCCACCGCACCCAGACCCCTCTTGTCCATTCTTTTCATGGATGAGGAGGCTGAGGCCCAAGCCGGTCAAGGGGGGGCCAGGACTGGGGCTCCGACATTTTCTCTCCCAGGGGATTCTCAGGATCCCTCTCTGGGAACATGATCAGTGGCTTTAAGGGGCCAGGGGCTTTCCCTCCAGCCAGCCCTGGACTCACAGGCCCCAGAGAACCTGGAGAAGCCAGCCTCGCATGGCTGGGATTTTCATCGGGAGAATCCCACTGGCCATGTACTGGGCTCTCTCCCAGTCCGAGATTGGGCTCTGGGCTCAGCACTGAGCAGGACCCAAGGAAGTGGCTTAAGTCTTTGTGGCCAGGCGGTGTCTGCTGTAGAAAGCAGTGTGGCATGTGGCCGGGTGGTACTGTGGCCAGGGAGAGAGGTTGCCTGGGGCTGTCCAGGCTTCAGCCTGGGAAAGGGAGCACCCAGGGAACCAAGACAAGGTGCAGGGCTGGAGGCAGCTTTGGGCTCAGCTGTCGGGGAAGCATATTGGCAGGAGGGGCCTCCTGGATGTCTGGTCAGAGATGGCCAGGGGGCCAAGGACATATGAGAGGCAGCTGAGGGTTGCCGGGCGAGCTGCCTCATGCCTGTAATCCCAGCACTTTGGGAGGCTGAGGCGGGCGGATCACCTGAGGTCGGGAGTTTGAGACCAGCCTGGCCAACATGGTGAAACCCCGTCTCTACCAAAATACAAAAATCAGCCGGGCATGGTGGCGGGTGCCTGTAATCCCAGCTATTCAGGAGGGTGAGGCACGAGAATCGCTTGAACCCAGGAGGTGGAGGTTGCAATGAGTCAAGATCGCGCCACTGCACTCCAGCCTGGGTGACAGAGCCAGACTCTGTCTCAAAAACAAAAAAAAAGAAAAAAGAGAGGCAGCTGAGGGGAGGGACAAGGGTCATTAGTCCACATGGGAGCTGGCTGAGGCTGGTGCCCAGGGATAGGGGAGCTGAGTGGGTGCAGGCCCAGGAAGTGAGCAATTGCCAGTGACACCGGGTGGAGGGACAGGTGGAGGAGGAGTTGTGAGCTCAGCTGCACAGGACATTACTCCAAATGGGGCTGAGGAGCAAGGGGGACCCCCACACTCCCCACATCCCAATGCTGAGGCATGTGGGTAGGGGGCTACCCAGGAGGGCTTCAGGGAAAAAGTGTTCTGAAGGAAGAGGCAGGAGGGTGGTGAAGGGGACATTTGGGGGCCACCCCTTCTCCAGCTGGCAAAATTGTCCTGTCCCCGCTGGGTGCGGTGGCTCATGCCTGTAATCCCAGCACCTGGGGAGGCTGAAGCGGAAGGATCACTTGAGGTCAGGAGTTTGAGACCAGCTTGGGCCACACGGTGAAACCTGCACCCCACCCCCCACCCCGCCCAATCTCTACTAAAAATACAAAAATTAGCTGGGCATGGTGGTGCACTCCTGTAATCCCAGCTACTCGGGAGGCTGAGAGATGAGAATCACTTGAACCCAGGAGGCGGAGATTGCAGTGAGCCGAGATCGTGCCATTGTACTCCAGCCTGGGCGACAGAGCAAGACTCCATCTCAAAAAAAAAAAAAAAAAAAAATTTGCCCTGTCCCCTGAGACTCAGAGGTCAGCCCCTGCAGAGTCCCTTCTGCACACCCCCAGCCCCACCCCAGCCTTAGCAGCCCTCTGTCTGGGCAGGACTTTGTGGCCCTCTCTCCAGTCTGGAGACCAGAAGGCCAGGAAGGGAGGCCAGGCATGGTGGCTTATGCTTGTAATTTCAGCACTTTGGGAGGCCAAGGTGGGAGCATCTCTTGAGCTCAGGAGTTCCAAACTAGCCTGGGCAACATGGCGAGACCCCATCTCTACAAAAAATAAAAAAATTAGCTGGGTGGTGGCACATCCTATAATCCCAGCTACTTGGGAGGCTGAGGTGGGAGGATTGCTTGAACCCAGGGGTTCAAGGCTGCAGTGAGCTATGATCGTGCCACTGCACTCAAGCCTGGGTGACGGAGACCCTGCCTCTACCCAAAAAAAAAAAAAAGAAAGAAAGAAAGTTAGCTAGGTGCCTGTAGTGCCTGAAATCCCAGCACTTTGGGAGGCCAAGGTGGGAGGATCGCCTGAGCCCAGGAGTTCAGTGCTACAGTGAGCTATGAAGACGCCACCATACCCCACCCTGGGCAACAGAGTGAGACCCCATCTCTAAAAAAGGAAAAAAAAAAAAAAAAGAAAGAAAGAAAAGAAAGAACAGGAAGGATCTAATTCCACTGGATCAGCATGAAAGTGGCGTGTGCCTCTGTATGTCCATTTCGCTTTCTCTGTCCTGCTCTGACCCAGCAGATTGGCCTCCAGGGACTGCACCACTGAGACCCCACACTCTCTTGCTTCTCGTGAGGTGTGGCCAGTGGAGACACTGGCATGAGATCAGGGGGCGGGAAGACAGAGCCCAGTTCCCTCTGGTGGCTTCATCCTTTCACCTACAGCCCCTGCTCCTGCGGGGCCCCTCACCCATGGCTACTGCCTGCTGATCCAGGAAACATCACTCCCTCCCTCCCATCAGCAATCAGATCCAGGAGTGCTTAGGGCCCCATTACAGCCAAGTCCCAGGTCACCCTCTCTGGTCCATTCCCCTAATGCTGCCCACACCTTTGTAAACGCTCTCAATTGCCCTGTGAGACAGCGTACCCTCTGTTTCCTGCCAGGGCCCGACGCATACAGGGTGTGGGCAAGGGTTTGTGAAATGCAGGGTCTTAGAGTTCACCCAGTTCACCTTCCCTTTTAAAAATGTTTCATTTTAGAGACAGGGTCTTGCTCTGTCACAGAGGCTGGCGTCCAGGGGTGCCATCATAGCTCACTGCAGCCTCCAACTCCTGGGCTCAAGCGATCCTCCCACCTCAGCCTCCATAGTAGCTGGGACTGCAGGTTCACACTACCATGTCTGGCTAATTTTTCTTTTGTTTTGTTTTGAGACAGTCTTGTTCCCTGTCACCCAGGCTGGAGTGCAGTGGCATGATCTGGGCTCACTGAAACCTCCTTCACCTGGGTTCAAGTGATTCTCCTGCCTCAACCTCCACAGTAGCAGGGATTACAGGCATGCACCACCATGGCTGGCTAATTTTTGTATTTTGTGTAGAGACGGGGTTTCACCATGTTGGCCAGGTTGGTCTCAAACTCCTGACCTCAGGTGATCCTCCTGCTTCTGCCTCCCAAAATGCTGGGATTCCAAGTGTGAGCCACCACGCCTGGCCTTAACCACCATGCCCAGCCTTAATTTTTGTATTTATATTTTGTAGAGATGGGGTGTTGCTATGTTGCCCAGGCTGGACTTGAACTCTTGGTCTCAAGCAATCCTCCCACCTCGGCCTCCCAAAGCACTAGGATTAGAGGTGTGAGCCATCTGCACCTGGCCTAACCATTGCTTTTTATGTAAGGGGAAACTGAGGCCCAGAGAGTGTGAGTGATCTGTCTTGGGTCACTCAGCCCCAGGGTTGGGGCTCAAAGCTGTTCTGAAAAGGTTCTGGAGAGGCCAGGGCTTATCTCACAGAGGTTGGCAGCCTGTCTGCCCCATCCCCTGCCTGCCTCTCCCAGCCTGGTAGCTTCAAGATCATTTGAGCATTTCCTCCACAGCAGGAGCCGGATGCATCTGCTCCACCTAATAACCCCATTAGGGCCATTTGCGCCTCTCAGGGGCAGGCGCCTGGGAACCCAGCCAGCGCCCTCCTCCCTGACCTCTTGCCCCAGAGGGCGGGGCCCCTCCACATGGCACAGGGTGTCTTCCGGTCTCCTCTCCATCCCTCACCCTCCCCTACCTGCCCATCAGCAACACATTGCTCCTCCTGCCTGGCACCCTTCCAAGGTCCACCTGGCCCAAGTGTCCTGCTCCTTCTTCAAAGCCACCCCTCCCCAAGATGCTGCCTCTGAAGCTCAAACAGTCCATCTCCCTGACAGTTGTGTCCTCTCCTTCTCTCGTATGTGGTAGTATCACTGTCCTCCCCCTAAAGCAGTGGGCACCTTGAGGGCAGAACCTTGCCACGGGCATCTCTGGCCCCTGGGGTCCGAGCACTGAGTGGGAATCCTGATGATAAGTGTTGCATGAGCTGGGCACAGTGGCTCACGCCTGTAATCCCAGCAGGAGGATCACTTGAGACCAGGAGTTCGAGACCAGCCTGGGCAACATAGTGAGACCCCGTCTCTAAAGAAATTTAAAAAATTAGCCAGACATGGTGCCATGTACCTACAGTCCAAGCTACTCAGGAGGCTGAGGCGGGAGGATCGCTTGCACCCAGGAGTTTGAGGCTGCAATGAGCTATGATCACACCACTGTTCTTTCCAGCCTGGGCAACAGAGTAAGATTCCATGTCTACAAAAAAATTAAAAATTAGCCAGACGTGGTGTCATGTGCCTGTAGTCCCAGCTACTCTCAGGAGGCTGAGGTGGGAGGATCACTGGAGCCCAGGAATTAGAGACTGCAGTGAGCTATGATGGTGCCACTGCACTCCAGCCTGGGCTATAAGGTGAAACTCCATTTCAAAAAAAAAAAAAAAAAAGAAACTGCACCTTTTGCCTTTCGTGTACTCTAGGAAAGGATTGGAGGAAGTGGAGGCAGAGGGCTTGAAGTCCTCCAGCCAACAGGGGGCAGGCTGGGGAGAGGGGCCACAGGGAGGATGCTTGGGTGGAAAGATAGCAAGTGCCAGCCATGCTGCCCCGTGGCCTTTGGTTACCAGGAGGCTGTCTGGGCAGGACAAGAGGAGCACCTATCTCAGGTCCACAGTCTGCCAACAAGCCCAGCTAATTTTTTGTCATTTTTGTAGAGATAGGGTTTCACCATGTTGCCCAGGCTGGTCTCGAACTCCTGGGCTCAAGTGATCCTCCTGCCTCAGCCTCCCAAAGTGCTGGGATTACAGGCCTGAGCCACCGCAACCGGCTTTGGGTCCACAGTCTTCACAGTTCCCAAGGCATGTTCACCTTGGTTTAGCCTTACTGTGGCCTTGTGGGTTCAGGGTTACCATCCTCATTTTACAGATAGGGACAGTAAGGCTGGCAGAGAGACCTGTCCTGCCCCAGGTGACAATTTCTCTAGGATCCTGAGCCTTGCCCTGGTCCTACACGCCCTTGGGGACCTCCTCAGGAGGAGGAGCCAGGGGCAGTGGTGCAGAAAGACTACCCAGGTGTATGATGTCAGAGGCAGGCAGGGAGGTGTTGGGGGCATTTATTTCTGATAGAGACTGGCACAAGCTTTGGGCTAAGGACACCCGCCCCCACCCTCATCTAGAAACAATCTCTCTCGCCAGACTTGATGGCTCACGCCTGTAATCCCAGCACTTCGGGAGGCCGAGTCAGGCAGATCACAAGGTCAAGAGATGGAGGCCATCCTGGCCAACATGGTGAAACCCCATCTCTACTAAAAATACAAAAATGAGCTGGGCATGGCGGCGTGTGCCTGTAGTCCCAGCTACTCAGGAGGCTGAAGCAGGAAAATCGCTTGAACCCGTGTTGCAGTGAGCCAAGATCGCGCCAGCCTGGCGACAGAGTGAGACTCCGTCTCAAAAAAAAAAAAAAAAAAAAAAAAAGTAAAGAAAAGAAACAATCTCTCTCAGGGTCCAGAAGCTTCAGGGCGTGTCCCAGCCCAGGCTCTGCAGCCTGGGCCAGGGAGGAGGTGTAGGGACACGTGGGCCCCTCTGGTACCCCTCAGGAATCCCCCTCGGCCAGAGTGCTGAACGCGAGGTGCGTGGTGTATCTTCTCACACTCCCTGTCTCCTCTGGGCCTGATAGGGAAGTGCTCCTGCAGCTGTTGAAGCTTGGGAGGGGAGGAGAGAGGGAGAGATGATGGATGCTGAAGAAAGGCTCTGGCCGAGATCCCACAGCCATTGGCTAGCATGCTCTGACCCATCGCACAGGGGAAACTGAGACTCCACTGGCCGGGCAGAATTAACCAAAGGGACTGAGGCGATTCCTTCAAACCTCACAAATCCAGCTCATTGCTCCTGCTCCCCATCACTCTCCCCCTCCACCCTCCACACCTCAGGACCCCGCTCAAACATTATCTGCCTGTCTCCCCTGATCAAAACCCACTCCCGGCTCCCATAGGCTGCAGGATACAGCCCAGTTCCTCAGCTAGGCACCTGGGGCCCCTTGCCTGGCCTGGCTGCATGCACCCCTCCTGCTCCTCCTGCCCCTCCTGCCCCCACACCTCCCCACCCCCTTTTTATCACTCCCTCTCCCCCTCCTCCCCAAATCCCACCAGGGCTAGGTCTCCCCTTTTCTCTAGGAAGCCTTGTGGACACTCTCTGTGCCCCAGGCTCAGGCACCTGAGCTCTGTATGAAACCCTGACACCCCCCCCTTTTTTTTTTTAAATGGAGTCTCACTCTGTCACCCAGGTTGGAGTGCAGTGATGCAATCTCAGCTCACTGCAACCTCCACCTCCCAGGTTCAAGCCGTTCTCCTTCCTCAGCCTCCTGAGTAGCTGGGATTACAAGCACGTGCCACCACACCCAGCTAATTTTTTGTATTTTTAGTAGAGCTGGGGTTTCACTATGTTGGCCAGGCCGGTCTTGAACTCCTGACCTCAGGTGATCTGCGGGCCTCAGCCTCCCAAAGTGCTGGGATTACAGGCGTGAGCCACTGCACCCGGCCTGTATGGCGTCTTGAGGCAATGCTCAGAGCTTGGTGTGAAAGCAATTCACCTCCTCCTTGGGCGCCTCCCCGACTGGGGTGTCCGCAGGCGGCAACCACTTGCAATCCCAGATGCTGCCACCAGGGGGTGCACAGTACCCGCTTGGAAGGTGGGCAGGGGCGGGCGGGGAGGAACTAGAGAGGGAGGGGTTAATGCCCAAGGGCCCCGCCCCTCCCAAGAGGCATGGGCGGTCTCAGCCCGGTCCACTCACCAGCTGTATATGAGCACAGCCAGGAGGACCGTGAGGACGACGGCCAGGAGGATAGACAGGATGGCGATGATGACCACGGTGCCCGGGCTCTGGGGGCCAGGGACAGCCCGAAGTGCCTGGGCTGAGGGCAGTGATGGGGGCCGCATAGGCGGGCAGGAAAAGAAATTTTACCTGACCGGAAGGGGCCCTTGGGCAGAATCCAGACCAATCACCGCCCTGCCTCCCCTACCACCACCCAGGCCTGGGGGAAGGGGGTGGCTGGGGGAGGGGCGCCTGCAGATTGCAAGATGGTTGGCTGCCTCTGACTGAGTGGTGAGCTGACCTGTTCCCCCAGCCCATCCTCAGTCCTCAGGACCCCCAGGCCCCAGCCCCCTGCCCCTACTGTTTGACCGGAGCCTCTGGCCCCTACCTTGCTGCAGGCGAGTGTTGCTGGACCACTTTGTTTCAGCCACGGGTCCTTTGTCATTCATCACCAGGAACTTCACCCTGAATGGGAGACCCAGCATTGGCCATGGGGGTCCCCCGGAGTCCTGAAACCATCAGACTTGGTGCCTGCAAGTCTGTCCCCTGGAGTCCCAGGCCCTGGCGAGAGCAGCCCGGGGAGGGGGCCGGAGGCTGGGGCGAAAGAGCCCAACAGAATGGGTTCAAATCTAGGTGTGACATTTCCAGTGGTGTGACGTCCCTCCCCCTCTCTGGGCTTCTGTGTCCTCATTTGGGAAAGGTAGGGGGTGAGTATTAGATCTCTCAGAACTGAACATGCGTGAATCAAGCATTTAGTGAGGGGAGACCCTGTCTGGATGGAGAGACGCCACCTGAGTGGTCCACATGGCCTGTGGGGACTGGGGCTTGAGGTGGGGAACCTTCTGCTCAAGAAAAGCAGGATAGGCCAGGCATGGTGGCTCACGTCTGTAATCCCAGCACTTTGGGAGGCCAAGGTGGGCAGATCACTTGAAGCCAGGAGTTGAGACCCGCCTGGCCAACATGGTGAAACCTCATCTCTACTAAAATTACAAAAATTAGCCAGGCATGGTGGCAGGTACCTGGCCAACATGGCGAAACCCTGTCTCTACTAAAAATACAAAAATTAGTCGGGTGTGGTGTCAGATGCCTGTAATTCCAGCTACTCGTTAGGCTGAGGCTGGAGAATCGCTTGAACCCAGGAGGCACAGGTTGCAGTGAGCCGAGATCACACCACTCTACTCCAGCCTGGGTCACAGAGCAAGACTCCATCTCAAAAAAAAAAAAAAAAAGAAGAAGAAGAAGACGACGAAGAAGAAGAAAAGGAAAAAAAAAAAAAAAGAAGGATAATTCATGTAATTCATGAAGGCCTCCCCAGCCCCTGCCTGCTGCTTCCTCTTCCCTTTGGCCAAGCAGGAGCAGGGGACCCAGGCATCCTGCTGGGGCCCTGGTGAGCCTCGTAGGAGCTGCCCCAGGCTCCGGCTTGGGTGCATGCGGGCAGGAGCCAGGGCCTGGCAGAGCCGCTCACCTGTAGGGGCTCGGTCCTGGTAGGGGATGGTTGCAGCCAATTTTTGTTGGTTGGCAGTGGGTATCATTGCCAACACGGAGGACATGGAGCTGGCCTCTGGCCTGGTACAGCACCCGGTTGGCCCTCAGTGTGAGATAGTAGCCCCTCTGGGAGAAGTTGGCAGGAGCAGGGATGTCCTGGTTTGTCCGTGGGGCCGTGAAGCTCTGGGTGGCTAAGGGTGGCACCATGGTCAGACAGGTCACACAACAGGATCCCACCCTCACCTTACCAAGCCTGACAGCCCTCCCCAGCCCCATCCCCTGCAGCACCTGCTCCCTGCATCTCCCTGCAACACACCCGCTACTGCCCTTAGGCCCACAGGCCCATTTCACATAGGGAAAACCGAGGCCTGGCCCCAGCAGCACCCACCGTTGCTGAGGGCCACCACCAGCCAGATGGTATCCAAGTCAGAGATGTTGTGGCTGCTGAACTGGCCTAGAGGCTGCTCCAGCGTGAAGGTGGACAGGGTGAGCCTCCCCGCCAGGGTGTCGTTTGAGAGCTGGGGCACATAGCTGATGTGCTCTGGGGCAGCTGGAAGGGGAGGGCAGAGAGGAGAGGCCAAATGGGGCAACCAAGCCCCAACAGCTCTGGTCTCCCCCCGCCCAGATCCAGACTTAACATGGGAGCCCCAAGTTACGGGCACTTCCTGGGAGGTCAGGTCCGGTATGAACCAGGAAGCTTTCCCGGCAACTCTATGCCCCATGGGCATGGATGGGAGGCCTGAGTCCAGCCCCTGGCCCCTCTCTTAGGAGCCTACTGGGGGTGGGCACTGTGGGAGGTCTAGGACAATGGTGGCATGGGAGGTCCCACCCTGGCGGTAGGCACAGTTCTCCCGGGCCGGGCCATGTTGGGATGGAACTGGAATTTGGGGACAGCCTGACCCTAGGCTGAACTCTGTTCCTGACATGCCTAGTGACCTCCAACTTAAGTCCCTCCAGCTCCACCCATATGGTCTAGGTTGTTTTGCTTGATGAGAGGATGCGTGGCTTGGCAGGGGTCGGGGGGATGGCACAGGAAGGTCCCCTTGGCTGAGACCCCAGGCTGGGACACAGACTGCCCAGAGGGTCCGGGGGCTCTGAAGCCAGAGCTTGGTTCCGAGTGAGTCTAGAACGTCCTCTTCAACCTGTCTGGTTCTCTGCCACCTCCCAACATGGCCCCAAGGCATCTTCGCCTTCAGGACCAGGTCCCCCTCTCAGACTCCCACCTCATCTCTCTGGGGAAGGGTGGGGGACGAGGACAAGCTTCCCAGGTCTGTACCCCAAAGGGGACTCAGGATTGGCAACTTGGCCTGTGTCCAGCCTTGCTGGTTGGAGAGCTCAGACCTCCCCAACCCCAAATACTGGTCCAGGAGAAGCAGAACGATGGAGTGGGTTTCTATGCGAGTCTCCAGCAGCTGCCCCTGTTCAGTTCAGTTCAGTTCAACTTGATTCATTTACGTTGAATTCAACTCAACTCCAAAGGTTCAGGCTAGAGTCTTCCTTGGGGAAGGATTGTCACGATTCCTTTCTTAGAGCTCTCAGTCCTATCTCTGAAGCCCAGGGCACTCTGCGTGCAGGAGGCACTTAATGTTTAGAAAGAGAAGTGGAGGCCGGGCGCGGTGGCTCACGTCTGTAATCCCAGCACTTTGGGAGACTAAGGCGGGCATATCACGAGGTCAGGAGTTCGAGACCAGACTGGCCAATATGGTGAAACCCTGTTTCTACTAAAAATACAAAAATTAGCCAGACATAGTGGCGCACGGCTGTAATCTCAGCTACTCAGGAGGCTGAGGCAAGAGAATTGCTTGAACCCGAGAGGCGGAGGTTGTGGTGAGCCGAGATCGCGCCACTGTACTCCAGCCTGGGCGACAGTGGGAGACTCTGTCTCGAAAAAAAAAAAAAAGAAAGAAAGAAAAAAAAGAAAAAGAAAGAGAAGCGGAGCAGTCAGAGATTGGGGTTGGGGGCAGAGATTGTAGGACTGTATCTCTCAGCCTGTCCAGTTTTTCTTTTCTTTTTTGAGACAGGGTCTTGCTGTTTGGCCCAGGCTGGAGTGCAGTGGCGCATTCATAGTTCACTGCATGGGCTCAAGCCATCCTCCCGCCTCAGTCTCCCAAGTAGCTGGGATTACAGGTGCACTCCACCACACCCAGCTAATTAAAAACAAAAATCTTAAAAAAAAAAAATCTTTTTAAAAAAAGGGGTCTTGTTATGTTGCCCAGGCTGGGCTTGCCAGAGCTTCCTGGGGACATGCATTGTCCTGGACATCTGGAAACCTCTCCTCAGGGAAAGGAAGGAGGCAGGAGCCATGTGTGAGAATTTGGAAACCAAGTAAGGTCTTGGGTTTGTCCTGCAGCCTGAGATGCAGCGGGTACCCCTGTGCCAATCCCCACCCTTACTCACCCACGTCTGTCCCAGGCTGGACACGGGTCAGTAGCAGCAACAGCAACACTAGCAGCTGGGACTGTCCCGCAGAGAGCCCTATGGCTGGGGCCAAGCCTCCAGCTGTTGTCCATCTGTCTGTCCGTCCGTCTGCAGTGTCTGCAGCCCCAGAGGCTCCCCCGTCTGTAGTCTGTGCTGCGCTAGGGGAAGCTGTTCCTGGCATCTCCTGCTGCCCCTCCCAGATACCCCCTCCTCTCAAACAACTGGTTGGACAGGTTTGGGGGCAGAATCTGCCAGCCCAGTGAATCTGGCATCGCCAGGGAGGGGTCTGAAGAGAACATACAGTTGCAGGAACAAGCCTGGACTACCCCCCAACCCCACCCACCAGGAGCGCCTGACCAGGGAGGGGCTGAGGAAGGAGGGGGGGCAGCCTCAGGATCCAGGCTGCCCCAGGGACAATCCCGCCAAGTCTACCCCGTGGATCTCCTTGTCCAAACAGTCCCCAATGTAGCGACTCTTCCTTTAGGACCTGAGGTGGGAGGATCACTCGAGCCTGGGAGGTTGAGGCTGCAGTGAGCCAAGACGGCACCACTGCACTCCAGCCTGGATGACAGAGTGGGACCCTGCCTCAAAAAAAAAAAAAAAAAAAAAAAAACCAACCTAGGAGGAGTTGGTGTCTGTTTTTGGTTCGTAGGGAGTGCCGGTCAAGCAAACTCCCTGGAGTCTCTTTTATTTATTATTATTATTATTTTTTTTTTTTGAGGCAGGGTCTCACTCTGTTGCCCAGGCTGGAGTGCAGTGGTGCGATCATAGCTCACTGCAGCCTTGACCTCCCAGGCTCAAGGTTCTCAGATTCTCAGGCCCCACCCTGGGGAAGGATGGAGGATGAGGACAAGCTTCCCAGGTCCACATGACAGAGGGACTCAGGATTGGCAATTTGGCCTGTGTCCAGCTTTGTTGCTCAGAGAGCTCAGATCCCCACCCTCAATTCACTCCCTTGTGTGGAAGGGAGTGACCCTTACTTTCTAGCACACACAGGGAAGAGGGCTTGGCTAAGAGCACCCAGGAGGTCAGGGCAGGACTGGGGATTAGATCACACCCAAATGCAAGCTCTGTGGCACTCCTGGTATAGCCCTGCTGTCCCCCTGTAGCCTGGCCCTGGGAGGGGGGCTCCCAGACTTCACACCCCCTCACCTCTTTATCCAGGGGACCGGCTCTCTCTTCCTCCTTCATCCCCAGCCTCTGCCAGGGCAGGGTAGTTCCTCCTCAAGACAGAAAATTACCAGATGGAAGTCCAGGCATGGTGGCTCACGCCTGTAATCCCAGCATTTTGAGAGGCCGAGGTGGGTGGATCACCTGAGGTCAGGAGTTCGAGACCAGCCTGGCCAACACGGCGAAACCCCATCTCTACTAAAAATACAAAATTAGCTGGACGTGGTGGCTTGTTCTTGTAACTCCAGCTACGCAGGAGGCTGAGGCAGGAGAACCACTTGAACCCAGGAGGCAGAGGTTGCAATGAGCCGAGATCACATCACTGCATTCCAGCCTGGGCAACATGAGTGAAACTCCCCCTCAAAAAAAAAAAGATGAGATGGGGCTCAGGGCAGGTGGAGCGAGACCTGTGACCACCTCTCCCCTGGATCGGGGTACTAGCCCCCGTCAGCCTGACCCTCACGCTCTAATTATGCCAGATGTCTTCATTCTGGGAAACCCAACAGATTATCACCTGTGGGCCCCATTTTTGGATGAAGAGGGGCCATTCCCTGAAGGGGACATACCTCAGTTCCCCGAGGGGATTCAGATGTTCACCTCAACTCACAAGAAAAACTTCTGGCCGGGCGCAGTGGTTCACACCTGTAATCCCAGCACTTTGGGTGGCCAAGGTGGGCGGATCATCTGAGGTCAGAAGTTTGAGACCAGCCTGACCAATGTGGAAAAACCCCGTCTCTACTAAAGATACAAAATTAGCCAGTCGTGGTGGCACGCGCCTGTAATTCCAGCTACTCGGGAGGTTGAGGCACAAGAATCGCTTGGACCCAGGATGGGGAGGCCGTAGTGAGCCGAGATCACACCACTGCACTCCAGCCTGGGTGACAAAGTAAGACTCCATCTTAAAAAAAAAAAAAAAGAACAAAAACAAAACCTAGGAAGAGTTGGTGTCTGTTTTTGGTTCGTAGAGAGTGCCTTCTAGCTGTGTCCTCATATGGTGGAAGGGTCAAGGAAGCTCTCTGGGGTCTCTTTTATTTATTATATTATTATTATTTTTTGAGACAGGTCTCACTCTGTTGCCCAGGCTGGAGTGCAGTGGTGTGATCATAGCTCACTGCAGCCTTGACCTCCCAGGATCAAGTGATCCTCCCACTTCAGCCTCCCTAGTAGCTGAGACTGCAGGTATAAGGCACCATGTCCAGCTAATTTTTTGTTTGTTTGTTTGTTTGTTTTGAGACAGAGTCTCACTCTGTCGTTCAGGATGGAGTGCAATGGCATGATCTCGGCTCACTGCAACCTCCACCTCCTGGGTTCAAGTGATTCTCCTGCCTCAGCCTGCTGCGTAGCTGGGATTACTGGCGTGCACTACCACTCCTGGTTAATTTTTGTATTTTTGGTAGAGACGGGGTTCGCCATGTTGGCCAGGCTGGTCTTGAACCCCTGACCTCATGCGATCTGCCTGCCTCGGCCTCCCAAAGTGCTGAAATTACAGGCGTGAGCCACTGTGTCCGGCTGCCCAGCTAATTTTTTAACTTTTTCTAGAAAGAGTCTTACTGTGTTGCCCAGGCTGGTCTCAAATTCCTGGGCTCAAGTGATCCTCCCACCTCAGCCTCCTGAAGTTCTGGCATTCCAGGTGTGAGCCACCATGTCCGGCCTGTATAATACAATTTTTCCCTCTCTCACTCCCTTTCAAAAGGCAGTTGAAAGCAGACATCAGAATGTGGGAAGAGCTTGTTTCCCCTTTTTGAAAACACGTTCTTGCTCATCGACTCATCCTCTCCTTGGGTCCCCAGAGATGGGCAGGGCAGGTGTTATGACTAATCTCATTATACGGATGAGAAGAAACCTGGGGCCCGGCAGGGAAAGAAACTTCCTGCAGTCCCAGGGCAGGTCAGCGGCAGGGCTGGGACCCAACCCCAGGTCTCCTGTACCCAGGCAGGACTCCCTCTTTGCCTTTTTTTTTAAATTTAATTAATTAATTTGAGATGGAGTCTCGGTCTGTCACCCAGGCTGGAGTGCAGTGGCACAATCTCGGCTCACTGCAGCTTCCGCCTCTGGGGTTCCAGTGATTCTCCTGTCTCAACCTCCCAGGTAGCTGAGATTACGGGCACATGCCACCACGCCTGGCTAACTTTTGTATTTTTAGTAGAGACAGGGTTTCACCATGTTGGCCAGGCTGGTCTCAAACTCCTGACTTCAGGTGATCCACCTGTCTCGGCCTCCCAAAGTGCTGGGATTACAGGTGTGAGCCACTGCACCCAGCCTGTCACCTTTTTTTTTTTTTTTTGAGACTGAATCTCCCTTTGTCACCCAGGCTGCCATGCAGTGGTGCCATCATAGCTCACTGCAATCTGTCTCCTGGGCTCAAACAATGATCCCGCCTCAGCCTCCTGAATAGCAGAGACTACAGGTGTGCACCACCATGCCTGGCTCATTTTTAAATTTTTTGTAGAGATGTAGTCTCACTATGTTGCCCAGGCCGGTCTCGAACTCCTGGGCTCAAGTGATCCTCCCACCTTGGCTTCCCAAAATGCTGGGATTACAGGTGTGAGCCACTGCACCCGCCCTTGAATGGATTTTAAAAACCCACCTAGGCTGGGCGTGGTGGTGCATGTTTGTAGTTCCAGTCCTTTGAGAGGCTGAGGCTGGAGGATCATATGAGGCCAGGAGTTTAAGGTTGCAGTGAACCATGATCATACCACTCCACTCCAGCCTGAGCGACGGAGTGAGACCCTGTCTCTAAACTAATAATAATAATAATTTTTGAAAGTGTTAAAATCCACCTAGAATTTATTTTTGGTGTGATGTGTGATTCAAATTATTTTTTTCTCAAGTTAGCCCGTTATTCAAACACTAAAATATTGAAAAATGCATCCTAAGCCGGGTGCAGTGGCTCACACCAGCACTTTGGGAGGCCAACGCAGGCGGATCACCTGAGGTTGGGAGTTCAAGACCAGCCTGACCAACATGGAGAATAATAATAAGCCGAGATCACGCCATTGTACTCCAGCCTGGGCAGCGAGAGTGAAACTCCATCTCAAAAAGAAAGAGAGAACGAGAGAAAGAGAGAGAGAGAGAAAGGAAGGAAGGAAGGGAGGAAAGAAAAAGAAAGAAAGAAAGAAAGAAAGAAAGAAAGAGAAAGAAAGAAAGAAAGAAAGAAAGAAAGAGAAAAGAAAGAAAGATGTATCCTTTCCCTATTTGAACTGAAATGCCTTTTTTTTTTTTTTTTTTTTTGAGACGGAGTCAGCCTGGAGTGCAGTGGTGCAATTTCGGCTCGTTGCAGCCTCTGCCTCCCAGGTTTAAGTGATTCTCCTGCCTCAGCCTCCCAAGTAGCTGGGATTACAGGCGCACACCACCAACCCACATAATTTTTGTTTTTTTAGTAGAGATGAGTTTTCACCATGTTGGCCAGGCTGGTCTCAAAGTCCTGACCTCATATGATCTGCTCACCTTGGCCTCCCAAGGTGCTGGGGTGACAGGCATGAGCCACCGCGCCTGGCCTGAAATGCCGTTTTTATCATACGCTGCAGACTAATGCATCCTCAGTGTCACCTCCCAGCTTGATGTGGGACAAGCCACCAAGGGTGTCCTCACCATGGCCCCGCTCAGGCCACCAGTTGGCTATGTTTGCCCCTGCCACCCCAGGCACACAGGAGTTCAGGAGTCCTCTCTGGCCTTGCCTTTATCCTGGGGCAGCTGCAGGTGACAACCTGTGGAAGAGGTGGTAAGAGGAGCCAGGACACAGGCCAGTCTGAGGGACACGCTCCTCCCACAGTCCTGGAGAGGGGCCTGCATGTTTCTGCACCTGGAGGGCCGGGCCAGGGTGGGGAAGACTGGGGATGGGGGGGAGGCTGGACCCTGCAGGTTCTTGGACCTGTGGTCAACTGGGAAGCCAAGTCCCTGATCTGCAGTGAGGCTGCGGCTGCCAGCCCCTTGAATAGGCACAGTAAGCACCTCCCAGCAATGCCACTGTGCAGAAGAGATGTCAACAGTGACAAGGGGGGCCAGGATGGTCCCCAAACCAGACACCCCATCTTCACCCTCTGCCATTTTCCTTCTCCAGGTCAGCCCTGGGGCCCTGGCACAAGCTCAGGAGGGGAGAGAGGCCATGCAAAGTGATCACACTGGACCTTCTGCCCTGAGAGCCTGGGCACTGGGAGCCAGATGTACTGTGATTTAGAAGAATGCGGCCAGGTGCGGTGGCTCACAGCTGTAATGCCAGCACTTTGGGAGGCTGAAGCAAGAGGATCGCTTGAGCTCAGGAGTTCGAGACCAGCCTGGGCAATATGGTTAGACCCATCTCTACTAAAAATACAAAAAATTAGCTGCGCATGGTGGTGCACGCCTGTAGTCCCAGTTACTCATGAGGCTGAGGGTTGAGGCATGAGAATTGCTTGAGCTCAGGGTGGTTGGGGGAGGTTGGGGGGATGGAGGGTAGAGCTGAGCTGGGATAGTACACCACTGCACCCAGTCTGGGTGACAGAGTGAGACCCTGTCTCAAAAAAAAAAAAAAAATGCATCTTATACCTTGAGGGTCATGGAGTCTTTCACGCCTTCGTGTGTGTGTGTGTGTGTGTGTGTGTGTGTGTGTGTGTATTCAGGTCAACTTCCGGAATTTCTGTTTCATTTCTTGGATCAATCTCTCTGTTCAGGTGTCACTACTAGACTATTTTAATCCCCGTATGTATGTATGTATGTATGCATGTATGTATGTATGTATTTATTTTGAGACGGAGTTTTGCTCTTGTTGCCCAGGCTAGAGTGCAATGGTGCGGTCTCAGCTCACTGCAACCTCCACCTCCTGGGTTCAAACGATTCATTCTCCTGCCTCAGCCTCCCAACTAGCTGGGATTACAGGTGCCCACCACCACGCCTGGCTAATTTTTGTGTTTTTAGTAGAGATGGGGTTTCACCATTTTGGCCAGGCTGGTTGAGAACTCCTGACCTCAAGTCATCTGCCCGCCTCTGCCTCCCAAAGTGCTGGGATTACAGGCGTGAGCCACTGCGCCCAGCCAATCGCTGTATTTTTATAGTCTGCTTTGTTCTGTAAATGATCCCTCTCGAGTGTAACTCACTAGTGGGCTGTGTCCTTCTTTGGTGAATGTCTTTTTCCCATTAAACTGTAACTCTCTGAGGGTGGGGACTGGATCTGTTTATCTGTTTAGTTCTCCCACTGAATCCTCACTGTTAACCTAGGGGTCTGGCACAATAATTGTGTCCAGTAATTTTTTTTTTTTTTTTTTTTTGAAGCAGGGTCTTGCTGTGTCACTCAGGCTGGAGTGCAGTGGTGCGATCAGAGCTCACTGCAGCCTCGAACTCCTAGACTCAAGTCATCCTCCTACCTCAGCTTCCTTAGTACCTGGATTACAGGCACATGTCACCATGCCCATCTAATTTTTAAATTTTTTACTTTTTTTTTTTTTTGAGATGGAGTCTAGCTTTGCTGTCCAGGCTGGAGTACAATGGCATGATCCTAGCTCACTACAACCTCCGCCTCCTGGGTTCAAGCGATTCTCCTGCCTCAGCCTCCCAAGTAGCTAGGATTACAGGTGCCCACCACCATGCCCGGCTAATTTTTGTATTTTTAGTAGAGATGGGGTTTCACCATGTTGGCCAGGCTGGTCTCAAACTCCTGACCTCAAATGACCCATCCCCCTCGGCCTCCCAAAGTGCTGGGATTACAGGCATGAGCCACTGCGCCCAGCCAATTTTTAAATTTTTTCTGGAGATGGGGTGCTCGCTATGTTGCCCAGGCTGGTCTCAAACTCTAGGCCTCAAGTCCTCCTGCTCCGACCTCCCAAAGTGCTGAGATTACAGGCATGAGCCACTGTGCTCAGCCCCAACAATTATTTTTGACAGATAATAGGGATGTCTCCTTGCTCTCTGTGTCTGGCCAAGTAGCCCCAGGTGACACTCGTTTTTTTTTGTTTTTGAGACGGAGTCGTGCTCTGTTGCCCAGCCTGGAGTCCAATGCCGTGGTCTCGGCTCACTGCAATCTCCGCCTCCTGGGTTTAAGTGATTCTCCTGCCTCAGCCTCCAGAGGAGCTGGGACTACAGGTATGTGCCACCACACCTGGCTAATGTTCTTATTTTTAGTAGAGACGGGATTTCGCCATGTTGGCCAGGCTGGTCTCGAACTCCAGACCTCATGATCCACCCGCCTTGGCCTCCTAAAGTGCTGGGATTACAGGTGTGAGCCACCATGCCCGGCCGTGACACTCGTTTTATAGCATCAGGCTGGTGACCAGAATGTCATGGCTTCTGGGCAGAGGCCAGCTTCCATGCCGTGTCCTGTCTTCCTAGTGCAGATGTCCCCAGCTGCAGAGAGTACCAGTGTGAGGGAATGGGCTCCAGACTCCCAGAGGGGCCACAGGGATGGCCACGCCAAGCTCTGGGGAGTAGCCGATTCCCCAGCACCTGCCTGCCCATGCACCTTTGGGGTGACTCATAAGACAGGGTGGGGCTCCCACCTGCCCTCTCCCAAAAGGCAATCAGCTATAAAGGCTCTCAGAGGCCCACCCAGCCCCAGGTCATCAAACAAGCCCCAGTTCCATGGCAACCATTATACCCATTCATCAAGGAGATGTAGAGGGAGGTGCTTCCTGGTTCACCCCACCCTCAGCAGAGACAGACCCCAGATCTGGGCCCAGGACTTTGTGCAGGGAGGGGAAATGCAGGTGACTCAGCCCCTATTCCTCCATCAAACCAGGCTTGAAGATGGGTTAAATCAGAGCTTTTCATTCCACAAAAGAGAAATTTTAATGGGGTCAGAACATTGATCTTCTAATATTTGAAAGCCTGTTAACTAGGAGAGAGAGAGCAAACGATTTTGTTGTAGGAGGACCCACCCAGCTCTGACGGTTTAAAGCGTCATGAATGCGAATTTGAACTCCAGAAAAGCAGAGCTTCCTAACAATGGGACTTCCACAGCAATGGGATCTGCTTCCTCTTTCAGTTTGTGCCTTTTCTATGAGCGAGAGACTCCTAGGAAAGCAGCAGCCCATCAGGAAAACGTGTGGGAACTCACTCGCAGGTTCTTTATTTTTTTTGAGATGGAGTTTTGCTCTTGTTGCCCAGGCTGGAGCACAATGGTGCGATCTTGGCTCCCTGCAACCTGCGCACCATGAGTTCAAGTGATTCTCCAGCGCCCTCTCCTGAGTAGCTGCGATTACAGGTATCCACCACCATGCCTGGCTAATTTTTTGTATTTTTAGTAGAGATGGGGTTTCACCATGTTGTCCAGGCTGGTCTCAAACTCCTGACCTCAAGTGATCCACCCACTTTGGCCTCCCAAAGTGCTGGGATTACAGGCATGAGCCACTGAGCCCAGCCGGGAACCCGCAGGTTTTTTGGATGGTCTCTGAATGTCATGTAACTCTTTTATTTTTTATCAAAAAAAAATTTTTTGACACAGTATCTTGCTGTGTTGCCCAGACTGGAGTGCAGTGGCAAGATCATGGCTCACTGCAGCTTCTAACTCCTGGGCTCAAGTGATCTTCCTGTCACATGAGTCTCCCAAGTAGTTGGAACACAGGTGCCAGCCACCACACCTGGCTAATTTGGTTTGGTTTTGTTTTTTTAGAGATGGGCTCTTGCTATGTTGCCTATACTGGTCTTGAACTGCTGGCCTCAGGCAATCTTCCTCCCTTGGCCACCCAAAGTGCTGGGATTACAAGCATGAGCCACTGTGCACAGCTGAAATTTTTCGACTTAGTCTTTTTGTACATGTGATATTTTATTCATAGAATCCATAAATGGAAGGGAAATTTCTGAGTTCAGAGCAATACATATGATACAAAACTTGATATATAGACTAGAGTTTCTTAGCCGAACTGGAGGGGCTGGCTTAGGTAATCCATGGATTCCCTGAAATTGGGGACACCATTGGAAATATGTGTGAGCTCCATTGGAAATATGTGTGAGCTCAGGGGCAGTTTCCTATGATTTTTAGGCCTCAAAATGTCTCTTGGACTCAAAATTGCCTTAGGGCAGAGGACGTATGTACCCCCAGTACAGAATCTTGGACAGTGAATGTGAGTAAACATTCAGCAGAAAAGCTCTGCCAAACTGAGTGCTCTGATGTGACTTTTTCATCAAGTCAGTATTCCTGGGATCTCTTGTACATGATAATCTCACTCTTGTACATGATAATCTCACTCTTGTACATGATAATCTCACTCTTATAAGGTTTCATCGTTTCTGCTTACCCTAGTTTTCTTTCCCACTCTGTTCCCTCTCCCACCAGACTGGACTCTGAAATGGGCACGTACAGAGACGAAGAGACCCCAACATGCTTCAGGCTTTGAGTGGAGAGGACACAGCCTCTGCTGGGACAGGGAACAGAGGGATGTGGAGTCCCTGAAGATGCTTTTGGACAATGGTCTGAGGTTGGGACAGTGGCAGGAGATACCATTCACCCAGGATCTCCAGGACAAGAGATCAGCCTGGCAGTTACATGTGTTTTTTTTTCAAACTGGTTGCCAGGTTGGCATGAACGATGACATCAGAGATTCCGACCTTCCTGATTGGAGGGACCGGACTCCGTGGTGCCTGGAGATCAGTTGGACAACAGTATCTTCTCAGAGCTGTTCTCCACTCCTGACTTCTCCTAGGCTTGAGAATTGATAACATACTCTTCTGGATCCTAGCAGTGTCCAGAAGAAGGCCATGGACAGAACGGAGACTAGGTTCCGTAAGAGGGGACAGATTACGGGAAAGATCACGACCAGCCGTCAACCGCACCGCCAGAATGAGCAGAGTCCCCAGCGGAGCACCTCGGGGTACCCCCTCCAGGAGGTGGTGGATGATGAAGTGTTGGGACCATCAGGTGAGGGGACTGGTGGAAGAAGAGGTGGGATAGGATTGACTAAGACGAAGGAAGGGGGCCGGGTGCGGTGGCTCACGCCTGTAACCCCAGCACTTTGGGAGGCCGAGGCGGGCGGATCATCTGAGGTCAGGAGTTCAAGGCCAGCCTGGCCAATATGGTGAAACCCCATCTCTACTAAAAGTATAAAAATTAGCCAAGTGGTAGTGGTGCACACCTGTAATCCCAGCTACTCAGGAGGCTGAGACAGGAGAATCACTTGAGACTGGGAGGAAGAGGTTGCAGTGAGCTGAGATCACGCTACTGCACTCCAAAAAAAAAAAAAAGAAAAGAAAAGAAAAGAAGGGTCAGCGGTCAGGAAGGAGAACCTGAGGAGGGTGTGTGGGAAGAATGGAGAAATTCAGGCTGGGTGCGGTGGCTCACACCTGTAACCCCAGAACTTTGGGAGGCCAAGGCAGGCGGATCACTTGAGGCCAGGAGTTTGAGACCAGCCTGGCCAACATGGTGAAACCCTGTCTCTACTAAAAGTACAAAATTGAGCTGGGCATTATGGCAGGCACCTGTAATCCCAGCCACCTGAGAGGCTGAGGCAGAAGAATAAATGGAATCCAGGAGATGGATGTTGCAGTGAGCTGAGATTGCACCACTACACTCCAACCTGGGTGACAAAGCAAGATTCTGTGTCAAAACAAAACAAAACAAAACAAAAAAGGAGGGACTCAGAGAGCCAGGGACCAGGGAAGGACATGAAGCAGCGTTCGGAGGACAGAGAGAGAGAAGAATGGGGAGGGGAAGGAGCGGCACATGGGGTTGAGCAGAGGAGAAAATCAGAAAGATGGCTTAGAGAAGTCAGCAGTCTGCGAGTCTGGGGAGGATGGAGAGTGGTTTGGGGTTTTGGGTCGGGGTCTAAGGTGATCAGATGCAGAAGCATTACACAGTGGCCTGGTTTCTTTACTCAGCCCCTGGGGTAGATCCCAGCCCCCCATGTAGGTCCCTTGGCTGGAAAAGGAAGAGGGAGTGGTCAGATGAATCTGAGGAGGAGCCGGAGAAGGAGCTCGCCCCTGAGCCTGAGGAGACCTGGGTAGTGGAGACGCTGTGTGGGCTCAAGATGAAGCTGAAGCAACAGCGAGTGTCACCCATCCTCCTTGAGCACCACAAGGACTTCAACAGTCAGCTTGGTAGGAGGACACCCCAGAGAGCACCTCCAATCCTGTTCTTTCTAAAAAGAGGAAACTTCCAATAACCACACTTTTCCAATGGGAAAGATACGCCCCCAGTGGGTGAGATCTCCACGCAGGAGGACTCAGAAGTGATCACTCATGAGGGACACTTAGGAGACAATAGAGGACTAGGCTAGACTTGATAAAGGTTGGCGCTTGGGATGAGAAAGCTTGGTTTCGGGCTAGGTGCAGTGGCTCACGCCTGAGATCCTAGCACGTTGGGAGGCTGAGGCAAGAGGACTGCTTGAACTCAGGACTTTGAGGCTGCAGTGAGCTATGACTGCACCACTGCACTCCAGCCTGGGTGACAGAGCAAAACCCTGTGTCAAAAGAAAAACGAAGGCCGGGTGTGGTAGCTCATGCCTGTAATCCCATTACTTTGGGAGGCTGAGATGGGTGGATCACTTGAGGTCAGTTGTTCGAGACCAACCAGACCAATATAGCGAAACGTCATTTATACTAACGATACAAAAATTAGCCAGGCATGCCTGTTATCCCAGCTACTCGGGAGGCTGAGACAGGATAATCGCTTGAACCCAGGTGGAAGAGGTTGTTTTGAGCCAAGATAGTGCCACTGCATTCCATTCTGGGTGAGAGAGTGAGACGCTGTCTCAAAAAAAAAAAAAAAAGAAGGAAGGGCGGGCCCAGAAGTCAGGAAGGAGCACGTGAGGAGGGTGTGTGGGAAGAATGGAGGTACTGAGGCAGGGTTCAGTGGCTCACACCTGTAATCCCAGCACTTTGGGAGGCCAGGCAGGCAGATCACTTGAGGCCAGGAGTTGGAGACCAGCCTGGCCAACATGGTGAAACCCTGTCTCTTCTAGAAGCACAAAAATGAGCTGGGCGTTCTGGTGGGCACCTGTAATCCCAGCTACTTGGGAGGCTTAGGCAGGAGAATCACTGGAACCCAGGAGGCAGAGGTTGCAGTGAGCCAAGATCGCACCACTACACTCCAGCCTAGGCCACAAAGCAAGACTGTTTCTCAACAACAACAACAAAAAAAAAAAAAAAAAAAAAGGGACTCAGAGAGCCAGGGACCAGGGAAGGATATGAGGAAGTGTTCTGAGGACAGAGAAACGGGAGAATGGGGAGGAGAAGGAGCGGCACATGGAGCTCAGCAGAGGAGACAGACAGAAGGAAAGATGGCTTGGAGAAGCCAGCAGTCTGCGAGGCTGGGGAGGATGGAGAGTGGTTTGGGGTTTTGGGTCGGGCTCTAGTGTGATCAACTGCAGAAGCATTACACCGTGGCCTGGTTTCTTTACTCAGCCCCTGGGGTAGATCCCAGCCCCCCGCATAGGTCCTTTTGCTGGAAAAGGAAGATGGAGTGGTGGGACAAATCTGAGGAGTCGGAGGAGGAGCCACGGAAGGTGCTCGCCCCTGAGCCTGAGGAGATCTGGGTGGCGGAGATGCTGTGTGGCCTCAAGATGAAGCTGAAGCGACGGCGAGTGTCGCTCGTGCTCCCTGAGCACCACGAGGCCTTCAACAGGCTGCTTGGTAGGAGGACACCCCAGAGAGCACCTCCAATCCTGTTCTTTCCAAAAACAGGAAACTTCCAATAACCACACTTTTCCAATGGGAAAAATAGGCCCCAGTGGGTGAGCTCTCCATGTGGGAGGAATGTGAAGTGATCACTCATGAGGGACACTTAGGAGATGATAAAGGATTAGGTCAACTTGATAAAGGTCAGCGCTTGGGATAAGAAAGCTTGGTTTCGGGCCAGGCGCAGTGGCTCCCGCCTGAGATCCCAGCACGTTGGGAGGCTGAGGCAAGAGGATTGCTTGAACTCAGGACTTTGAGGCTGCAGTGAGCTATGACTACACCACTGCACTCCAGCCTGGGTGACAGAGCAAAACCCTGTCTCAAAAGAAAAACCAAGGCTGGGCACAGTAGCTCATGCATGTAATCCCAGCTACTCGGGAGGCTGAGACAGGAGAATCGCTTAAACCCGGGAGGCAGAGGTTGCAGTGAGCCAAGATCAGGCCACTGCATTCCAGCCTGGCCCACAGAGCAAGACTCTGTCTCAAAATAAATTAATAAATAAATAAAAATAAAAATCAAATAAAGAAAAACAAAATCAATAAACAAAGAAAGTGGTTTCAGCTGTGCCCTCTGAAACTTAATGTCTCTTACTGACTTTTCTAAACCTAAGTGTCTCCATCCATAGTGGGGGATACCAAGGCCATGGTCACACCCTGATGTGTGACTGTCTCATGAGGAAATGATGGGAATTCCTTTATGACTCTGCAGTGGTCCCTCCGTGTCTGCTGGAGGGGGTCCTGGCTGATTCCCAGCTCTACATCCTGTAGATTCTCACACCCAGGGCCTCCTTCGGCCTCTTCTCAGGGGAGTCTCAGAGCAGGAGCCTCTCTCCCTTGCCCAGTGAAAGTCATTCTCCCCTCTCCCATCCACCTCACCCGCGGCCACAATCCTGAGACTTCCCCCCGGGAGGCACACTTCTCCTCGCTGCCCTGCTGCTCCCACGGAAACCCTGTCCTGCTTCTCACACTGACATCTGCTCTCTAATCACAGAGGATCCTGTCATTAAAAGATTCCTGGCCTGGGACAAAGATCTGAGGGTGTCGGACAAGGTAAGGTTGTTCTCCATGTAACTGTTCCTGTTCCAACGCATGGCTGGGGGGAGGGCGCAGCTTCCAAACCCACAGTTCTCCCTCCACCACCTCCCACCAGATGCTCCTACAGTCTTTTTTTTTTTTTTTTTTTTGTGTGTGTGAGACAGAGTCTTGCTCTGTTGCCCAGGCTGGAGGGCAGTGTCTCGATCTTCACTCACTGCAGCCGATGCCTCCTGGGTTCAAGCGATTCTCCTGCCTCAGCCTCCAAGCAGCTGGGATTACAGACATGAACCACCACGCCTGGCTAATTTTTGTGTTTTTAGTAGAAACGGGGTTTTGCCATGTTGGCCAGGTTGGTCCTGAACACCTGACCTCAGGCAATCCACCCACCTTGGCCTCCCAAAGTGCTGAGATTATAGACGTCAGCCACTGTGCCCGACCAGCTCCCATGGTCTTGAGTCTTGGCACCCACAAATTTTTTTTTTGTGAGACAGAATCTAGCTCTGCTCCCCAGGATGGAGTGCAGTGGCATGATCATAGCTCATTGCAGCCTCTAATTCCTGGGCTCAAGCAATCTTCTTTCCTCAGCCTCCTGAGGAGCTGGGACTAGGCACATGCCACCATGCTCAACTAATTTTTGAAATGTTTGTGGAAACAGGGTCTCACTATGTTGCCCAGGTTGTTCTCGAACTGTTGGGCTCACATGATCCTCCTGTCTCCACCTCTCAAAAAGTACTGGGATCACAGGCTTGAGCCGCCACTCCCGGCTATTCTTGGTCTTTTTATGATTTGTCAGCATCTCCCTCAGGATTCTGCTGGTCTCTTGCAGAGTGAATGAGTGGCCCCTGCCTCTCCTATGGGTCCTTTGGGATCTGAGCTCTGGGCCACAGTCTGGCCGCAGCCCTGAAGCTCCTGGCCCCTCTACTCTCAGCTCTTCGGGACAGTTCTCTGCCTGGCACACAAAAGACCCTCCTGACACCAGCCAACCTAGACACACCCCCTCCAAAGATCCCATCGGAGCCCACCATCCTGGGAGCATCACCCAAAACCCTTCCTCTGGCTTCTCGGATTTGCATCCGACCTTCGAATACCCCTCCATCCCGCAATTTCCAAATGAGTACAGTCACCCCAACACTGAGGTCCCTTCTCTGATGGGCAGCCCCTCCCCAGACCCTCATTCCCCCTCTCCACAATCTTCCTCTTCCAAGATGTGACCTCTCCCTCTCTGTGTTCCTTTCTCTCCATCAGTATCTCCTTGCTATGGTCATAGCGTATTTCAGCCGAGCCGGCTTCCCCTCCTGGCAATACCAACGCCTTCATTTCTTCCTGGCTCTGTGAGTGGTTTGCTGCCTCCTATCCGTCAATATCCAATGCCCTGGGACAGCGGGGGAAGTGGGATTCCAGCCTTTCATTTATTCTTTCACCTATTTGTCCTCTTTACTCTGTGTACAAAAAAGAGAGGATTATACTATCATAGACTGTTGTTTCTAAACAGAAACTCAGGCTGGGCACAGTGGAATACGCCTGTAATCCCAGCACTTTGGGAGGCCGAGGCAGGCGGATCACCTGAGGTCAGCAGTTCGAGACCAGCCTGGCCAACATGGCCAAACCCCGTCTCTACCAAAAATAGAAAAATTAGCTGGGCGTGGTGGTGTGCATCTGTAATCCCAGCTACTCGGGAGGCTGAGGCAAGAGAACTCTTTGAACCCAGGAGGTGGAGGTTGCAGTAAGCTAAGGTCGAGCCACTGCACTCCAGCCTGGGTGACAGAGTGAGACTTTTTCTCAAAAAAAAAAAAAAAAAGCCAAAAAAACAAACTCCAATGCCAGTGTACAAATAAAAGAATAAAACAAAAGGAACCATAAACCACTCCTAAGGGGAAAAGAAAAGGAGTGGAGGAGCGGACATGCCACTTCCTCCAGCAAGCAGACGTTTCTGGTTCTTCTCTCTCTCTCCTTCCCACATCAACCACAAACGCCATCGACCTCCTCTGGGTTCCCATGACAGAGGCCACAGTTCAGGTCCCCCTCGCATCACTCGAATCCACTGTCAAATGCTCCCCGCTGGGGTCTCCTGGAGTCTCTCCCCAAGCCAGGGGGCTTCCTAGTGCAGCCTGAACATCTTTCCAAAGCACGACAACCTCACTGCCCACCTGAACAACTTCCTTAGCTGATGCCTTTCTCTATCGAGGCCAGGGTCCACAGTATCAATTCTACCCTCTCTACAATCTCTACAAGCACACTGGCTCGCCATCTTGGTATTTCCTGGCTCGGCTTCACTGCTCCTTCCAAATGCCCTCCACTCGACTTTGTGTTTGTGTTTTCTGTCTGGGTGTCCCGCATACATGTGGCTCTGAAGGGAAGGACCCATTCCTTGAAGTCAGTTCACCCCACAGCCTCTGTGATGCCTTCCCTCATCTTCCAACTTCTGCATGCCCGTAGCTCTCTAGTTACATCCTGGACACTGGGATTAGGTCATCTGCCTTGATTACTCCCAGTCCCATTAGACTAGATGCCTGTAGAAGGCAGGGTCCTGGCAAAATATCAATGTATTCAATTTCTTTTATTTTTTTGAGACAGACTTGCCCTGTCCCCCAAGCTGGAGTGCAGTGGTGAGATCATAGCTCACCGCAGCCTCCATATCCTGGGCTCAAGCGATCCTCCCACCTCAGCTTCTTTATTAGCTCCGACTACAGGGCTGTGCCACCACACCTGGACAGTTTGTTTGTTTGTTTGTTTATTGAGACAGAGTCTTGCTCCGCCTCTCAGGCTGGAATGGAGTGGCCCAATCTCAACTCACTGCAACCTCCGCCTCCTGGGTTCACACAATTCTTATGCTTCAGCCTCCTGAGTAGCTAGGCCTAACAGGTGTGCCATCGCACCAGGCTGATTTTTGTATTTTTAGTAGAGATGGGGTTTCTCCGTGTTGACCAGGCTGGTCTCCAACTCCTGGTCTCAAGCGATCCACCTGCTTCAGCCTTCTAAAGTGCTGGGATTACAGGCATGAGCCACCGTGTCTGGCATATTTCTTATATTTTTAATAGAGACGAGGGTCTTGCTATGTTGCCCAGGCTCGTCTCAAACTCCTGGCCTCAAGTGATCCTCCTGCTTTGGCCTCCCAATGTGCTGGGATTCCAGGCGTAAGCCACCACTCTTGGCCACCAGTTGGGTTTTTGTCTCCATCCTGAAGGAGTGGGAGACGCTCTTGATCAGGTCTCTGTCCAGCAGAGCCCTCCTGAGGAAGGCATGGCTCTCTGCAGGGTGGGTGCCAGTCCTGAGCTAGGAACGGTCCCTTACCTTCCTCTCTGGGAAGCTGACCTCAGCCGGAGGTCTCTCCTGGTGGTGCCCCTGAGCAGCAACCTGATTCCTGTCCTCAGCTACCTGGCCAATGACATGGAGGAGGACGACGAGGACTCCAAACAAAACATCTTCCACTTCCTGTATGGGAAGAACCGCTCTCGCATACCCTTGCTCCGTAAGCGTCGGTTCCAGTTATACCGTTCCATGAACCCGAGGGCCAGGAAGAACCGCTCTCACATACCCTTGGTCCGTAAGCGTCGGTTCCAGTTACGCCGTTGCATGAACCCGAGGGCCAGGAAGAACCGCTCTCAGATAGTCCTGTTCCAGAAACGTCGGTTCCACTTCTTCTGTTCCATGAGCTGCAGGGCTTGGGTTTCCCCAGAGGAGTTGGAGGAGGTGAGTGGGGCCTGGGGAGGTGGAGGAGGTGGGGAGGAATTGGGTGGGCTGGAGGCTGGATGAGGGGAGAGAGGGGTATCCTGGCGAGTCCCCGTCTTCTCAAAGGGCGTTTGTTTTTCCAGATCCAGGCTTATGACCCAGAGCACTGGGTGTGGGCGCGAGATCGCGCTCGCCTTTCCTAGAGCTCCAGGGACCGTGGAGGCCTGAGGTCATCGGCCTGAGAGAAGGTACATCTGCATCCTCCGGGGTAAAGGCAGAATATTGGGGTCTATTTCGGAAATCCGAAGAACCCAATTGCTTGATCCGGCTTCAAGCCTGGGCAACGTGGCGAGATCCCCTCTCCACAAAAATACAAAAATTAGCCAGGCAATGTGGGACGCATCTCTACTCCCAACTACTCAGGAGGCCGAGGCGGGAGGATTGCTGGAGCCTGGAAGGTCGGGGCTGCACGGAGCCCTGATCCTGCCACTGCACTCCAGTCTGGGCGACAGAGTGAGACCCTGCCTCAAAAATAATCATAAATACTGAGTTTGGGGAGGTTCATTATGATTGACGCACTTGAGTTACCGATTTGGGTCGAGGGTTCAGTGAAGCTTTGGTTTACATCTTGTGCAGCTAACCACGTTGAGCACAGAGCATGAGACTTCATCATGAGGAGGTAGGATTAAGGATTAGGCTTCTGGACTTGTGGTTCGTGATGTTGTCACATTAGAAACACATCTAGCATGGTTACAAGTTTAGATCTTAAGTGACACAAAAGGCCTCAGCTGTGATGAAGTCCAAAGCCACATTCTCTGAGGGTGCCCTACTCCCTGGGCAGACCCACCCAAAGTCCTTGCTATGAAGCAGATCACTGGGGCTGACCTTGGGTGTATTAAGTGAGTTTTGGAGTCATGGTCACCAAAGTGTGAGTTTCACAGTTGAACACGATGGTTCAGAAGCAGGGTATAGAATGAAAGGCAGCAGATAAAATTGCATTTCTCAATTGCTCTGAACTCTAGACTTGACATGGGATGTGAATAACCTTCCTGTCTAGAGAGCTGCCTCCTTGAAGTGTGACATTGTCTCTCTCCCTTCCAGAACACCGGACCCAGGGGAGATGTGGATTTTCAGCAGGAACTTTATTCCAATGCTAATGGCAGACACCAGGAAGGAGGAGAGGAACCATTTGTGCAGATCATCTAGAAGAACCTGGACCATTCTTGATGGAGCTGAATACAGTGATCACGTTGTCCTCCTAGGAGCAGGGGTGGGGGGAGGGGGATGGGGTCCTTCTAGGAGTCCTTGGAGAAAAGTAAGAAACCAGGAGTGTTTCCAGTTCCACCCTTTCCTGGGGCACCACCACCCTTTTTATATTGCTGAATTCCAACCTCCCTGGGGCGGAACCTGGAGGTCCTGTTTCTTACGGACTTGGTTGCCACAGTCCAGGAGCATTTGAAGGCACAATGCAGGGGCTCAGATTGGCACAGAATTCTTTTGTGAAATATCAGTGCCACAGATTGTAACAGATAGCTTCATGCACACTCTGCATTTTATTGGTTTGTTTGGAAAATGTTGGCCATTGAATTATTCATAGATTTATTTCAAATAGTTTGGAAATTGTTGTACTTTTGAAAACATGCTGTTCCTGTAGTTTTTTGATGAGAGTTATAGTTGTTATATATACATAAAGATAATTTTCTTTTCATTTTTGAGACAATTCTTTTTATCCTAAATATTTTATCATCTTTAAATTTGTTTCTGTATTATTATATGTGCTCCTGAAGCGAGCACTCTTTTTATCTATGATACTTCCATAATAATCTCTTCTATTTATAGCTATTGGTAGTTCCCCTAAATTCTGACGATAGAAATTTTTATTTGCTGTTTAGGTTTGTGACTGAATTGTGAGAATTCAGTTGTGATTTTTAACATGTGTCAGATATATATACTAACACGTCTAATATATACTATTTTATTGGTTTATTTTGAAAAACATGGGTATAGAATTATTTAAATATTATTTTATTTATTTAAATATTTATTAAATATATTTATTTATTTAAATGTTATTATTACTTTAAATATTATTTTAAATATTTTGGAAATACTGGTATTTTTGAATAGATGCTGTTTCTATAAAGCTGTGTGATGGTATTATAACTGTTATATACACATACATATAATTTTGTTTTCCTTTTTAAGAGAGGATTCTTTTCATCCTAAATCTTTTACCTTTCAATCTTTGTATCTATTATTACACGTGCTGCTGAAGGGAGCATGGTTTTTATCTATGATACTTAGTTAACATATATATTACATTTATAGCTATGTAGTAGTTCCCCTAAATTCTTGTAAAAATAAATTTTTATTTGATATTTCATCTATGTTTGAAATGTGAGAATTCAGATGTAATTTTTTACCTTGATTTGGCATGTTTGTATGTTACTTTAAAGAGGATGTGTGTTCTAAAGGAGGACATGAGCTGTGTGTTTTCAAGAGAACAATAGAGTGTGTCTCTTGGGGAAACGTAATAAAAATGAACTTTTCTCACCTTCACAGCAATTGTGATCATATTGGTCTGGATTGATTATTTGCTGCCCAGTGATATTTTTCCTTAATGGGGTTGTGGTTATTTGAACATATTTATTAGCTCTGAAAGATAATCCTGTGCCGTTTTTTATGTAGAAAAAAACATAAGGCTGGGTGCAGTGCTCACACCTACAATCCCTGCAGTTTTGGAGGTCATGGCGGGAGGATCACCTGAGGCCAGGAGTTTGAGGCCAGCCTCAGCAACATAGCATCTACATCTATTTTTAATTTTTATTTTTTAAAGAAAAACAATAGAAGAGAAGGCTGATCCCAAGCTACAGGGTTTTTTTGTTTGTTTGTTTGTTTTGGAGACAGAGTCTTGCTCTGTCTCCCAGGCTGCAGTGCAGTGGCACAACCTCGGCTCCCTGCAACTTTCACCTCTGGGTTCAAACAAATTCTCCTGCCTCAGCCTCCCAAGCAGCTGGGACTACAGGCACCCGTCTGTACGTCCGACTAACTTTTGTAAAAATAGTAGAGACAAGGTTTCACCATGTTGGCCAGGCTGGTCTCGAACTCCTGACTTCAAGTGATCCACCCACCTCGGCCTCCCAAAGTGCTGGGATTACAGGCATGAGCTACTGCGCCCAGATGCCAAGCTAGAGTTTTAAGGCAGGAAATGAGAGAAAGATATTGAGAGAGGAAAACCAGGTGGTAAGAAAACTCTAAAGGTGGCCGGGCGTGGTGGCTCACGCCCATGATCTCAGCAGGAGTTTGAGAACAGCCTGGCCAACATGGTGAAACCCTGTCTCTACTAAAAATACAAAAATTAGGCAGGCGTGGTGGTGCACGCCTATAATCCCAGCTATTTGGGAGGCTGAGGCAGGAGAATCACTAGCAGAGATTGTGTCTCCTCACCCCCTCTCAAAAAAAAAAAAAAAAAAAAGAAAGTTCCTGCAGCAGTTAAAGCTGTGAAAGGCACTCTGCCATGCAATTCTTTGTGATTTTTCTTTTTTCTTTTTGGAGTTGGGGTCTTGTGCTGTCACCCAGACTGGGGTACAGTGGTGTGGTCATAGCTCACTGCGGCCTCAGACTCAAGCTCAAGCGATCCTCTTACCTTGCCTTTCAAATTGCTGGGATTATAAGCATGAGCCACTGCATCTGGCCTGTGACACAATTCTGTTGTCTTTTTTTTTTTTTTTTTTGGGGATGGAGTCTCGCTCTGTCACCCAGGCTGGAGTGCGGTGGCGTGATCTTGGCTCAATGCAAGCTCCGCCTCCTGGGTTCACGCCATTCTCCTGCCTCAGCCTCCCGAGTAGCTGGGACTACAGGCGCCCACCACCATGCCTGGCTAATTTTTTGTATTTTTAGTAGAGACGGGGTTTCACTGTGTTAGCCAGGATGGTCTCGATCTCCTGACCTCATGATCTGCCCACCTTGGCCTCCCAAAGTGCTAGGATTACAGGCGTGAGCCACCGCGCCCAGCCTATGTGATGCAATTCTGATGTCAACTCCCTGATGTTACCTCAAATGCCACAGGTTAAGGCCACCAGCCCCCACTAGGCTGCCCTCGCTTTAGACACACCTGCAGGCTTGGGTGTCCTCAGACCACATGTACTTCTCACCAACTGGCTGCAAATTTGGAGGTTCCCACCATGCCCTCAAGTTCGATAACTCACTAAAACAATTCACAGAATGCAGAAAAGCATGATACTTTCTTTCTCTTTTTTTCTTTTTTTTTTTTTTTTGAGACGGAGTCTTGCTCTGTCGCCCAGGCTGGAGTACAGTGGCCACCATGCTTGGGTAATTTTTGTATTTGTATTAGAGACGGGGTTTCGCCATGTTGGCCAGGCTGGTCTTGAACTCCTGACCTCAGGTGATCCACCCGCCTTGGCATCCCAAAATGCTGGGATTATAGGCATAGCCACCATGCCCGGTCGACTTCTAGAGTTTCAATAACAGAGATGTGATTCAAGAAGGGAGACATGTTTTGTAGATGGCAGGAGCTTCATGAAAAGAAGCCAATGAAGGGCAGGACGTGTAGCTGTCTACCTACAGGAAACCAGCCAGGAGCCTCCCCACAGGGACTTCAGCACAGACGGCCGGGAAAATCTGCATTAACCTGAGCTCTGGACCTAAGAGAGGACAAGGCCTTGACCATTTCTACAGACTCACAAGATGCAATCTCTGTGGTCCATGCCCGTGGTGTGATCTGGGAAACAGGGGGCCTTCTAAATGCCAACAACAAGGAAATCAAATGTGCAACAAACAGAAATAGCGGCATTGACGTGGGCCATGGAGAGGCCTAAACAGATGACTGCAGTCCACTGCTAAGGTCATCAAAGGGGTGACTCTGAAATAATAAATTTCAGACGCCACGGCCCAAATAGCTGCATGAGCTGGGGAAGTCCTCCACATGCCTCTGCTTCCTTCAGTACCTGTTTATGAAATCAGCCAAGGTACTTCCCTGGGGAATTTCCTTTCTCTTTCTTTCTTTCGAGATGGAGTCTTGCTCTGTCGCCCAGGCTAGAGTGCAGTGGTGCAATCTCGGCTCAATGTAACCTCTCCCTCCTGGGTTTTAGCAATTCTCCTGCATCAGACCTCTGAGTAGTTGAGATTACAGGTGCATGCCACCATGCCCAGCTAATATTTGTATTTTTAGTAGAGACAGGGTTTCACCATCTAGGCCAGGCTGGTCTTGAACTCCTGACCTCGTGATCCACCCGTCTTGGCCTCCCAAAGTGCTGGGATTACAGGTGTGAGCCATCACGCCCGGACTTTTTTTTTTTGAGACGACGTTTCACTCTTGTTGCCCACGCTGGAGTGCAATGGCACGATCTCAGCTCACTGCCACCTCCTCCTCCCAGGTTCAAGCGATTATCCTGCCTCAGCCTCTCGAGTAGCTGGGATTACAGGCACCCAACACCAAACCCAGCTAACTTATTGTATTTTTAGTAGAGATGGGATGTCACCATGTTGGCCAGGATGGTCTTGAACCCCTGACCTCTAATGATCCACCTGAATTGGTTTCCCAAAATGTTGGGATTACAGGCACAAGCCACTGCGCCCAGCCCCTCCCATACCTCTTTTGGCCAAGGCAGCACAATTCAGAAGAATCTTGCCAGGGAAGACTGGTAAATGGACGTCAACGTGATGCCTATGGCTCCTGGTGGATTTAGATACCTCCTGGTGCTTATTGATATCTTTACCAGTTGCACGGGGGCTTTTCCATGCCAGACTGAAAACGCAGGAGATCAAGGATCAACCTTCAACTATTTACTAGCAGAACACTGAGGGGACTGTGCGGTCACCAATACCTCCTATTGCACTTGGATAAACACCTCCCAGGAAATAGAGATGAACAGAAAGGACATAGTCAAACAAGCAGAATGGCTGCATTCCTTCAACCAGAAGGGTCCATTAGTCTGTTTTCACACTGCTATAAAGAATTATGAGAAACTGGGTAATTTATGAAGAAAAGAGGTTTAATTGACTCACAGTTCTGCAGGCTGTACAGAAAGCGTGGCTGGGGAGGCCTCAGGAAACTGACAATCACGGCAGAAGGCGAAGGGGAAGCAGGCACGTCTGGCCATGTTGGAGCAGGAGAGACAGAGAGAGTGAAGTGGGAGGGCTGCAAGCTTTTAAACAACCAGATCCCACAAGCGCTCACTCAATATCACGAGAACAGCAAGGGGGAAGTCGGCCCCCATGAGCCAATCACCTCCCACCAGGTCCCTCCCACAACACTGGGAATTACAATTTGACATGAGATTTGGGTGTGGATACAGAGCTGAACCATGTCAAGGGTAGTTCAACCGCTGAGATTGATTGATTGATTGATTGACTGAGATGGAGTCCTGCTCTGTTACCTAGGCTGGAGTGCAGTGGCACAATCTCGGCTCACCGCAACCTCCGCCTCCCGGGTTCAAGCGATTCTCCTGCCTCAGCCTCCTGAGTAGCTGGGACTACAGCACATGACACCATGCCTAGCTAATTTTTGTATTTTTAGTAGAGACAGGGCTTCACCATGTTTGCTAGGCTGGTCTTGAACTCCTGACCTCGTGATCACCCTGCCTCGGCTTTTCTTTGCTGTGGCTCTTTCCCCTCTAAACTGTTCTAGATTCCCAGGCGCCCTGCCAGGAACAGGTGTGGGCCACCCTGGTGTGAGCTGCCTCCCAGAGGCCTGGAAGGACCAGGCCTTGCCAATCACCGACAAGGGACATAGAAGAGCACCCCCAAAGGACAGTAGGTCCCCGCCCTGATCTGGCCCACAGCACCCGAGGGACCCTGCAGCACTACAGAAGTCCCATGGGGCAGACGGGAGCCACAGGCCCAGACTCCACAGCCCCTCAGTCCACATGTCCTGGAGCCTGTGGTGGAAGTCCCTGCTCTTCCATCACCGCCGCCTCTCCCCCAGGACCTCCGAAGAAACAGGCCAGGGCTGTCCCAGGCCTGGGCACACGGGCCAGTGTCCAGCCCACCCCGTCTGCCCCTCCAGGCCCCGCCCTCACCCGGAAGCGCTCCTCCAGCAGGGACAGCTCACTGATGAGGTCGGTGATGGCGTTGGTAAAGGCTTCCTGGGGGCTGTAGTCCGGCGTGGTCTGCACTCGGATGATGATCTTGTGCTCCAAGGGGTGGGGGACTTTGTAGCCAGCAAATAGCACTTGCGGGTCCTTTAGGTCACACTGTCTGAGGTCCAGGGACAGACAGTGTGAGGGTCTAGCCTCATGCCCAAGCTGGGTAGCAGCCAGATCAGAGCAGAAGAACAGACTTTCTAGCCAAAAATCCCCCCCAACTTTTTTTCCCAAAAGTCTTCAAGGAAAGTAACACTTTTAGGAAGATACCTCATGTGGGGACACCCTACCCCCGCCACACACACACACCCTGCATCCATGAGGTTGAAGGACCCGAGCTGGAAACAGATTCCAGCAACCTCTTCCCACCGGGCACCGCAGTGCTGGCAAAGAGATCTCCCAGGCAGTGAATGTCCAGCCAGTGTTCAGTGACTCAGACCCAAAAAGCCCACAAAGAGCCTCCACGCAGCAAATAAAGGCAGCAGGAGAGGAGGGCCAGCTCCCGGCAGTGAGTGGAATGCAAATGGAACTCTGCCCTCCGAGCAGCACAGCCGCCAGCGGCTGGCCACGCACACTGGGCCTTGTGCCATGGGGCTGCGTCGTGTACTGTGCCCTGGGCATGCAGGGGTCTCCTCTAGAGCGGCTCAGAGTGGTGTGAGCACCACAAGGGGGACCCGTGCATAGGTGGCAACACTGAGCTCAAGAGCAGGGGAGCAGCAGGGCCCCAGGAGAGCTTGGGTGCCCCACTGGCTGGGCTCCGGGCAGGAGTCCTCCATCCCCGTGCCTGACCACACCAGGAGACTGGGCAGACCCCACTCACAGACGGGGAAAAGCCTGGCTTCGCTGGTGGCACCAGAGGGAAGAGCCAAGTCTACAGTAAAATGACAAGTCCCTAGGCCAGAATGGCAGACACATCCCTGACCAACCACCTGGCTAGGACCTCACTGGTATAAACAAACACCCACCAACCAATGCAGGGCGCCCATTAGGGGCACTGGATAGCCACAGAACTCCTACTTCTTTCTCTTGTTAAATAGAAGTTCTAGTCTCTGCCACATACATCTTAGAGGCCCAGGTGGCACTGAGGTCACAAACGGGTGGCATGAGGGGAGCTAATCTTGACTGCTTTTCAATGTCCCTCAGCATGAATAACACACAGGCCTACTGTGCTGGAATCTGCTGCTCGTTCATTTACAGAATGTGCACTTAATGGTGAATGTAAGGCCGGGCACAGTAGCTCACGTCTGTAATCCCAGCACTTTGGGAAGCCGGCAGGTGGATCACCTGAGGTCAGGAGTTCGAGACCAGCCTGGCCAACACAGTGAATCCCCGTCTCTACTAAAAACACAAAAATTAGCCGGGCATCGTGGCGTGGGCCTGTAGTCCCAGCTACTAGGAAGGCTGAAGCAGGAGAATCACTTGAACCCGGGAGGCGGAGGTTGCAGTGAGCAAGATCGTGCCATTGCACTCCAGCCTGGGCAACAAAGAGAGAAAATTCCATCTCAAAAACAAACAAACAAAAAAACAGTGAATGTAAATGCACGTGTTCATCTACAGAATAAGCCACTACAGAAGCGTGGCTTATGTGAAGACATGGAGGTCGGTGTCATTTTGATAAAAAGGTACCAAGGTTATAAAATGCCCAGAGCAAGCCCCCAGAAGGACTTCCTGTAGCTCAGAGAGACTGAGGAAGACTTGGAACTTGTGCTTTGCCCAGAGGGGCCCATTAAACACAGCCCCTGAGAGCCTGTGACGGGAAACTTACGATTTAATGATGTTTCCCAGTGTGTGGTCTTCTTTGTTGATGGTGAATAAACAGGCATTGGGTACCTTGGTGTCCTTGTTAATGGTGATCCTAGGAAGACACAGAGGCCACAGATGAGGAGCAGGGGCTCCCCTCCTCCCACCCTGAGTCTAAACCCTGTCTCCTCCCGGCCAGGTGTGGTGGCTCGTGCCTGTAATCCCAACACTTTGGGAGGCTGAGGTGGATGGATGACCTGAGGTCAGAAGTTCAAGACCAGCCTGCCCAACATGGCAAAACCCTGTCTGTACTAAAAATACAAAGAAAAAAAAAAATTAGCTGAGTGTGGTGATCCATGCCTGTAGTCCTAGCTACTTGGGAGACTGAGGCAGGAGAATCACTTGAACCTGGGAGGTGGAGTTGCAGTGAGCCGAGATCATGCCACTGCACTCCAGCCTGGGCAACAGAGTGGAACTCTGTATCAAAAATATAAAAATAAAAAGGAAAAATAAGCTCTGCCTCTTCCTGAAGGCCTTTCTCAATCTCTTCATCCCATAAAGGCCTCGCCAACCCGGTCCCCTACTTCCTGCTACCCCAGGTCTATGGAACCTTGGCCTTTTCTGAATTCCTCCTTTTTTTTTTCCGGTAGAGATGGGGTTTTGCCTTGTTGTCCTCGCTGGTCCTGAACTCCTCGCCTCAAATGATCTCTCCTGCTGCCCAGGCTGGAGTGCAGTGGTGTGATCATAGCCCACTGAAGCCTCCAACTCCTCGGCTAAAGTGATCCTCCCGCCTTAGCCTCCTGAGTAGCTGGGACCACAGGCACACGTCATCATGCCTGGCCTGTTCCTTTTTTCTTATGCCAACATAATGAAGCAACCAAAAGGTGAAGAAGAGAGGCCCTGAAGTTACACGGTGAGGCTGGTCCTGACCCTGTGAGTTCCGAAAGCAACCATCCCCCTGGCTGGAGTGTGCAGTCCTTCCATCCATTCCCCAAAACAAGTCATGCTCTGGCATTTACTATGATTTTAGTGAACGCTTAGATGGACAAAGACAGGAAACTTCCATTGGATTTTCCAAGACAAGGGGTTTTCAGAGTGCAGTTCCCAGATAAGCAGCATCAGAATCCCCTGGGAACTTGTTAGAGTCTCCCACCTCCCACTTACTGGACCCAGAACTCTGGAGGTGGGGCGCAGGGATCTATGGTTTAAGAAGCCCTTCAGGTGATTCTAATGCACACTCAATTTGAGGGCAACTATGCTGACAGTAAAATCTCACACAGGTGAGAGGTATCAAGTTGAATATCCTTTTTTCTAAGGTGGTTTCTCCAGGCTGACACCACACACATTTTAGGGTGCATCATTCTTTCCTGTGGGGTGCTGTCTTGTGGACATTGTAGGACATCAGCAGCATCCCTGACCTCTATCCAGTAGATTCCAGTCATAACCCCCTTTGACAACCAATAATGTTCTCAGTTATTGCCACATGTCCCTTGTGGACCAAATGGTCCCCAGTTGAGAGTCTGCTCTAAAGGAGGCCGAAGTGGCTGGCAAGGGCCAGACCAAGACCTCTGCATGCCAACCTGGGAACAATAAGAGCCAATGGTTATGAGGTTTTCCAGGTGCTGAGCTTTGGACCAAGAGTTTTACACAAATTACCTCATCCAATTCTTTTTATTTTGAGACAGGATTGCGCTCAGTCGCCCAGGCTGGAGTGCAGTGATGCGATCAAAGCTCACTGCAGCCTGGAACTCCTGTGCTCAAGCAATCCTCCCACCTGAGCCTCCCAAAGTGCCGGGATTAAAAGCGTGAACCAGCGCACCTGGCCAGATCCCTTTTTTTGTTTTTTGAAACGGAGTTTCGCTCCCGTTGCTCAGGCTGGAGTGCAATGGCGTGATCTCCGCTCACCTCAACCTCCACTTCCCAGGTTTAAGTGATTCTCCTGCCTCAGCCTTCTGAGTAGCTGGGATTACAGGCATCTGCCACCACGCCCGGCTAATTTTGTATTTTTAGTAGAGACAGGGTTTCTCCATGTTGGTCAGGCTGGTCTTGAACTCCCGACCTCAGGTGATCCGCCCGCCTCGGGCTCCCAAAGTGCTGGGATTACAGGTGTCAGCCACCGCACCCGGCCTGAATCCCACGTTTAAGTACAGTAATAAACTCATTTTCCAGATGAGGAAACAGGGCTCCGACATATCAAGCCACTCGCCCACAGATACAGAGTGAGCCCAAGCTCTCTCCCCTGGACTCCTTCAACCCGCAGGCAGCGAGGAGCCACTGCGGCTTTTACGCAGGCCGCTGACAGATCGGAGGGGATGAAGGATGGAGGTGGAGGGCGAGAGACAAAAGAGGAAGCTGCCAGATCCCAGAGGAAAAGGGCTATGGAGAACCAGACACTCTGGGTTCGAATACAAGCGCCGCCACTTCCTGTGTCCGGGGCAACTTGCTCGCCTCCAAGCCTCAGTGTCCTCATCTGCAAAATGGACACACTCGCGACTGCCTCGCGGAACGGCCTTAAATTTGGCTGACACAGGCCGAGCGGACGATCAAGCAAAAGCTGTTTCCCTCCAGGGGCAAGAGATGGGCAGGAGACACCCCAGAATGCGACAGCCGCAGGCCCGCGCACCTCGGCCCGCCGCAGCCGGCGTCACTTACTTCTTCTCGCCCTCGAAGAGCAAGAACGACTCGAAGGCTGGAGGGGCGTTCACGCTCCCGCCTCCGTTGCGTCCAGACCCCAAGTGTCTGCCGCCGCCGCCACCAGAGCCCTAATAAGAGGCCTCTTCCGGATTACTCCGGCGGGGCAAACCCGCGCAAGGATCGGCTCATCGCCCCCTTTCGGGCTGGAGGATCTTGCGCAGGCGCGAGAAAACCCCGAGAGAGGCCAGTGCCTCTGTGCATGCGTCAGTGGCGAGCGCACCGCCCCCACCCGCACCCCGGCTTGGCTTTCCCCCGTGGGCGCTTTTCGGCGCATGCTCAGAGCGCCGGGAGGGCTGTTCTGCCCCTACAGAGGCCTCCTAGTCCTGGCTGAGCGGGAACCTCAAGCTGTACCTTTCTCCTTTCCCCATGTCCCTTGATCTCTCTTTGGAAACGTGCACCCCCTTGGAGTGCGCAGCAGGAGGCCCCTGAATAGAGAGAATAAAGCTAAGGGGTAGTGGACAGCTGCCGCTAGCAGCCGTAGGGGGAGCAGAAGATCTCGTGGCTAGAGGCAGATCTATGATAAGCCCCCTGCCCAGGCTGCCTATACCGACTGCTGCAGGACCTCTGCCTGGGGGGTGCAGCTGGCTTGTTAGCCGGGAGGGACAATTGGGTGAGGGATGCAGAAGGAGGCAGGTGTATACAGCAGTGAGAGGGGAGCCCGTAGGGTTACGTATATCTTTTTATATATTATTATTATTATTTAGAGACAGTGTCTCCCTCTGTCGCCCAGGCTGAAGTACAGTGGCGCCATCATGCAGCCTCCAACTCCTGGGCTCCAGAGATCCTCCTGCCTCAGCCTCCCGATAGTTAGGACTGCAGGCATGTGCCATCACACCTAGCTATTTTTTTTTTTTTTTTGGAGATGGTTGTGGGGGGGTGGCCTCCGTATGTTGCCCAGGCTGGTATTGAACTCCTGGCCTCCAGCAGTCCTCCAGCCTCAGCCTCCCAAAGTGCAGTTGGTGGATGTGGGCAGCAAGCCACCCAGGTGCCGAGGCAAGAGACCGAGGGCATGAGCTGTTCCAGTATAATAAAATATATAAAATAAGAATAGTTATACTAGATATAGATCTTAGATATGATTATATATGAATCATTAATCATTAGTTTGTAGTAATTATTCTTTATTCCAATATTATAATAATCCTCGCTCTACAATCATAACCTAGGAAAAACCAGGCCATACAGAGATGGGAGCTGAGGGGACAGTGAGGAGTGACCAGAAGACAAAGAGTGCGAGCTTTCTGTTATGCCCGGACAGGGCCACCAGAGGGCTCCTTGGTCTAGCAGTAACGCCAGCATCTGGGAAGACACCTGTTGCCAAGCCGACCGTGGTCTAGCGGTAGCGTTAGTGTCAAGGAAAAACACCCGCTACTTAGCAGACCGGGAAAGGGAGTCTCCCTTTCCCCGGGGGAGTTTAGAGAAGACTCTGCTCCTCCACAGGCCCGCCCACAGTTACCCGGAGGCCTAACCGTCTCCCTGTGATGCTGTGCTTCAGTGGTCACGCTCCTAGTCCACCTTCATGTTCCATCCTGTACACCTGGCTCTGCCTTCTAGATAGCAGTAGCAAATTAGTGAAAGTACTAAAAGTCTCTGATAAGCAGAAATAATGGTGTAAGCTGTCTCTCTCTCTCTTTCTCCTCTCTCTCTCTGCCTTGGCTGCCAGGCAGGGAAGGGCACCCTGTCCAGTGGAAACGTGACCCATGTGGCCTTACCTATCATTGGAGATGGTTCACTCCTTATCCTGCCCCTTTGTCTTGTATCCAATAAATATCAGCGCAGCCTGGCATTCAGGGCCACTACCGGTCTCTGCATCTTGGTGGTAGTGGTCCCCCCAGCCCAGCTGTCTTTTATCTCTTTGTCTTGTGTCTTCATTTCTGCACTCTCTCGTCTCTGCACACGGAGAGAAACCCACCGACCCTGTGGGGCTGGACCCTACAGGTGGATAAGTGTATCTTACCCTTTTTGGTTTGGTTGTTTTGCAGACTACAGTTTAGCATAAAGGCCCTCCTTAAGCTGTTTGAAGCAACAGGGACTGGGGTCTCAGGGGAGCTACCAGAGCCCTAACAGTTTGGCAGCTGTTTCTCCAAGGCTGGGCAGCAGCTACAGTGCTGAGGAAATCTGGAGCATCTACCCCTTCTGGGAAGGCCCATTTCCTACTTGAGTTCTTGCACCCTGGCAGGAGGAAATCTCATTCTGCAACAGCCCCACACAGAATCTGACTTTCCAGGCGAAGTGGGTGGGCACCTCTTTAACTGCTGAGGAACAGAAAGTGATATGGGTAGGCTGGGTGCGGTGACTCACGCCTGTAATCCTAGCACTTTGGCACTTTGAGAGGCTGAGGCAGGCAGATCACTTGAGGTAAGGAGTTCGAGACCAGCCTGGCCAACATGGTGAAACCTCATCTCTACTAAAAATACAAAAAATTAGTCGGGCGTGGTGGTGGGCACCTGTAATCCCAGCTACTTGGGAGGCAGAGGCAGGAGAATCGCTTGAACCCGGGAGGCGGAGGTTGCAGTGAGCTGAGATTGCGCCACTGCACTCAGCCTCCCAAAGTACTGGGATTACAGGCGTGAGCCACTGTTCCTAGCCAAGGGTAGCATCCTTGACCCAAGCTTTTCCAGGGTGACCCAGAAGTGTGGAGGTTATATCCTCAGGGAATTATTACCCTTATCACTTTTTTTTTTTTTTTGAGATAGCATCTCGCTCTGTCGCCCAGGCTGGAGTGCAGTGGCATGATCTCGGCTCTGTTGTCTAGGCTGGAGTGCAGTGGCGAGATCATAGCTCACTGCAGCTTCAAGCTCCCGGGCTCAAGCAGTCCTCCTGCCTCAGCCTCCCCAGTACCTGGGACCACAGGCAGGCACCATGGCGCCCTGCTAGTTTTTTTCTTTTTACTTTTTGTAGCGATGGGGTCCAACTTTATTGCCTAGGCTGGTCTCGAACTCCTGACCTCAAGCAATCTTCTCGCCTTGGCCTCTCAAAGTGCTGGGATTATAGGCATGAGCCCTGCCCCTGGCCACACATACCATGCTAATTTGTTACACATTGGCTGTGGTTGCTTTCATGCTACATGGCATGGTGGTTGTGACTGAGAGCTGCATGTCTGGTCCTTTACAGAAAACGTTTGCTGATCCTAATCTTGGGGATTGTGCCTGTGTTGACTTTGCTATTTATTGTTTGGTTACAGCCCAGACACTGAAGTTACTTATTAGCTTGTGGGTTTCTATCCCGTAGAAAAGAAAACTTCATGGCCGGGCGCAGTGGCTCACACCTGTAATCTCAGCACTTTGGGAGGCCGAGGTGGGCGGATCACGAGGTCAGGAGATGGAGACCATCCTGGCCAACAAGGTGAAACCCCATCTCTACTAAAAATACAAAAATTAGCTGGGCATGGCAGTGAGCACCTGTAATCCCAGCTACTCGGGAGGCTGAGGCAGGAGAATTGCTTGAACCCGGGAGGCAGAAGTTGCAGTGAGCCAAGATCGCACCACTGTACTCCAGCCTGGACGACAGAATGAGCCTCCGTCTCAAAAAAAAAACAAAAAACAAAAAAAAAAAAAAGAAAAGAAAACTTCATTAATTAACCACTTTCGTATGTAATATCACAATCTTATTCTAGCATTCTTCTCTTAAAGTGTTTACAGGCCAGGCACAGTGGCTCACATCTGTAGTCCCAGCACTTAGGGAGGCTGAGGGAGGATTGCCTGAGCCCAGGAGTTTGAAACTAGCCTGGGCAATATAGCAAGATCTTGTCTCTACTAAAAATTTAAAAAATCAGCAGGGCATAGTAGTGTGTGCCTGTAGTTCCATTTACTTGGGAGGCTGAAGCAATAGGATTGCTTGAGCCCAGGAGGAAGAGGCTACAGTGAGCTATGACTGCACCACTGCATTCCAGCCTGGGTGGCAGAGCGAGACCCCGTCTCAAAAACAAAACAAAACGAAACAAAAGAATGCTTACAAATACATGAAATACATGTACCCAGCTTCTCAGAATGATCCATGAATCAGAGTTCCCACTCTTTTTCTGAATTGGTGCGTAGTAGATCTTTGATATGTGTTCATGATATATATGAGTCATCTTTTTTACATGTTTGAAAATTATACTTTGAAAAGGGCTTGTCCGGAGGTGGTTGCTGCATACCTGTTCAGATTTCCTAAGAGGTTGAGAGAAACAGGTACTGGGTGAGCTGGGTCCACTCAAGCCTTCCCAGGGTGCCTGCCCTGCCCTGTGGTGAACACCAGCCCCCTGGGCTGCAGATATCTGCCTGGGGGTCCAATCAGATCCTCAAGACATCTGGGACTGGGCATGGTGGCTCATGCCTGTAATCCCAGCACTTTGTGAGGATGAGGTGGGCGGATCACTTGAGTTCAGGAGTTCAAAACCAGCCTGGCCAACATGGTGAAACCCCATCTCTACTAAAAATACAAAAATTAGTCAGGCGTGGTGATGGGCACCTGTAATTCCAGTTATTCGGGAGGCTGAGGTGGGATAATCACTTGAACTTGGAAGCAGAGGTTGCAGTGAGCCGAGAATGTTCCACTATCCTCCAGCCTGGGTAACAGAGGGAGACTCTGTCTCAAAAAAAAAAAAAAATAGGCCACGTGCGGTGGCTTACACCTGTAATCTCAGCACTTTGGGAGGCTAAGGCAGAAGGATCATCTGAGGTCAGGAGTTCAAGACCAGCATGGCCAATATGGTGAAACTCCATGAAACCCCATCTCTACCAAAAAAAAAAAAGACAAAATATTAGCTGGGAGTGGTGGCGTGTGCCTGTAAATCCCAGCTACTCAGGAGGCTGAGGCAGGAGAATCGCCTCAACCTGGGAGGTGGAGGTTGCAGTGAGTTGAGATCACACCACTGCCCTCCAGCCTGGGCGACAGAACCAGATTCCATCTCAAACAAAAACAAAAACAAAAACAAACAAACAAACAAAAATCTGGGAACCTGCCCCAGGACCCAGTTGAATGCCAGGGCTTGAAGTCTCTGGGAGGGGGTGGTATAGACTTGTGGGACAGATGGAAGGTATATCCTCTCCTGCTCCTCTCGCTTTTCCAGGTGGCCTCCAGAAACAATGTGGCATGATGGGCTATGGGCAGCTCTGCTCAGGGCCTGAGAGGAGAACCAGGGGGCAGTGCCAGGCATGCACTGATGTTAACTTCCCTTCCAGCTGCAGTGGTCAGGATCTGGGGAGGGGAGGAGAGGCATGGTGGATGCTGCCAGAAGGGTGGCTGTGTGTGTGCACTCAAGATCCAGGTTTCCACTTGTAGCCCTAATAAGTCCACGGCTCCTTCCCTTTCACTGCCTGCATTTAGGCTCAGGAGACCCTGGAGGCCATACTTCCTAGAGAGTAGGTCCTTGAACCCAAGGAGATCCAACAGGCATGAGGATTTTTGTGTACCCCTAAGGAAGTAGCCAGAGAACCAGGTGCTGGTGATTTGGGGTGGGGTAGGGGCTGCATCAGGCTCAGCTGTCCCTGGACCCAGGGCCTTGGGCCAGGAAGGGAGGGGAGGGACCCAATCCAGCAAAAAGGCTTAGGAGCCCATAGGACGGCAGAGCACAGCAGGCTATGAAGCTCTAAGGGGTCGGGCTGGTGGGCTGCCTATGGGGGAAATGGTATCCACCAAGGCCACAGCCAGGAGAAAAGGTTGGTATGGCCCCAAAAGCCATAGGGAAGAGGGAGAGGGCAGGCCCCTTGAATCTTAATTTCCCCTTGACCTTTTTTTTTTTTTTTTTTTTTTTTTTTTTTTTTTTTTGAGACAGCGTCTCTCTGTCACCCAGGCTGGAGTGGAGTGGCCCGATCTCGGCTCACTGCAACCTCCACCTCCTGAATTCAAGCAATTCTCCTGCCTCAGCCTCTCAAGTAGTTATTACAGGCACCTGCCACCATGCCCAGCTAATTTTTGTATTTTTAGTAGAGACAGGGTTTCACCATGTTGACCAGGCTGGTCTCTAACTCCTGACCTCAGGTGATCCACCCACCTTGGCCTCCCAAAGTACTGGGATTACAGGCATGAGCCACTGTGCCCAGCCCTCTTTGCCTTTCCCTACTATTCCTGGAAGAGCCAAGGTATACAAGATGCCCCACTGGCCCTGCCCCAGAACCTAGCTGGGCAGCCAGGTCAGGGGTCATGTCTGAGCCCTGGGACACTGGGGGCTGTCCTAGGCTAAGGACAAAGAGGGGAGGCTCAGAGCTTGCTTGGATGAGCATTGAGAATGTGTTTGTGGCTGGGTGCGGTGGTCCTGTAATCCCAGCACTCTGGGAGGCTGAAGTGGGAGGATGGCTTGAGCCCAGGAGTTGGAGACCAACCTGGACAACATGGTGAGACCCTGTCTCTACCAAAAGTACAAAAAATTAGCTGGGCATGATGGTGCACACCTGTAGTCCCAGCTACTCAGAAGGCTGAGGGAGGAGGATCACTTTTCAGGAGTTGGAGGCCGCAGTGAGTTATGATCACTCCACTCCACTCCAGCCTGGGCAGCACAGTAAGACTCTGTCTCAAAAAAAAAAAAAAAAAAAAAAAAAGATGTTCTGGAAGACTCTGCCCCTCCTCTCCTCGGTCTTGGTTTTTTTTTTTTTTTTTTTTTTTTGAGATGGAGAATCACTCTGTCACCCAGGCTGGAGTGCAGTGGTGCGATCTCAGTTCACTGCAACCTCCGCCTCCTGGGTTCAATCCGATTCTCCCAAGTAGTAGGGGTTACAGCTGCGCACCACCGCACCTGGCTAATTTCTGTGTTTTTAGTAGAGACTGGGCTTCGCCATGTTGGCCATGGTTTGCCAGGCTGGTCTCGAACTCCTGAACTCAGGTGATCTGCCGGCCTCAGCCTCCCAAAGTGCTGGGATTACAGGTATCCTCAGTCTTGTTAATTACACTGGGGTTTGCTGTGTACAGTGAGATCAGGATGAGGGTGGTGAGGTGGTGATCAGGGGGACCCATGCTTCTGTTCAGGGGGTTGGCAGAAGCCAGCAAGGCTTGGGGTTTCCCTGTTTGGAGCTCTCCAAGTTGAGAGTGCAGAGGAGTGTGAGATGCGTGTGAAAATGCAAACTTGGCTCTCCCTGGCTGGAGGCTGGCATTGGGTGAGTCTCTGGTAGGACCAGGCCATGTATACTTTTTAAGCTTTTTTATTCTTGAAAAGTTCAAAGATATACAAAGATAGACTATGCAGGATAATGAGCCCCCACATACTCCGCATCTCTTGTCTGTAATTATCAGCTCGTGGCTACCTCTACCTCTCCCCTCTACCTCTTGTCTCATCTCTACCTCTCCCCCTGACCCCTGACTCTGGGTCATTTTGCAGCAAATCCCAAATGCGTATATCATTTATCCTAAATATTCCATAAACATTCCACTATGTAGCTCTGAAAGATAAGGACGCTTACAACACAACTGCAATATCTTTTTTGTTTGTTTGTTTGTTTTTGTAAAGACGGGGATTTCGCCACATTGCCCAGGCTGGTCTCGAACTCCTGAGCTCAAGCGATTCTCCCACCTCAGCCTGCCAAGTAGCTGGGATTACAGGCATGTGCCACTGTGCCCAGCCAAGTGCAGTATCTTATCACACCTTTACAAAATTAATAATTCCAATCATCCTATAGTTGATCAGTGTTCAAATTTCCAATTGCCTCATAAAAAGATCATTTCTTAACATTTTGTTTTGTTGCAATTGGTTGCTGTAAGTCACCTAAATATCTTGCCTCTTTTTTATACTTTTTATTGTAGTAAAATAGGTATAACATACAATTTGCCATTTTAACCATTTTAAGTGTTTAACTCAGTGGTGTTAATTACATTCACAATGTATAGCCATCACCACTATTTAGTTCAAAAATTTCAAGTCTCCTTTATTTTCCTTTTTTTTTTTTTTTTTTTAATTTTAGGGACTAGGTTTTGCTATGTTGCCCAGGCTGGCCTTAAACTCCTGGCCTCAAGGTGATCCTTCTGCCTTGGCCTCCCGAGTAGCTGGGACTAGAGGTGTGCACCGTCACACCCAGCTTCAAGTCTCTTTTAATTATTATAAAGTTCTGGCCATGCACAGTGGCTCGCAACTGTAATCTCAGCACTTTCGGAAGCCAAGGCGGTCAGATCACCTGAGGTCAGGAGTTCGAGACCAGTCTGGCCAACATGGAGAAACTCCGTCTCTACTAAAAATACAAGAATTAGCTGGGCGTGGTGGCACACGCCTGTAGTCCCAGCTACTCGGGAGGCTGAGGCAAGAGAATTGCTTGAACCTGGGAGGCAGAGGTTGCAGTGAACCAAGATCAAGCCATTTGCACTCCAGCCTGGGCAACAGAGTGAGACTCTGTCTCAAAAAAACAAACAAACAAAAAAAACTATAAAGTTCCCCTTCATCTGAAAATTGAATGTGATTTTAAACAACCTATTTGAGCTCTGAGGTAGATGTCTAAGTTCAAAGCCCACTCCTCCCTTCTGGGGGTCCCAGTTTCGTGATCTCTTCTTCCCTTTCCTTCCTGGTAGCTTAAAAAAATAGAGATAACAGGATAAAGGTGAGGAATGAAGGAATGAATGGATGCAGGCAGACGTGAAAACAGCGCCCATCTGGAGAGCTAGAAACATCTGGAGGGCTGGGACACCTGGAGACGCCCTGTGTCTATGAGCTGCTGTTGTGAGGAGCCTGGAGCCAGTGGACACTGGGAGGGAGGAGGCTTTAGAGTTGGGGGCAACCGGGGGAGGAAGGAGGTTGGCTGTGCCAGGTCTGGGGGCCTCAGGGACTTCTGTGTCCTCATAACCCACAAAAGCCCTGCCCACCCTGCCCCGGGGCGGCCCACAGTAGCAGCGGCTGGTGGTCCCTGCAGCCGGTCAGCCCTAAGAGCGGGCACAACGTGTGGCCTGGGTACCACAGGGCCAGAAGAGAGGGACAGGGGCCCTGCTCCTGTCACCTGCTGCTTCTGCCACCCCAGGACCAAGTCATTGGTGTGAGCCGGTGGCCAGACATCACTGCCCCGCAGGCAGTGGGGGCTCCTCTTGGGCTGGGGGCAGGGCTTGGTGGGCAGCCCTATGGGAGGGGGAGCTGGTGGGGGACCACAGGGACTGACCAAAGAAAGGCAGGCCAGATCCCAGGACACCAGGGGTTCTAAGTCCCCAAGAGTGGGGACTGGGCCGGAGTCAAGTTTTGCCAACCATCGGACCAGCCCCGGGCCTCTATGATGAAGGCATCAGAGAAACCCCATGGGGCCAGAAAGGGGCTGGGGCAACGGTGCACCTTTGGGATCTGGGGTCAGAGGGGGAAGGAGGTGACTGCATGGCAAGGCAAGAGCTGAAGGCCTTCTGGAGAAGGAGGGTCCAGTCCTTGTCCCCACCCTGATCCAGGTCACTGTGGACGCAGCTGGGAGCTGAGCCTGGCAGCCTATGTGACACAATGGTGGGGGGATGGGAGCCCCTACGTGGCCAACACTGCCAGCCACACAGCTAGAGGGCTTGGGGTAAGGGCTGCGTGAAGAGGAATGGGGTCTCTGAGTCCCGCATCTGTGCTGTCCTCAGGGACACCCTAGAGAAGGGACTTGCTTGGGGGCTGCTTTGAGGAGAGAACAGCTGGTTGGACACACTGGGCTCTGTGGCCTGTGGGACATGAAAGAGGGGACCCAGGGACAGCAACTGGGAAGGGAAAGGAACCCCCGACCCCAGAAGAGTGGGGGGAAGAAAGAGGGGGGAACAGGGATGCCCAGAGCCCATACTGTCAGCCCCATCATCGGCACATCCACCGACAGCCTCCGGGGTCCCCCCGGGCCCACTTTCTCCCCAGACCCTCATCACAAGACCCCAGAGCCTGGACAGTAACAGCAGGTTTACTGTTGGCAACAGCACAGCCCTGTGGCACCCAAGGGTAGCGGGTGGGGTGGCGGCCGGGTCTCCTGGGGCCCCGTTCTCCCTCCCATTCTCTAGGTCCCTGGAGGCCAGACCCCTGGGTGTGGCCCATCCTAGCAGTGGTTCTGGCTGGGTCTGTCCTAGGCAGGAGAGGAGGGTCCCTGGAGAGGCAGTGATGGCTACAGCGGCTGTAGGGAGCTGGGGACACTTCAGGCCAGCCATGACAGGCCCAAGCCTGCTCAGCTCTGCACTTCTGGGGATCCCCTTATTCCTGACTCTCCCCCCTCCCCCACTTGGAAGAGACCTAGGCCCTGCACCCTAATGAGGAGGACCGGGGTGAGGGGGTGCAGAGTGTCCTGGAGGGGCTCCGAGCGCTTGGCAGGGGACTCAGCAAGGGAGCGTAGGGCGGGCCTCACGTCTGCAGCTCCAGGAGGCAGTTGGGCTCTGAGGGTGGGGAGCCGGCCGGGCTGGAGCTATGGGCCTCGCGGAGGTCCTGCAGCACCCGGAGCAGCCGGGCCAATGAGTCCTCGGGGACTGTGGGCAGAGGCAGCCGTGAGGGCCCCTGGGAGTGAGCCCGAGGACCCCACCCGTGCATCTCTGGAGGGGGCTCGGGCCACGAGCAAGTCCCAGGTGGGCAAGACCTACCTTTGCCAGGGCTCGTGGGCACCGTGCCTGCCTCTGCACCCCCGCTCAGCTCCCGGTGCCTCTCCCTGTGGGGGAGGTCAGAGTGAGGGCCAGTAGCCTCCACTCTCCCTGCCAGACCTTCTGGTGTCCTTGTGGGAAGGCTGGGGGTGGCCCAGCATGGGCCTCCTGGGCTAGAGGTGGCTCTGGGGGTGATGGCAGGGCTGACTCTTTCAGTCTATGAAGAGGCTGGGCCAAGGCCCACCAGGGCACCTTCCACCTTCTCCCTCCCCGTGTCTCCTCCTCCTCCCCATCCGACTGTGGGTTGACCAGAAGGCCCTTTGCATTTGTTTTGTTTTGTTTTTGAGACAGAGTCTTGTTCTGCGGTCCAGGCTGGAGTGCAGTGGCGCAATCTAAGCTCACTGCAACTTCCACCTCCTGGGTTCAAGCAATTCTCCTGCCTCAGCCTCCTGAGTAGCTGGGATTACAGGCGCCCTCCACCACATCAGTTAATTTTTGTATTTTTAGTAGAGAAGAGGTTTCGCCATGTTGGCCAGGCTGGTTTCAAACTCCTGATCTCCAACAATCTGCCTGCCTCCACCTCCCAAAGAGCTGGGATAACAGGCATGAGTCACCGCACCCCACCTTTGTGGGCTTTGAGGGCAGAGATAAACCCTGGAAGAGTCGATGAGGAATGGGGAGGACCACACCCTTCCTCCTTGCAGAGTGTAGGGGTGTGACAGATGAATGAGCTCCAGCTCCAGTTGGCTCAGGGGAAGCTGAGCGCATGGGAAGCACTGGATCACCTTGAAGTATCCTGGCACCAGCCACATCTCCAGAGACCCTGAGTGATGGGGCCTTGGCATCCTGTTTTTTAAAGCTGATCTTTAAAAGCATCCTGTTTTTTCTAAGCTTCTGCCAAGGCTGAGAACCACTGGACGAAGCAAGATGGCCAAGGAACTCAGGGAATTGGCTGAGGCTGTGCCTGTACTCCAAGGGCCCAGGGGAACAGCTGGGCAGGTTGCAAGGTGGGCTCAGTCAGCACATGGCATGAAGCAGGCATGGCCCTGACCCTTGGGGCCTCTGTCCTAACCTGAGCTGGCCTCGTGCTGCAGAGAGGTACTCCTGGTGCCCTCCCCAGATGTGGCCAATTACAAGAGAGGTGACCAGCCACCATGGAGCAGCCCCAAGCCTGGCACGTTCCCCAGGCTGCACAGGCTCTCCTGGGTGGGACTCACCACAGCATGGCCTCCACGCCCAGCAGGTGCCGGTAGATGAGCTGGGCCTCAAGGTCATGGTCAAGAGGGTCATTCCACTCCTGCAGGGTCACCCGTGACCGGGTCTTATCGCAGCCCTGACCTGGGGGCACAGAGAGGGCAAAGTTACAAGCAGACACTTGGGACTACCATGTCCAACACTGTGGTTGCACAGATGGAGAAACAGAGGCCTGGAGAGGAGAGAGATGCACTCGGGGGTCCCTGGTGAGGGCTGGGCTGGGAGCATAGCCTGGTAAGTCTGACCCAGGCCCTGCCTCGGCTCCCCACCCTCTGGGGGCAGCAGCTCCTCTTGGGGTCAGCCCCTGCACCACGGGATGCGTGACTGAGGAGCATGGATATCATCAGGATATGACTCGGGTTGCTGGGTAACTTTTGGTTTTTTTTGAGACGGAGTCTCGCTCTGTCGCGCAGGCTGCAGTGCAGTGGCACGATCTTGGCTCACTGCGAGCTCTGCCTCCCAGGTTCACGCCATTCTCCTGTTTCAGACTCCTGAGTAGCTGGGACTGCAGATGCCCGCCACCACGCCCAGCTAATTTTTTATATTTTTAGTAGAGACGGGGTTTCACTGTGTTAGCCAGGGTGGTCTCGATCTCCTGACCTCGTGATTTGCCCGTCTCGGCCTCCCAAAGTGCTGAGTTACAGGCGTGAGCCACCGCGCACAGCCAGGGAGCCGGGTAACTTTCTGGACAACTGTCTGCCTGGAAGGGAGCAGGCTGAAACGTTAACATCATGGTGAGGTGGGCCACAGGGGGTTCATGCCTTAGAATGAGCTGGTCCTGCAGCTTGCTGTCTTTATGACCTTGCCAAGTCATCTGCCTTCCCTAAGCCTCAGCTTCTCCTCCATACAGTGGAATAACAGGCCCTGTCTCTTGGGCCAGGGTGGGTCCCACCTTGCCGATAATGAGAGTATCGCTCTGATGGTTACAGGCAGAGGCTGCAGGCCATATCAGCCAGCCAGCAATGCCCTTGCAAAGAGTCACCAAGAGGCCAGGCACAGTGGCTCACACCTGTAATCCCAGCACTTTGGGAGGCTGAGGCAGGAAGATAGCTTGAGGCCAGGAGTTCAAGACCAGTCTGGGCAACATAGTGAGACCCTGACTCTACAAAAAAATAAAACAGAAAATAGCTGAGTGTGGTGGCATGTGCCTGTAGTCCCAGTTCTGCAGGAGGCTGAGGCAGGAGGATGGCTTGAGCCCAGGAGGTCAAGGCTACAGTGAGCTATGATTATGCCACTGCACTCCAGCCTGGGTGAGAGAGTGAGAGACCCAACTCAAAACAAAAACAAAAACAAAAGAGTCACCCATCCCTATACAGTGCTTGGCTGTAAATCCAGGGCTGGGCTAGAGTGCGTGGGTCAGTTTTCGATGGCCTCTGCCACACTGGGCTCTGGGGACCAAGGTTTGGCCTGGCCTGAAGGACAGGGGACTCGAAGTGCTGAGTCTCCTCTGTAAAGTAAGTGTGGATAACAGGGAGAAGGTCTCGAAAGTTCTAGAATTGTGCTGTTCTACAGGGCGGCAGCTAGCCACATGAAGCTATTTGAGTTAATTAAAATTAAAACAACGTTTTTTGTTTCTTTTCTGTTTTTGTTTTTTTTTTTTTTTTTTTGAGATGGAGTCTCGCTCTGTCGCCAGGCTGGAGTGCAGTGGCACCATCTTGGCTTACTGCAACCTCTGCCTCCCAGGTTCAAGCAGTTCTCCTGCCTCAGCCTCCTGAGTGGCTGGGACTACAGGCCCACGCCGCCATGCCTGGCTAATTTTTTTTTTGTATTTTAGCAGAGATGGAGTTTCACCATGTTGCCTAGGCTTGTCTCTAACTCCTGAGCTCAGGCAATCCGCCTACCTTGGCCTCCCAAAGTGCTAGGATTACAGGCGTGAGCCACCACACCCGGCCAAAACAACATTTTTAAAAATGTGAAACTCAGGCCAGATGTGGTGGCTCACTCCTACAATCTCAGCACTTTGGGAGGCCGAGGCAGGAGGATTGCTTGAGCCTGGGAATTCAAGACCAGCCTGAACAACATAGCAAGATCCCACCTCTAAAAAAATTTTTTTTAAATGAGCCAGGTGTGGTGATGCATGCCGGTAGTGCCAGCCTACTCAGAGGCTGAGGCAGGAGGATTGCTTGAGCCCAGGAGTTGGAGGCTGCAGTGAGCTATGATCGTGCCACTACACTCCAGCCTGGGCAACAGAGCAAGACCCTGTTTTAAAAAATTAAACAAAAAAAACCCCTCAGCAACTCAAGCCACATTTCAAGTGCTCAAGAACCACAGGTGCTAGAACCTAGAGTACTACACAGTATGGCGTCCTTCTAGAAGCTCCTCTATGCCATCCCTCTAGTGCCCAAGGCTCAGGGTCCCCTCCCACCCACAGCTCCGGATTCAGATGGCCAGCATTGGAGTGTGCGAACCCAGGGGCTCTCTGGCTCTCATTAGCAGGGGGCTCCTCGAATGTGTTCCTGAGAACACCTGTTCTGTAAGAAGCTCCTTGGGGAAGAGAAGGGTTCCCTGTCAAAAGAGTTTGGGAAGTGCTGGGTTAAACCACGTTAGAAATGGAATTCTAGGCCGGGCGTGGTGGCTCACACCTGTAATCCCAGCACTTTGGGAGGCCGAGGAGGGCAGATCACGAGGTCGGGAGTTCAAGACCAGCCTGGCCAACATGGTAAAACCCCGTCTTTACTGAAAATACAAAACTTAGCTGGGTGCAGTGGCTTGCGCCTGTAGTACTTGGGAGGCTGAGGCAGGAGAATCACTTGAGCCTGGGAAACAGAGATTGCAGTGAGCCGAGATTGCACCACTGCACTCCAGCCTGGATGATAGAGCGAGACTTGGTATCAAACAACAACAACAACAACAACAAAAAAAAACAAGAGCAGCTTGACTAACATGGTGAAACCCCATCTCTAGTCAAAATACAAAAAAATTAGCTAGGCTTGGTGGCGAGTGCCGGTAATCCCAGCTACTGGGGAGGTTGAGGCAGGAGAATTGCTTGACCCTGGGAGGTGGAGATTGCAGTGAGCTGAGATCGTGCCATTGCACTCCAGTCTGGGGGACAGAGTGAAAATCTGTGTCTGAAAAAAAAAAAAGAAGAAGAAATAAAAAGAAATGGGATTCTAACGTGTTTTCGGGCCTCCTTAGAGCCTTCAGCGAATTCACTCATGTGCTTCACACACATCACGTGGCATTTCCCAAACCACCTGGTCCACGGGACCCTTTCTGCCCAGAGCTCCTGGAGGGGCCAGCATTCCTTGGGTTATGTCCCTGCAGGTGCACAGCAGGGCTCACGGTCCCATCGTTCAGCCAGAGGCCCGATCTCGCAGTGGACGGATGCAGAGCCCGGGACCCAGGCCTCCTCTCCCACCTGTCTTCTCTTTTTGGTGGCAGCAGCTCCACTTGTCCCCACAGAAGATGCCAGGGTGGTAGGAGCCCAGCAGTCCGGTGTTGTTGATGCTCACCTTCCGCAGCACAGACAGCCACTGGTTAAGCTCATTCACACACTGCAGGGGACACAGAGGGGGAGGCCTGTTCAGACGTCACCTCCTCCAGGAAGCCCTCCTAACCCGGAGCTCCTGTACCATGCCAGACACCATGTTCCCCACCATACCAACCCAGCAGCTTTGAGTGAATTAGGAGAAGCTGCCCTTCCTCCAGTGGAACATGACCCATGCCCGGGCGCATGGCCTGGAGAGCAGGTGCAGTGGCTCACTCCTATAATCCCAGTGGCTCACTCCTATAATGCCATCATGGCTGGCTAATTTCTTTTTTTTAGAGATGGGGTCTTGCTACATTGGCCAGGCTGTTCTCAAACTCCTGGCCTCCAGTGATCTTCCCACCCCAGCCTCCCAAAGTGCTGGGACTACAGCTGGGATTATAGGGGGCCGAGGTGGGAAGATCGCTTGAGCCCAGGAATTCAAGACCAGCCTGGGCAACACAGCAAGACTTCATCCTCTCCTCTCCCACCTGTCTTGTCTTTTTGGTGGCAACAGCTCCACTTGTCCCCACGGAAGGCACCGGGATGGTAGGAGCCCAGGAGGCTGGTGTGGGCTGGATTTCAGCCGCCGCTGGCCCCTTGGCCACGCTCGTAGGTATTCCAGAACCCGCCAAATATATTTGGTGGCCCTGATATCACTACTTTTCCCAGTGGCTCTGGACCCTGACACAAAAGGGAACTCCTAGAGGGAAGGGCACAGAGGGACAGGTCTGTGACTTCCTCCCCACAGGCCAGGACGGTCAAGCCTGGAAGAAACCAACCCCCCTCCAGCTGCAGGCTTCCTACTTGTCCCACATGTCCCTGCCCTAGATACACATCTGGGTCACCCTCCTACAAGGTCCCTGCTCGAATGCCACCCATCAGAGGTCCTCCCTGACCACTCTTTAATTAATTTACTAATTAATTAATTTATTTATTTTGAGATGGAGTCTTGCTCTGTCACCAGGCTGGAGTGCAGTGGCTCGATCTCAGCTCACTGCAACCTCCACCTCTCAGGTTCAAGTGATTCTCCTGCCTCAGCCCCCCAAGTAGCTGGGACTACAGGCACACGCCACCACGCCCAGCTAATTTTTGTATTCTCCCTGACCACTCTTAATAGGACAGACCGCTCCCTGCTATACCCCACTCTCTTCCCTCCCTTGCTCCCTTAGTCCCTTCTGGTTCCCTTCAAGTCACTATCACAATTTGCTTTTTTTTTTTTTTTTAAGAGACAGGGTCTCACTCTGTAGCCCAGGCTGGAGTGCAGTGGTGTGATCATAGTTCACTGCAGCCTCCAACTCCTGGGTTCAGGCTATCTTCCTGCCTCAGCCTCCCAAGTAGCTGGAATCACAGGTGCATGCCATCATGGCTGGCTACTTTTTTTTTTGTAGAGATGGGGTCTTGCTACATTGGCCAGGCTGTTCTCAAACTCCTGGCCTCCAGTGATCCTCCCACCTCAGCCTCCCAAAGTACTGGGACTACAGGCATGAGCCGACATTTGAAACATGTATTTATTGGCCCATCTTCTCCCTGGGATATCAGCTCCATGAGGGCAGGACTCTGCCTCATCTGTCACTGTATCCCCTCACCTAGAATCATGCCTGGAACCTAGGAGGTGCTCAGTAAGTATTTTTTAAATAAATGAATGAATGAGTTAATGAAGGAACAGATGAGAAGGTTACTTGAGAACATGCACCCAGAGCCACACAGAGCATAATGTTTGATTATTAGGCATTGATACAGACACAGAACCACACAGGTGCCAGCTCAGACTTTCTTTTTTAGAGAAAGGGTCTTGCTCTGTTGCCCCGGCTAGAATGCTGGGATTATCCGCGTGAACCAGCGTGCCTGGCCCCCATCTCAGTTATCTGGAAATAGTTTCCAACAAACGGGTGCAACGTGCAAATTTCACATCACGGGGATGCACCTGTCTGTGCACTGGCCCACACACAGACCTACACATGGATGCCCAGGGAAAGACATGGGCCATGGCCTCCTGGGGGCTCAGGCCCCTGGACAACACACACACACCTGTCCCTGACACCTCCCAGATTAGACACACCCTGCGGTGCCTGATGTAGCTGGTAGCGGGGCGAGAGGCTCAATCAACTCTTTTCTCATCCAGTCCACTCAGGCCCCTCCCACAGCACCCAGGCCACTCCCACAGAGCTCAGGCCACTCCCATAGCACCCAGGCCATTCCCACAGCACCCAGGGCATTCCCATAGCATCCAGGGCACTCCCACAGCACCCAGGCCACTCCCATAGAGCTCAGGCCACTCCCACAGGGCTCATGCCACTCCCACAGTACCCAGGCCACTCCCACAGCACCCAAGCCACTCCCACAGTGTTCAGGCCACTCCCACAGCACCCGCTCCCCTCCCCGCACCTTGCACTGCAGGTAGGCAGTCTGGGGCCTGCCGGCGTCGTCCGTGTAGATGACCTGCATGACGTGCGAGCTGCCAAAGTTCTTTTCCTCAACCTTTTCTGCTGCCCGGATGTTGGCTAACTTGATGAGGGCGCTTTTCTGGGGCAGTCAGGGAGGAGGAGGCTCAGGGACCTAGCCAGGGGCATTCCATTCCCCATCTCTGGGCCTCAGTCTCCCCTTCTGCAGCACCAGGGGTAGGCGTGGGAGACCCAGAGTGACCTCAGCCAGGGCAGAGCACAGACTGATGGTGACCAAGTGCCCAGCAACTGGGAGAGGAGGACCTGGCCTCTCTGGGGGGCACTCCCAGAAGGCCTCGGAGGTGTGAGCTTTGGGGTAGTGTCTGGACAGCCAGCATTCCCTGGGCTACAAAGTCAATCCAGCCGTGGCCAAGGCTTTGTGACTTTGCATTTATTAATTTTCCAACTTGCTTTTGTAGTCCCAAGCTCTAACAGTCATATCCTGACCGGGCGCAGTGGCTCACACATGTAATCCCAGCATTTTGGGAGGCCGAGGAAGGCGGATCACCTGAGGTTGGGAGTTCGAGACCAGCCTGACAAACATGGAGAAACTCCGTGTCTACTAAAAATACAAAATTAGCCGGGCATGGTGGTGCATGCCTGTAATCCCAGCTACTTGGGAGGCTGAGGCAGGAGAATCGCTTGAACCCGGGAGGCGGAGGTTGCGGTGAGCCAAGATCGCACCATTGCACTCTGGCCGGGGCAACAAAAGTGAAACTCCATCTCAAAAAAAAAAAAAAAAATGGGACCAGAATTAAATAATGCCCATGTAGTCAAATCTTTCAACCCTGGCAAGGAAGATGTATAATAATCATCTGAGTGCTTTGGGAGGCTGGGGCAGGAGGATTGCCTGAGGCCAGGAGTTTGAGAACAGCCTGGGCAGCATAGCAAGACCCCATCTCTGCAAAAAAAAAATGTTAAAGAAAATTAGCTGGGCTTGGTGGCACGTGCCTGTAGTCCCAGCTACTCAGGAGGCTGAGGCAGGAAGATTGCTTGAGCCCAGGAGTTTGAGGCTGCAGTCAGCTATGATCGCACCACTGCACTACAGTCTGGGTGACAGAGCAAGACCCTGTCTCAAAAAATAATTATCATCATCTGAGGGGTCTTTGGTCGGAAGGGGCGGGCCCCTCATCTGGTGGGACCCCTGAGCTGGTTGAGAACAGGGTGGGTGATGAGCTCCTTCACCTACTCCTAGCCTGCTCTCACCTGCCCAGGGCTAGGCTGGGTACTCCTGGAAGATCATCCCCATAGCCTGCATGACTAGGGGCAGGTGTACAGCAAGCAGTCACCAGGTCCATGGAGGAAGTATGTCCTCAGCCCTTCCTGGGAGAAGAGAGCTTGCAGGAGAGGTGACCCATGACTCAGAGAGGGCTGTACAAGGTGATCTTTGAGATCCCCTCCCACACCAAGATTCCATGCTTCTATATTCCTGCCCGTTCCAGGAAGCCTCCCCTGTTTGCCCTAGCCTCCTACTCATCTAGCAGCCCAGGTGATGTACTATCTTTAATAATACCATTTGCCTAAATAGTACTACCTGCCAGGCCCTGGGTCAGGACCCTTAGGGAGATCATCTCATTTAATCCTCAACAACCTGGTAAGGTCGGATCAACTTCCTCCATATTCATTTTTTTTTTTGAGACGGAGTCTTGCTCTGTTGCCCAGGTTGGAGTGCAGTGGCACGATCTCGGCTCACTGCAACTTCTGCCTCCCGGGTTCAAGCGATTCCCGTGCCTCAGGCTCCCGAGTAGCTGGGACTACAGGCACCCACCACCACACCCGGCTGATTTTTTGTATTTTTAGTAGAGACGGGGTTTCTCCATGTTGGCCAGGCTGGTCTCAAACTCCTAACCTCAAGTGATCCACCCGCCTTGGCCTCCCAAAGTCCTGGGATTACAGGCGTGAGCCACCGTGCCCGGCCCTCCTAGGTTCTGACAAGCAGTACAGATGCCACACACCTGGCTTTCTTCTCTGACCCCGGGGGTACCTCAAGTGGGCTCCAAGGAAGGGGACAGGTGCCTCTAAGGTGCCCCACTTGCCGGCCTCTCAGAGCCCCACTTGCCGGCCTCCCTCCTTACCCACCTTGGAGCTGGGCGTCTTCGCGAAGCTGAGGGCCTCGGTAGTGAGGGAGAAGTAGAGCTTCTTGAAGGAGGAGGACATGAGGGGGCCCTTGCCCTTGGTCCTGTGGATGAAGAGTGGCCCCTCCTTCACAGGTGGCGCCTGCAAACTCAGCGTCCGCTGCAGGTCCAGCTCTGCCAGGCCAGGGAGGGAGGGGAATAGAGAGCCCAGGGAATGAGGGCGGGACTGGGGGGGGGGGGCGGAGCAGTGGGCGGGGCCATGGGGCTCAAGGGCTGAGCAAATCTGAACAGCAGGCAGTGGACGTAGTCATGGGGCTCAAGGGCGGAGCAAACATCAACAGCTGGTGGTGAGCGGGGTGACAGGTGGACTGAGGAAGGCAGGGCCATGGGCTTGGAGGCGGGACACGCGTCAGTAGCAGGTGGCGGCGGGGCTATGGAGCTCAAGGATGGAGCAAATGTCAACAGGCACAGATGATGGGAGGTGAGGCCATGGGTCTAGGGGTGGGGCAAACGTCAACAGCAGGCAGTGGGCAGGGTCACAGGAAGCACAAACAGTGGTGCGTGGGTCTATGGCCTGGGGGCCTGGCAAATGTCAACAGCAGGCGGTGGGTGGGGCCACGAGAGGAACAAACAGCGGTGGGTGGGGCCGTGGGGCTCAAGGGCGGAGCAAACGTCAGCAGTAGGCTGTGGGCGGGTCTGTGCAGGGCGGCGCTCACCGTCCTTCTCCTCGATGTCCACGAGCTTGGTGATGAAGTCCTTCAGCTGCGCCACGCCCTGGCGCACGGTGGGCTGCAGCGGCTCCATCCAAGCCTCCTTGGCCCTGGAAGCCGGCGTGTCCATGTTGCCCACGTTCTGGACTGCCTGGAGGTGACAGCAGGAAGGACCAGGTTCTGCTAGGTTAGGGGCCTAGCCACTGCACCCCCTCCCACCCCCCCTCCCCAAGTCTTTGCTACTCAGCTGTAGCGATGGAGGCAGAGGCGACAGAGGCCATGCCCACGGGCCCCCTCCAGCCCCACTAGGGATCAGGGAGGAGAGGATCATGAAGTTTGATGCCTTATGATAACTGAGACCACTTGGGCCTTCCTCTGTAGGTTTAACTGACGCTGCTGCACTGGATACCCCACCCCGGTGCCGGGCACATAGGTGCAGCCTGAGAGTAAGCAGACCTGGGTTGGAAGGTCCCGCGATTCACCACCGACAGGATGGGCGGCCTTGGCAACCCCCGACCCCTCGCAGGCCTGTTCCCTTATCCATGAGATGGAACTCGGACAAGGTGGCCACAGGAAGGCTTTGCAAACTGTGAAGTGCAGTGCCTACGTGGGCGTGCCAGTGGCCTCGCCGGAGCCGGTAGGGAACACTCTGCAGTCCAGGCCAGGGCCCCGGTAGGACACCCAGCTGTGCATCCCGCCCGTGGCCGCAAGGCCCGCACCTTGGCCAACAGGAGCAGGGTGCGGCTGGTGCGGGCGTCCGCGTGGCGCTCCCGCAGGTGGAAGAGCTTGGGCGACATGATGGCGGGAGAGAAGAAGCGCAGGCACAGGAAGCTGGTGACGGCGATGAACGGTACATTCTGGAGGGGTGCGGAAGAGCGCGGGCTGGAGTCCCCCAGACCAGGGCTCCTGGCAGCCCCCTCCCCTTAGGCTCCGTCCCTGACCCTCGCCGGGACACAGCCTCCCTGGTCCTCCCCAGCGCTCCCTGGTTCCCCACCGCTCTTCGCCCGCCCCTCGCCCCAGCCCAGTCCAACCCGGCCCAGCCTAGCCCAGCGGGTGGAGGGCGCACCTCGTGCTGGGCGCCGGGGAAGCGCTCGCGCACGCGCCGGAAGAGCTGGCGGAAGGTGGCGCGCACCACGGCGGGGCACGCGGGAACCGAGCGGCTGAGCGCGCTCAGCAGGGCCCCCAGGTGGGCGCGCAGCGTCTGCGCGCTCTGCTCCAGCACCTCGGCCTCGGTCTGCGGGCGGTGCAGCCCGGAACACCTGCGTGGAACGGGGCGGGTTGGCAGAGGAGGTCACGGTCAGCGCCAGGGCCACGACAGGAACAGTGGCTCTCACAGCAGCCGGGACACGGACACAGGGGACAATACACGGGTGGGCAGAAGCACAAACACACATGCTGACAGGGCCTGATCCCAACCCGCTGCCGCTGCGCCCCGCACCCCCCCGGAGTTACCCCCGGCCTCACCCTACATCCTTAACTTCCACTTTGCTGGGGTCCAGCTCCACGTACTTCTCCTCAAACACCTTGTTGATGATGGGGCCCAGGACGCCGTGCAGGTACTGCATCCCGGCCACCTGGGGACCACCGCAGGTCACATTGATCCTGTCTCCCCCAGTCCCACTCCAGCTGCCCACCTTCTCCCGGCAGCCGCCCTTGCACCGTTTGCCTGCCGTATCCGCCCAGGAGGGGGACAGGTACACAAGCAGGGCAAACTGTTTATTCATGAATGAATGAATGAGTGAGTGAATGAATGACTAGAATTCTTAGCCCTTGTAATCCTAGCACTTTGGGAGGCCGAGGCAGGAGGATCACTTGAGGCCAGGAGTTTGAGACCAGCCTGGGCAACATAGTGAGACTGTCTCTAACTTAAATTTTAATCACACACACATTCTTTTGGGGGGGGGGGGTGCGGGGCACGGAGTCTAGCACGGGGCCCAGGCTAGAGTGCAGTGGCGTGAGCTCACTACAATCTCTGGCTTCTGGTTCAAGTGAGTCTCCTGCCTCAGCCTCCCCAGTAGCTGGGATCACAGGTGCCCACCACCATGCCAGGCTAATTTTTGTATTTTTAGTAGAGATGGGGTTTCGCCATGTTGGCCAGGCTGGTCTCGAACTCCTGACCTTAAGTGATCCGCCCGCCTCAGCCTCCCAAAGTGCTGGAATTACAGGCATGAGCCACTATGCCCAGCCACATTCTTAACCTTAAAGGGCTCTCAATATGGAGATAGAACACTGGAGTCGAAGTCCCAGCCCCCTCTGTCGCTCTCTCTGAAGCTCAGTGTTGTCATTTGCAAGATGAGGACAATATAGCATGCAACCTCACCTTCAGAAAAGACTCCATGGACTTTGAGGCCAGAGAGTTGCTCCGGAACAGGGTGTTGGTCTTTTGTTACTTGGTCATAAGTAGGCGTTTTCCTTTTGATTTGGTTCTAGGAGGTTAGTGTGCATTGGCGTTCTGTTGCCTGCTTCCAGCCCCTATTCTCCTGCCTCAGGTTCATTAGAAAAGACTGAGTTTGGGGCCGGGCAGGGTGGCTCACACCTGTAATCCCAGTACTTTGGGAGGCCAAGGTGGGCAGATCACGAGGTCAAGAGATCGAGACCATCCTGGCCAACATGGTGAAACCCTATCTCTACTAAAAATACAAAAATTATCTGGGCATGGTGGCACGTGCCTGTAGTCCCAGCTACTCAGGAGGCTGAGGCAGGAGAATTACTTGAACTTGGGAGGCAGAGGTTTCAGTGAGCCGAGTTCGTGGTCACTGCACTCCAGCCTGGCTACAGAGTGAGATTCCATCTCAAAAAAAAAAAAAAAAAAAAGAATGAGTCTGGCCCCTTTTTGTCTTTCTCTCATCCTCTTTGCCTTTCACCATGTTATGATGCAGCAAGAAGCCCCTCATCAGATACTAGTGCCATGACCTTGGACTTCCCAGCCTCCAGAACTGTGAGAAAATAAATTTCTGTTCTATGTAAATTACATAGTCTGTGGTACTTTGTTATAGCAGCACAAAACAAACAAGACAACAAGCAACAATCATGTGAACAGAAAGAAAAATGGGCATAACAAATGAACCATGTTTTTGTCCAAATTAGGTTCACAAGCCCTTATCTGCACCATCCAGACTCAAACACCTTAAGATTTTGGTAGTTCATTTGGTAGCAAAAACTGACCTTAATTGTCATGAGGATATTTAGAGTCGTCTTATATTCCACTTAGCTGATTATTCACACATATCACACACTTAGCTGATTATTCACACATATCACAGCAAAAGCATGAACATGTCTGATTACCAGTTCCTGTCCAGATCCTGTGATAAGGGCTTACCCAGGACATACATGGTATAACTTTTCTGAAATCTTAGATTGAATTCCAAAGCACATCTGGACTTAAGGGATTGTGGATATATACATATATATACTATATGTATATATATACACATATGCATATATATACATATGTGTATATATATACATGTGCATATATACATATACATATGCATATATAATATATGTATACATATACATATGCATATATATACATATGCATATATACATATACATATGCATATATACATATGCACATATACATATACATATGCACATATATACATATGCATATATACATATGCATATATACATATATGTATACCTATACCTATGCATATATATACATATATGTATACCTATACCTATGCATATATATACATATATGTATACCTATACCTATGCATATATATACATATATGTATACCTATACCTATGCATATATATACATATATATGTATACCTATACCTATGCATATATATACATATATGTATACCTATACCTATGCATATATATACATATATGTATACCTATATCTATGCATATATATACATATATGTATACCTATACCTATGCATATATACATATATGTATACCTATACATATGCATATATATACATATATGTATACATATATACACACATAGTATATATACATATACACTATGTGTGTGTGTATATATATACACATATATATACTATGTGTGTGTATATATGTATATATATACTATACTTTTTTTGAGACAGAGTCCCGCCCTGTAGCCCAGGCTGGAGTGCAGTGGCGCTATGTCGGCTCAGTGCAAGCTCTGCCTCCCTGGTTCACGCCATTCTCCTGCCTCAGCCTCCCGAGTAGCTGGGACTACAGGCGCACGCCGCCACGCCTGGCTAATTTTTTGTTTTAGTAGAGACGGGGTTTCATCGTATTAGCCAGGATGGTGTCGATCTCGTGACCCCTTGATTCGTCCACCTCGGCCTCCCAAAGTGCTGGGATTACAGGCGTGAGCCACCGTGCCCGGCAGGATTTATATTTTAAGGAGGCAGGGGAGTTATTCTCCATGGGAGGAAATAAGCCGTGAGCTGCCTTGCGCTTTGGCATGTTTCTCTATCATACAGATAAGAAGCTAGTTCAGTCAAGTGTATGCAGATTTGTGGATGGAAAAACTGGTGCTCCCAGGAGGAGGGGAGCAGATTGAGGAATTACTGACACCTTCTAGGGGCGACCAGCCAGATGTGCAGGTGAAGCACAAGACAGGTTCTCTTCATGCCTCCACTATCCTGGCCTCGACCAAACTGCAGAGGGAAAAACTCAGGTGAGAGTGAGAAAGCACAGTCACTTTCAGTTAGGTTTGTAGCGGTGTGATCGTCACTTAGCACTCATTTATTCGTGTATTCATACATTTATGCATGTTTCTTTCACAGATCAAACTGTTGAGGGTCCACAAACAGGCTGAAGACCTCGTCTGGAGGGAGACTGCAGTGAACCCAAGATCGTTCAAATAAGCGCATCGACATAACAAGATTTAGAAAAGAATAAGCACGGTGCTGTGAGAGCAGCTAGCGGGGGCTGGACTGGGTCCCTGCGGCCAGGCTTCCAAGTCGAGCTGCCGTTTGGGTGGGACCAGAAGACGGGCTAGTCTGCGCCCCAGGATCCCTCCCTGAGGACAAACAGAAGGCCGGGTCCTCCCTTCTCCCGCTTGTCCTTCGGCATTCGCGGGACCTGCATGCTAGACCAGCTGGCCGGACAGCTCGCTAGGACCCGCGGGTGCGGCTGGCCCCTACCATTTCCGCTTCCTGCCGTGGGGCGGGGTTTCCGGTTGTCGGAGGCGAGGCTTGTCGGCTGTCAAAGGGGCGGCCCGGCCCGGCCCGGAAGCTACAGCAGCGGCGCGGAGACTGCGGGGCGGGCCATGGCGGCGAACCTGAGCCGGAACGGGCCAGCGCTGCAAGAGGCCTACGTGCGGGTGGTCACCGAGAAGTCCCCGACCGACTGGTGGGCGGCGAGACGGGCCAGGGTCGGGCCAGGGGCTGCCTCAGGGGTGGGTCTGTCTGGGGCGAGCGGGGGACTCGGGGGGAGCGGGAGCGCGAGCGCGGAGCGGTGCCCAGGCAGGTGGCCTGGGGCTTACCTGTCTGCCCCTCCACACCGCAGCAGGAGTGCTGTCTCACCCTCGTGACCCCTTGCCCCGCCGATCGTGGACAGGTTAAACCCGGCTTGGGGGGACCCAGTGAGTCCCCGCCCCTCCCCCTGTCGCTCGCCACCCACTGTGGGCTTCGCGGGCTTCCATGTTGGATCCTCGGCCTGGTCGTGCTTGCTAGCTTCGCCAGGTTCTTCTTTCCAGTCCTGGGACTTCCCTGGAGAAGGGGTTCCTGCACAGCCCTCTCTGAGAAGGCGGAAGCCACGCCCGGTTTTTTTGCAAACGCTGTGTTCGGGGATGGGCATTTGAGAGCGGCCTGGCAGCCGGGCTGTGAATGTGAGCCCTGCCCTGGGGGCTTCAGACGAGGAGCTCAGGGATCTGGGTTCTTGGCTGTCTGTGAACGTGGACTTCAGAACTTTCGTTTCTCCAAAAAGTGTACTCTTTCTTGTGCCTGAGCCATGGGAAGATGTACGAAAGTAGGATGCTCGCTATCTATTTGGGAAAAGGTCCCATTTTCCCTCTACCACCCAAGATATCCTCACTTTCCTCTTTGCTTAAATTGTTTTTACTGACCAGTTTTGAGAAATCCCAGTTCTGAGAAATATGCTGAGTATGGTGGGCTAAGGTGACCAACTTTGGGGAATAGAAACTGGGCCTTGGAGTCTGAGTCGTGGTGGGGCCACACTGTGGTCAGCACTGAGGCCCTCCCAACTGTCTTCCCCTTGTGTGGGGGCCATCTCCACTTGTGTAAGTGCTTTCTCATCTCCTCTGCTCTCCGTAGTGCCCAGCACAGAGCGGCTTTTATGCAGTGTACTATTGTGACCCTGAGGATGTTATGGCTTTGCTTTTTCCTCAGCCCTGGGCCATTAGGGGAAGAGCTTTAGAACACCAGTTGCTTGGTTCTATGGGGTCTCTGTAGACTCTCCTGTCAGGTCTGAGTGCCCTGGATGGCACTTATGCCAAACAGCACATCTTCTGTTTTGGAGGCATCTAAAGAAGGATATCTCGTCATTTCCTTGGTGGGGTTTTCTGCCTGCTTTATAATCCCTCAGATTTACCCACGTCAGTCAGTGTTATTTTTCTCAGGAGAGTTTCTAGATGTCAGCCCTCTGTTTTGCCTCTCTCCTATTCCTGTTCGTGTTTCTCTTAGACCTCTCCTGTTACTTCAAACCCAGTCAAAAGTATCTCTGCAATGAGTGCCCCATTTTCATGTCCACATCATACCACTTGGCTTTAGAACCCAGAAGAATCTTTGCCCCTCTTCAGCCCTGCCAAATTAAAGATTTTGCTTCTTAACATGCTCTTGATCACTCTGTTTACCCTGGCAGACTTACCTAGGAGCTTCCTGGCACTCCTCATCTATCTCCCTTCCAGGTCTCTCTTCATCATCAGTCTTCTCAGGAACCATCACTGGTTTGGGATGATGCCTCCCAGCCCACCTGGCAGTTTGGGCTTCCCTCTTCAGACCTCCTATGTTCCTAGCCTTTCCTTGGGCTGCTTACGAGAGCTGTCTGCTACCACTCCTGGCCCGGTGCTTACCCACCCCATCTACTCTCTGTCCCTCATGAGGGTTGTGGAGCCTCCTCTTTCCCCTCATGAAGTCAGAACCCACCCATCTCACTGGACTCATCTGCCCAGACAGCCATGCTATGCTCCCTCCCTACCTCCAGGCTCCTGCAGCACTACAGGTTGTGTCACTCAGCAGCATAACCCACTGACCTCCACCCTCATCGTCACAGCCATTAAGGTAGTTACTCAGCAGATACTATGTGGCAGATTCCTGCACACTGCGGAAAAATATCTGGACCATGTCACTTCCGTGTCTGTAACTCTACAGTGGCTTCCTGTTGCATGTTGAATAAAGCCTAGACTCCTTGCCCTGCTGATGCCCTGCATGACCCAGAACCTACCACCCCTTTCATTTACCACACTGTGGCCACACCTGTTTGTCACCACTCTGGCCGTCTTTCTCTTCCTCAAACTTACAAGCTGGTTCCTCTTCAGAGTCCTTGCTCTGCTGCTTCCTCTGCATGGAGCACACTTTTTCCACATCGTCCCAGGTGGCTCCCCAGCCTTCACTTCTTGGCCCCGAGGTTGCCTTCTCAGAGAGGCCTTCCTTGATTCCTAGCTCCTTGTTTGTAGGCACTTTTTCCCATCTTTCTGTTTGACTTCCTTCAGACACATGCCAGACACAAAATATGCTGGAAATCCTTATGGATTTTCTTGTCACCTTTATCTCTTACTAGAAGGGGTGGGGTGGGCTCTGTCTCTGTCCTCGGTGCTTGAGGCACGGTTGTTACATGTGGCAGATGCTTAGATGAAGGATGGACCAAGTCATACAGAAAAAGTGGTAGAGATATCAGAGGAAGAAGAGGTGGTCTCTAGTTTGGTGGGTCATAAGAGGTTTCACACACACAGTGCTGGCATTGGGGAGGGCAGATAGAGTGGGGAGCAACCATGACATCAGCTCTCCATCTTGGATCTGTCTCCCGCCCCTGCTTACTCCGTATCTTGGCATGGTTTGTTCTCACCTGGTTCATGTGTCACCTTCAGCACCTGCTTCACTCTCTAATAGTACGTTAGTGTTAGGTGTGTGTTTTTTCTTCCGTTAGAAAGTAAGTTCCATGGGCAGGACCTTTTAGGGATTGTTCATAGCTGCATTCCTGTAACTAATAAGCAGTAGGCTCTCAGTACTTATTTTCAAAGGCACTATTGAATTATAAGATGCTTGACACTCCATATGCCTTGCTGTTCAGAGGCCAGTGCACCATGTTTTTTCATGTTGATTTGAAACTTCCTTCGCCCTTCTTTCAAAAGGCCTCTGAACTGGGAATGAGCCTCTGCGCTGGGAACATTCTTAAAGGTGGCCTGGGGTAGAGAGGGATCAAGTCAGAGGGATAGGTGGCAGGCATTGAGCTTGGCTCTTATTATATTAGCTGCTGAGTCCCTTTTTTTTTTTTTTTTTTTTTTTGAGACAAGAGTCTTGCTCTGTCGCCCAGGCTGGAGTGAAGTGGCACGATCTTGGCTCACTGCAACCTCTGCCTCCCAGGTTCAAGTGATTTTCCTGCCTCAGCGTCCCAAGTAGCTGGGATTACAGGCACCCACCACCACACCCAGCTAATTTTGTATTTTTAGTAGAGACGGGGTTTCCCATGTTGGCCAGGCTGGTCTCAAACTCCTAACCTCAGGTGATCCACCCGCCTTGGCCTCCCAAAGTGCTGGGATTACCGGCATGAGCCATCGCAGCTGGTTGAGTCCCTTCTTGCAAGAGCTGGGTTGAGCTGCCATCTTCTGTTACCTGCTGCTTGTGCCAGCTTGCTATCTTCTGGGAGCCAGGGCTTTGTGGCCATCAAGAGGAATGGGCTTCTTTCCTCCAGGGAGTTCCCCCCAGCTCATGCTGGCAGTGTGCCACCTCCCAAATCTTTCTCTTGTTTTTCTGTGTTCTTTTCTCTAGTTCCTTTTCTCTGAGTGTTTCTCATTCAGTGTTTCTCTCCTGTATTCTGTCTCCCCTCCTGGTAAGGAGTGCCTTTTCCCGGAGGCCTGTCTCCTCCCTACCAACCAGATCCACTGGGCCTGGGTCTAATTTCTTCCATTTTTCTGAGGCATAAGTATCTCTGCCCAGTGGCACTGGCAAAGCCCTGGGGAAGCCAAGTTGAAGCTGATTTGGTTCCTGTCCGACTGTTTATCCCTGGAGCTTCTGTCTGGCCTGCCTCAGCAGGCCTGTGCTTTAGAGCCTGGGGAGATGACACACACTGGACTGGGTTTTGCCTTTGACTTATAGTCCAGTGGGTCAGTGCCTCCAGCCCATGTCCAGCAGCCCTGCTGGGGATGTTCAGTTGCTGCAAGGTTCATGCTATTAGCAAGCCAGAATGAATCTTTACCAGAGTTTTGTTTTTGTTTTTGTTTTTAAGAGTTGGGGTTTCACTCTGTTGTTTGGGCTGGAGTACAATGGCATCATCATGGCTCACTGTAGCCTCGACCTCCCAGGCTTAAGCAATCCTCCCACCTCAGCCTCCCGAGTAGTTGGGACTACGGGCATATGCCACCACGCCTGGCTGATTTTTGTATTTTTGGTAGAGACAGGGTCCCACCATGTTGCCCAGGCTGGTCTCAAACTCCTGGGCTCAAGCGACCCTCCTGCCTCAGCCTCCCAAAGTCCTGGGATTACAGACACGAGCCACCCACCTGGCCCAGAGTTCTGTTCTTTTTTTTGAGATGGAGTCTCACTCTGTTGCCCAGGCTGGAGTGCAGTGGCGCGATCTTGGCTCACTGCAAGCCCCGCCTCCCGGGTTCATGCCATTCTCCTGCCTCAACCTCCTGAGTAGCTGGGACTACAGGTGCCTGCTGCCACGCCCAGCTGATTTTTTGTATTTTTAGTAGAGATGGGATTTCACCGTGTTAGCCAGAATGGTCTCGATCTCCTGACCTCGTGATCCACATCTGCCCGCCTCGGCCTCCCAGAGTGCTGGGATTACAGGCGTGAGCCACTGCGCCCAGCCCAAAGTTCTTATGAATAATTAATCTTTCAGGAAAAGAAAGCCATGGCCCCATGTCACCCATGGAGAGATAAGGCTCTGCTAGATAGAAAACTTGCTCATGGGTACCTGTCCGTGAGGGGCTTGGCAGGTTCATGGCTTTAACTGTGTGATTTCATGTCGTGTCATTCCTTTGTGGTTTCTGATAAACACAACCTGTGGTAGTCTGTGTTTACCAAAGAGTCTCAAGCCTGGAAGGACCTGCTGCCCTACCCACCAGGCTTCACTGGAGCCAGGGCAGACGTGCACAGGAGTGGTGGGCAGCCTTCCAAGGGGCCCAGTGTGTGTATTTCTCCGACTTGCTTCTCCTTTTGGGTGCTCTGGGTTCAGGAATATGTAGATATGTTTTGTCTCTTCAAATCCATATACCTAGTGGCCAGGTGAGTATTTGACACATGAATGTATAGCAGTCATTGGGAAACTCCACAGCTCATGTTTTCCTCATAGTAGATGTGTGCTCCCATCTCCATGGCTTTGTCCCTCACAACCCCCACCCCATGGTAAGTCAGGCCAGTGTCCTCCCAGCTGCAGAGCTGAGAAGGCTGCACAGTTGCCTACTGAGAACCTGCCTAGTGGGTCAGAGCAAAGTGAGAACGGGCCTGTGCCCACCCACAGTGTTACTGTCAGCCCAAGCTCTTTGGGATGTAGTGGAAAGTCATGGTGGATACGGTGAGGAGAGATGGAACCCAAGGTGCTGGCTACAGAGCTCACTTGTGTTTCGTTTCAGGGCTCTCTTTACCTATGAAGGCAACAGCAATGACATCCGCGTGGCTGGCACAGGGGGTGAGTATGACTCCAAATGGACTCAGGGACACCAGGAGGTAGGAGGGTGACGACGAGGGGTCAGCGCACTCAGCTGTCTTGGTCCACTGAGCCACATGGGGCTTCCAGTGCTCACTGGCCACTTCTGGCAGGCCTTAGGTTTCAGATATGTGTAAGTGAAAACATTCCTCCTTGGTTCTCCTTCCCTCTGGGTGCAGGGGAGTGCTTTCTCTTTGTCTACTTGGGGAGAGCTGAGAGGGAAACAGGCCTCTCCAGCTTGTGGGCAGCCTGCGTTGGGAGCTGCGGTGGGAAGCTCACCAGTCCCAGAACTGGTGCTGGTGGAAAGAAAGTCCACAGACATATCTTCTTCTCCCTTTGTCCTGCCCTGGTCTTGTGCCGAGTGCTTGCAGGGGCCCCATCCTCACTGGGAGAGGCAGTATCACTGCAGATAGTCACGGGGGAGGCTCTGGAGGTCTCTACAGGAAGGACAGGCTCTTGGCCAGCACAGAGCAGAGGTTGTCAGGGTAGGCTTCGTCAGAGTGTGACCTGTGGGCCCCTCAGCTGACACCCGTGACTGCTCCTCCTCCAGAAGTTGCCTGACCCCTCCCTCTGTCCTGAGCTGGACATGGCTTCATTGTTCAATGAACACTCGGAGTGGTTCTCCACGGTTTGATGTCTGTTGTTGGTAGAAAGCCCCTTCCTTTCACAATCTTTCTGGGAGGTGTCCCCTTTCTAGAAGGATTGCCATTGAACAGTAGACATGTGGTGTGGCAGGTGACTGGGAGTTGCAGAGATCAACAACTTGAGAGTTTCCTGTCATCCCCAGTGGCACAGGACAGGGCTCTGCCACAAATGCAACAATTTGCTGTCCCCAGAGTGGGGCTCATGACTGCCTCCACTCATACGGAGCCCTGTAGATGAAATACCTGATCAGCTCTTCCTCCTTATAACCTGGAAAAGTTTGTGAGGGCTAAGCCTCAGTGTCAGGGAGAATTGTTTAGAGCTGCCCACTCCTGTGCTCCCCCTGTCCCCATCACCCTCTCTTCTGGAGTCTGAGGACTGAGCCAGTTACGCCACTGCAGGATGTTCAATCTGGTCTGGCCGTCTGGGTGGCCCTGGAACTTGAGCAGACACAGGTGCAGGCAGTGGTGACTCTACAGGCCCTGCTATTCCGGGCCCTTTTGCAACGTTGTGGCAACAATAAAATTTTGACGTAGCCATCCTCCATTTGGAAGTCTGGTGGCTGGTTTGCCGTGGAAATGACCCTGTTTTTATTTCCAGAATTACCTCTGGGTTTAGAGAAGTGGTTTTTAAACGAGTGTGGGTAAAAAAAATTACCTGAGGTACTTGTCAGAATCGCAGACTTCTAGGTCCCACCCAGCTCTCATCAATCAGTTTAGTGAGGGTGGTGCCCAGGACTCTGATTTTAAACATACCCCTAGAAAGATTCTGATACAGGTAGAGGTGAGAAGCCCTGGTTTAGAAGCAGCTCGGCCTCCCTTCATGGTGGGACCAGGGCCAGCAGGGAATGTCAGGGCCACCCCTGACCTTCACTGTGACTCTGCTGCAGAGGGTGGCCTGGAGGAGATGGTGGAGGAGCTCAACAGCGGGAAGGTGATGTACGCCTTCTGCAGAGTGAAGGACCCCAACTCTGGACTGCCCAAATTTGTCCTCATCAACTGGGTATGTGGAGCCTGTTTCATCTAGGTGTGACCCAGGAAACCCCATTGTCTTCTTTCCTGTTTTGACTTGACTTCAGGAACAAAGTGTTTTACTGGCATGACTTAGTAGATCAATAGAACAGCTCTGAGCTGGTGAATGAGCAGAATAGTTGACAGATTCATTGTGGCCCAAAGAATAACTGTGGCTTTGCTATGCAGAATTCACCTTCCAAGCCTAGAGTTCTTCCTGCAAAATGGATTAAAAGCAGTCACAGGGAGTCCTTGCTCCGTGCTCTTGAGGGTGGTTGTTCTGATGGAGTAGAGAGCCTGAGGGAGTGTTTAGGAGCCTGGGAGTACAGGGACAGGGCCTCCTTGATCCCTTGGTGGGGATCAAGAAAACTCTTGAAGGCTGGGTGGGGTGGCTCACACCTGTCATCCTAGAACTTTGGGAGGCCGAGGTGGGTGGACTGCCTGAGCTCAGGAGTTTGAGACCAGCCTGGGCAACATGGTGAAACCCCATCTCTACTAAAATACAAAAAATTAGCTGGGCATGGCAGCGTGCACCTGTAGTCCCAGCTACTCAGGAGGCTGAGGCAAGAGAATTGCTTGAACCCAGGAGGCAGAAGTTGCAGTGAGCCAAGATTGCGCCACTGTACTCCAGCCTGGGCCACAGAGCAAGACTCCATCTCCAAAAAAAAAAAAAAAAAGAAAATTCATGAAATGCCCCCACAGCGAAAGCCGGTAGCCATCCTGCCCAGGGAGAATCCATGAGCCCCTTGGAGGCATGGGAACTTACCTCACCCATGTGATGCAGTCAGAAGAATAGGTTCTGCTTTGGGGGTTGCAGTTTTCTCTTTTCTGGGACACAGGGTAGATGTTGGGTCCCCAGGGAAGGGAAGTGGCTTTGGGGGAGGCCTGGGTCAACCTGGGCATCCTTGTGTTGCAGACAGGCGAGGGCGTGAACGATGTGCGGAAGGGAGCCTGTGCCAGCCACGTCAGCACCATGGCCAGCTTCCTGAAGGTAAGGCCAGGTGAGGCCCGCTTCACTGGGAACAGGCCTCACAGGCTTGAGGTCTCGCAGGTTCCTGGGTGCGAGCAAGTGGGAATCAGAACTGGAGTTGGGAGTGTGCTCATAGCTAATGCTCTCTGCCTGCCTTTGAGGGCATGACCAGAGGCTGCTTCACTCTCGGTCAGTGAGTGCATGGGAGGTCAGGATGTTGCCAGGGCCACCTACAGGCCTGCCTCAGTGGGGCAGGATAAAGGACTATGCTGGAGCTGGTGCCGTGAGAAGGGTGGGCCCTGGTTCTGTTTTGTTTTATGATCCCTCTAAACAGTTTAGTAATACCGTCAGGATTTGGAGGAAGGGGAGAGTGCCCACCATCTTAGCACGCATGTGCCCTTTTGATGCATTCCTTTCCAGCCCCCTCTACATGGAGTTATGTCAGTCCTATAATAGAACCTTTTTAAATTTTAAAAACTATTTGTAACAAAAGCATTTGTTGGTCACTTGTCAGGTAACTTTTTGCATTTCTCTGGCAAAGGAGACTCAGAATTTTGATTTCTCGTTCTGCCAACATTTCTTCAGCTATACCTCAGTTTCCATCTAGGAGCTGATAAGAGAATTCCCAGCTTATCGATATACAGGTTTGAGTATCCTTTATCTGAAATGCTTAGGACCAGAAATGTTTTGGATTTTTTCAGATTTGGGAATGTTTTCAGTTCAGCATCCAAAATCCGAAATTCTCCAGAATCTGAATTTTTTTTTTTTTTTTTTGAGACTGAGTCTCGCTCCGTTGCCCAGGCTGGAGTGCAGTGGCGTGATCTTGGCTCACTGCAAGCTCCGCCTCCCGGGTTCACACCATTCTTCTGCCTCAGCCTCCCGATTAGCTGGGACTGCAGGCACCCGCCACCACGCCCAGCTAATTTTTTGTATTTTTAGTAGAGACGGGGTTTCACTGTGTTAGCCAGGATGGTCTCGATCTCCTGACCTCGTGATTTGCCCGCCTTGGCCTCCCAAAGTGCTAGGATTACAGGCGTGAACCACCACGCCCAGCCCAGAATCTGAGATTTTTTGAGTGCTGACATAATGCTTAAAGGAAATGTTCATTGGAGCAGTTCAGATTTTGGAATTTTAGGTAAGGGATGCTCAACCTGTATAGCAACAGTGAATGACGTCATGGGTCTGGCTTCTTATGAAGAAATCATTGGCTTACTTTTTGTAGAAAACATGCATGGCATTCTTTTATCAGAGTTTTTTTTAATTGTTTTGTTTTTTGTTTGTTTGTTTGTTTTGAGACAGTCTCACTCTGTCACCCAGGCTGGAACGCAGTGGCACGATCTCGGCTCACTGCAACCTCTGCCTCCCAGGTTCAAGTGATTTTCCTGCCTCAGCCTCCTGAGTAGTTGGGATTACAGGTGCCTGCCACCATGCCCGGCTAAGTTTTCTATTTTTAGTAGAGATGGTGTTTCCCTGTGTTGGCCAGGCTGGTCTGGAATCCCTGAGCTCAAGTGATCTGCCCTCTTCAGCTTCCCAAAGTGCTGGGATTACAGGCGAGAGCCACCGCACCTGGCCCAGAGTTTTTATAAATTGATATATAATAGTTGTACATATTTTTTGCATACATGTCATATTTTGATACCTGTATACAATGTATACGATGAATCAGGGTAATTAGCATGTTCATCACCTCAAACATTTATCTTTTCTTTGTGTTGGGAACATTACAATTTTTCTCTTCTAGCTAATTTGAAATACACAAAATTATTGTTAACTATAATTTCCCTTCTGTACTATTGAATACTAGAATTTATTCCTTCTATTTAACTGTACTTTTGTACCTGTTAAGCAACTTCTCTTCATTTTCTCTCCCCCATGCCCTTCCCAACCCCTGGTAACCAGCATTCTACTCTCTCCCTCCATGATACCCACTTTTTTAGCTCCCACATGAGTGAGAACATGCAATACTTGTCTTCTGTGCCTGGCTTATTTCCCTTAACATCATGACCTCCAGTTCCATCCATGTTGCTGCAAATGACAGGATGCCATTCTGTTTTATGGCTGAATAATATTCCCTCATGTTTATATACTAAATTTTCTTTACCCTTTCATCCATTGATGGACGTTTTGGTTGATTCCGTATCTTGGCTATTGTTAATAGCGCTGAACTTCAGAGTTGGATATATCCCCAGCAGCTGGATTGCTAGATCATATGGTAGTTCTGCTTTTAGTAGGACTAAAATACTGTTTTAAAAACCATACTGTTGTCTAGGCGCGATGGCTCACGCCTGTAATCCCAGCAGTTTGGGAGGCCAAGGTGAACAGATTACCTGAGGTCAGGAGTTCAAGACCAGCCTGGCCAACATGGTGAAACCCCGTCTCTACTAAAAAAATACAACAATTAGCCAGGTGTGGTGGCGGGCACCTGTAATCCCAGCTACTCAGGAAGCTGAGGCAGAGAATCTCTTGAACCTGGGAGGTGGAGGTTGCAGTGAGCCGAGATTGTCCACTGCACTCCAGCCTGGGCAACAGAGTAAGACTCTGTCTCAGAAAAAAACCCAAAAAACCATACTGTTTTTATAATGGCTGTACTACTTTACATTCCTACCAACAGTGTATAAGAATTTCCCTTTCTCCACATCCTTGCTAGCATTTATTTTTTATGTTTTTTATAATAGCCATTCTAACTGTGGTGAGATGATAGCCCGTTATGGTTTTGGTTTGCATTTCCCTGATGATGGTTAGTGATGTTGAGCATTTTTTTGTATGTAGTTAGCCATGCGTATATCATCTTTCGAGAAATATCTGTTAAGGTCTTTTGCCCATTTTAAAATCAGATTATTATTTTTTTGCTACTGAGTTGTTTGAGTTCCTTATATATTCTGGTCACTAATTCCTTGTCAGATGGATAGTTTGAAGATATTTTCTCCCATTCTGTAGGTTGTCTGTTTACTTTGTTGATTGTTTCATTTGCTGTGCAGAAGCCTTTTAGCTTGATGTAGTCCAATTGGTTGATTTTTGCTTTTGTTGCCTGGGCTTTTGAGGTCTTAACCCAAAAAAAATCTTTGCCCAGATCAATGTCCAGGGGCATCTACCCAGTGTTTTCTTTGAGTAGTTTCATAGTTTCAGGTCTTACATTTAAGTCTTTTTAACCCATTTTGAGTTTTTTTTTAATATGGTAAAAGATGAAGATTTAGTTTCATTCTTCTGCATATGGATATCCAATTTTCCTAGCCCTGTTTATGAAGGAGACCGTCCTTTCCCCAGTGTATGTTCCTGTCACCTTTGTTAAAAATGAGTTGGCTGTGTGTGTGAGTGCTCTGTTAGTTTCCATTGTTGTGTCTGTGTTTATGCCTGTACCATGCTGTTTTGCTTACTGTAGTTTTGTAGTTTAATTTGAAATCAGGTAGCATGAAGCCTCCAGCTTTGTACTTTTTGCTTCAGATTGCTTTAGCTATTCAGGGTCTTTTGTGGCTTCCAGATGGCATTTAAAATTAGTTTTCATTGATTAGAAGGAAGGCCTTTGATGCAAATTATGCCTGGGCTGTCTATTGATACACAGCAGGGAACAGCTACAGAAGGAACCACTGGATAGCACAGTGGAGGTCAAGGGTCTCACGTGAACTGGGACAAGAATGAGGGGTTTGCTCCAAGTTGGTTTGTTTGAGCCCTTGAGGGGAACTCGTGCCTCAGTTTTCAGCAGCCAGACAGGTGCCTTCTAGTTTCCTGATTCCAGTCCTGTGTGGTATAGTAGTGGCCCGTGCTGTATGGACTGACAGGAGTTTGGCCCATCTCCTGGGCTTGCAAAGCCCTTCTTTCAAGTGCTGCTCCTGCTGCAGGGGGCCCATGTGACCATCAACGCACGGGCCGAGGAGGATGTGGAGCCTGAGTGCATCATGGAGAAGGTGGCCAAGGCTTCAGGTGCCAACTACAGCTTTCACAAGGAGAGTGGCCGCTTCCAGGACGTGGGACCCCAGGCCCCAGTGGTGAGTGCTGCTTGCCCATCGCCAGCCCTTTTGTTGCTCAGGGCCTGAGGCAGGGGGCCAGGAATATGCACTTCCCAGCACCCGGGCTGGCTGGGCCCATGCCTGCTTAGTTTCTGCAGATGGTAACCCCTGAGCTGTGGTGATTGCCCACTGACCAGATGAGCAGGAATAGCCCTCTGACCTTGCCTAGGGGTTGGACTAGCTGTTCTGGAGCCTTCCTCTGGAGCCCAGCCTGTGTGGTCAGAGTGGAGGCTCTGCAGCATGCATGGCTATGATAGTCTGGCTGCCCTCAAGGTCATGGCACTGGAACATCTTGGGCTGCCCCTGGAGGTAGCCACCGTGGAGGAACTAAAGGAGGCATCAAGGCGGAGCCTGAAACCAGAGCAGGCCCCTTGGAGTCACGGGAGATACCTGTGGGCCTGTGGCCCCAGTGCTGTGTGGAGCTGATGGCTGGGAGCTGCGTCCGCATGCGTGTGGTTGGACGTGATTCCTTGGATGCTCTTGTGGTAGTCAGCTGTCTGAGTGCCCCTGGTCAGAGGCCTGCCTCAGAACTGCCCAATGTCTAGGAGTCTGCAGGTGGGGTATGGGGGCCTTTCTTGCCCTGGCCCCCATCCATGAGGGCGAGAGACCACCAGAGACCCCTCTAGTGTTGTCTGGGATTGAGCATCCCCCTTGGGGCAGTGTCCTGGGCTTCTTTCAGGTCATCTTGGTGTGTGTCTCCTTGAGGGTCACTGGGCAGTGCTCTGCTGCCTCTGCTGGGTCCAGTCCTAGCAGCACTCACCTGTGCTGTCGCAAGTTTAGCGTATTCTCTCCTTTGGTGCCTGTGGGCCTGGCCTTCCACCTGGGTCCAGGTCTCTAATGAGTGCTGTCCCCTACAGGGCTCTGTGTACCAGAAGACCAATGCCGTGTCTGAGATTAAAAGGGTTGGTAAAGACAGCTTCTGGGCCAAAGCAGAGGTGAGTGCTGCCCCGGGGCATGCTGGGCACGTGGGAGTGTTCTGCTTGCTGTGGCTCATCTTTCCTCACAAGTGAGCTCATGCAGCATCCACTCTCCTTGGTGCCCATTACAGATGGTCACACTGAGGCTCGGGTAAGTTAAGCCACAAGGCTAATGATCGACTGGCTCTGGTGCCCGTCTTTGGCCATGTGCCTAAAACTCAGTCCTGGGCAGGGGATTAGGCTGAAGTGGCAGCATAGGGCTGAGCGGGCAGTGGCTCTCCCTGCAGAAGGAGGAGGAGAACCGTCGGCTGGAGGAAAAGCGGCGGGCCGAGGAGGCACAGCGGCAGCTGGAGCAGGAGCGCCGGGAGCGTGAGCTGCGTGAGGCTGCACGCCGGGAGCAGCGCTATCAGGAGCAGGGTGGCGAGGCCAGCCCCCAGAGGTGAGCCAGAGGTGGAGGCTGGCCTGGGGGACCCACCCTGAGGCATTGCTGGGCACCTGCTCCATCCCATGGAGGCGAGGAGGACTAAGGGGTGTGGCATGAGAAGCTGTGACTGTGCCTCAGCTGTGCCCCACCCGGCCCTTCCCAGCAGGACGTGGGAGCAGCAGCAAGAAGTGGTTTCAAGGAACCGAAATGAGCAGGTAAGATGGGGGTGCTCTACTTGTTTGGACCTGTCCTGGCCACACGCAGAAGTCCCTGATCTCGGATTGAGGGCCCAGCCCAGACCTGGGCAGAGGCTGCCCTGCAGTCAGCTGGGGCAGGTTGGAATCTGGGCACCTCAAGAGGTGGCAGTAGAGAGGAAAGCCAAAGGCGGAAGCGTCGGGCTTGGACCACACCTGGTCCTGGGGGAGGCCCTGGGAGCCCCTTGGCTTCTGTGTTTTACTTCCTTTTTTAACGTTACTTTTTATTTTTAAATGACTTCTCTCCTGAGAACATGTTTTGCCTCCTGGCCCCACACTCACCTTTGAGGGGCTACTGGGCCGACAGCTGGAGGGGCTGTGATCTGGGGAGAGGTGGTGAAGGTTTTGCCCACTGCAGGGGTCAACATGTGCTTCCCTCCAGGAGTCTGCCGTGCACCCGAGGGAGATTTTCAAGCAGAAGGAGAGGGCCATGTCCACCACCTCCATCTCCAGTCCTCAGCCTGGTGAGCTCTCCCTTTGGGCCTGGCCATGAGGCAGCAGCAGGCTGAGGGGGAGCCTGGGGTCCTATGTGGGCTCCCCCAAGGCTAGTGACAGATATATCGGTGACGGGTGAGTGAGTGAGGAGAAGGGACACCTGGGGCCATTGACCTCATCAGTGACCACACTGGTCACCAGTTTGGCCTCCAAAAGATATTGGGCTGCGCTGTCTACCACGTCACCACATAGCACATGGCCCTGGGGCCTCTGTTCCTGCACTAGCAAGAGCAAGCCCCATGAGACTGCCTCGAGCACACCAGGGTGGAGGGTGCTGTGGGGTGCGTGGGTGTGTGGTGGTGTTTCTGAAGTGATGTATATATTTACCCGGGTTTGCAGGCAAGCTGAGGAGCCCCTTCCTGCAGAAGCAGCTCACCCAACCAGAGACCCACTTTGGCAGAGAGCCAGCTGCTGCCATCTCAAGGCCCAGGGCAGGCAAGGCGCTTGTCACCCCATGGGGACCCTGGGGGACAGCAGTGGAGAAGGGGGATGTGTGGGAGTGAGAACCTGCTGTGTTCCCTGGTGCAGATCTCCCTGCTGAGGAGCCGGCGCCCAGCACTCCTCCATGTCTGGTGCAGGCAGAAGAGGAGGCTGTGTATGAGGAACCTCCAGAGCAGGAGACCTTCTACGAGCAGCCCCCACTGGTGGGTTCCTACACTGGGGCTGGGGCCAGGAAGGGGCTGCATACTCAGGAACACTTATCACGGGCCGCCTGAGTTTTCTGGGGGCATGCAACAGGTTTTAAAGCACATGCATTTTTGGAGCAGCCCTGTGTTATAAATTGTCAGGGCACGCCCCACTCTATAGGAGGTGCTGGGTGGGAAGAGGACCTTGCAGCCTATGGCTGAGGGATTTATGCACTGTCCTGTGGCTTCTGTACTCTGGTAGGGCGGGGACAGCAGCAGCCCAGCCCCCGAGCCTGTAGACTGCTTGCCCTCTGCGTACTCCCAGCTTGACCTGAGCCATGTGGGGCAGAGCAGCGATTGTGTGTAAGGGCTGAGTCTGGGGTAACACCTTTGTCATCCCTGGGCAGGTGCAGCAGCAAGGTGCTGGCTCTGAGCACATTGACCACCACATTCAGGGCCAGGGGCTCAGTGGGCAAGGGCTCTGTGCCCGTGCCCTGTACGACTACCAGGCAGGTAAGGTGCCCTGGCCTGGCTGGCACAGACCACAGGGTCCTGAGGTTAGGAGACAAGAGGGTCTGGGGTTTTATGGGAAGATGGCACCAGGGGGTATCAGGAAGAGAAGACAGGAGGGTGGGCGGTGCGTTTAGGGGTAGAAGCACCTCTGGAGTGGGGGTGACTGTGGCACTAGAGTGTTCTGCACAGCCCAGGCCTCCCTACATGTTCCTCATTAGCTATTTGCTGGCCGCTGATGTGAATCCCAGTTGCCACCCTTGTCACAGAACATGGACTCTGAGCAGGGAGGTGGGCCAGGCCTGGATGCTGGTTCACCAGGCGTCCCTGGGTGGAGGCCTTGGAGAATGGGGTGGAGGCCCCCTACGGAGCAGGCTGGTGTCTACTCTAGCCTTTTTTGGGAATGCTCTGTAGGAGGGTATGCCCTGGGGGTGTGGTCACTGGAGCCGCATTGGGACAGGGTGCAGTGTTGGCCAAGGCTTAGCAGGGTGGCAGGGATATTTCTGAGGAGGAACCAGAGCTGCAGCGAGGTGTGCTGCAGCAGTGTGGGGCTGCCGTGGGCTGCCCGAGCAGGTGGGATGTGGGAGGGAGCCCCTGATATGCATCTGGGCTCATCCTCTTTGCAGCCGACGACACAGAGATCTCCTTTGACCCCGAGAACCTCATCACGGGCATCGAGGTGATCGACGAAGGCTGGTGGCGTGGCTATGGGCCGGATGGCCATTTTGGCATGTTCCCTGCCAACTACGTGGAGCTCATTGAGTGAGGCTGAGGGCACATCTTGCCCTTCCCCTCTCAGACATGGCTTCCTTATTGCTGGAAGAGGAGGCCTGGGAGTTGACATTCAGCACTCTTCCAGGAATAGGACCCCCAGTGAGGATGAGGCCTCAGGGCTCCCTCCGGCTTGGCAGACTCAGCCTGTCACCCCAAATGCAGCAATGGCCTGGTGATTCCCACACATCCTTCCTGCATCCCCCGACCCTCCCAGACAGCTTGGCTCTTGCCCCTGACAGGATACTGAGCCAAGCCCTGCCTGTGGCCAAGCCCTGAGTGGCCACTGCCAAGCTGCGGGGAAGGGTCCTGAGCAGGGGCATCTGGGAGGCTCTGGCTGCCTTCTGCATTTATTTGCCTTTTTTCTTTTTCTCTTGCTTCTAAGGGGTGGTGGCCACCACTGTTTAGAATGACCCTTGGGAACAGTGAACGTAGAGAATTGTTTTTAGCAGAGTTTGTGACCAAAGTCAGAGTGGATCATGGTGGTTTGGCAGCAGGGAATTTGTCTTGTTGGAGCCTGCTCTGTGCTCCCCACTCCATTTCTCTGTCCCTCTGCCTGGGCTATGGGAAGTGGGGATGCAGATGGCCAAGCTCCCACCCTGGGTATTCAAAAACGGCAGACACAACATGTTCCTCCACGCGGCTCACTCGATGCCTGCAGGCCCCAGTGTGTGCCTCAACTGATTCTGACTTCAGGAAAAGTAACACAGAGTGGCCTTGGCCTGTTGTCTTCCCCTATTTTCTGTCCCAGCTCATCCGTGTCTCTGAAGAACAAATATGCTTTTGGACCACGAATTCCCAGTTTGGTCTACACAGGCTCGCAGCTCTCACCTGTCCTGCTGTAGCCTGAATGCTCCCATGTGGGAATAGCACCCCACCACCTGCCCAGTGTCTGCCTCTGCTCCGTGTCTGGGGTGAGCACCCTCACCCTGAGACTGTGGCTGATGATGATCAGCCACCAGGAAGAGGCTAAATGTTAAGATGGGACTGAAGTTGGAGCCTTCCTGCGTTCCAGTTCCTCTAGGAGAGGCCAAGGGCTGCCCTGCTCCCAGCTTCAGGGAGCCTCTGCCTACATGGGATGGCCCACTGTGTGGCGTCAGGTACCTGGCACCCACTGAGCATCCGGGGAATTAGGTCCCTCCTGTGCCCCAGAGCTGCTAGGCAGACTGCTAGGCGGTTGACTCAAGGTGTTACCTGCTAGTGCCTGGGGTGAAGGCTGCATGGAGCCCAACCTTGCTCCTGGCCTTCCTGTGCTCAGGCCTCTCCCCTTTTCGCCAGGGCTTCCTGGTGCCTCTCCCATGAAGAGGGAACTTCCCCTCCACTCCCATGGAAGACCCAGGTTTGGGCTGTTGCCAGCTTTGAGGCCCCCTGTGGGCTTGCCTGTCCCAACCCAAGAGGCAGGGCTCAAAGTGCCACCCGGGGGTTGCAAGGACAGCAGAGGACCACCTGCCCTCTGCAGGAAGCTGTCCAGGAAGCCGTGTCCTGGGCTGTGGTCCTTGCTCCCCATGGGGAGAGCTGGGTCACTTGGCCTCTTCTAACTGGCCCCAAGCACGCCAATTCTGGAGCATGGTTACTAAGTGGCTCTGAAGCTTCAGGGTCACCACAGGCTTGTCCTGACTGCAAACTCATGGAGTGGTTGCAGCCCTGGCTCAGTGTCCTGATGACTAGGTGTGGGTACTAGGCTCCTGCCCCTGGTGACACACGTATGGAGTGGGGGAGGGTGGGTGGCTGCACCCCTGGTTCTGGAGTCCCCACAGCTGATGGCGGTGTGAGCCTGGCATGCACGGCTGCGCTGGACTCCAGGCTGTTGGGGGAGGTGCCTTTATTGCCCAAGCCCACCCCTCACTTGGCCTTGCCCTGGGCAGCCACAGCCTCCATGGCCTTCCGCACCGTTTCCTCATCACCCAGGAACTGCATGGGCTTGGTGGGCTTCAGCTCCTTGTTCAGCTCATACACAATGGGGATCCCCGTGGGCAGGTTCAGCTCCATGATCGCCTGGTCTGACATCCCTATGCCGGAAGGAATAGGTGTCCTTAGCCCCTCTGTCCCCAGCCTGTTTACACAGCAGACACTATGTGACCTTTATGGTCCACAGAGCCAGTTCCCCTGGCACCAATTCCTTCCCAGCCCTGAGAACGAGGCCACAGAAATGTTGCCAAAGGTCAAGGAGTAACTGAGTTAGACCAAGCAGCCTACAGAAATAGCCCAGTGGTGAAAAAAATGGGGACTTCAGCCCCACCCAAGTGGCTGTGATCTGTGGTGGTGCTGTCCATAGTTCCCTCAGCCCAGTGTGACTCCAGCCAGACTGAAGTTGAGGGTCAGGAAGGGACACTCACCCTTTGTTTTTTTTTTTTCTTTTCTTTTTCTTTTTCTTTTTTTTGAGATGGAGTTTTACTCCTCTTGCCCAGGCTGGAGTGCAGTGGCACGATCTTGGCTCACTGCAACCTCCATCTCCTGGGTTGAAGTGATTCTGCCTCAGCCTCCCAAGTAGCTGGGATTACAGGTGAGCGCCACCACACCCGGCTAATTTTGTATTTTTAGTAGAAACGGGTTTTACCATGTTGGTCAGGCTGGTCTCAAACTCCTGACCTCAGGTGATCTGCCTGCCTCAGCCTCCCAAAGTGCTGGGATTACAGGAGTGAGCCACCGTGCCCAGCACCCTTTGGTTTCTAAAGTGCTCTAAATTCTAGACATCCTGAACAGAGGAGCAAGTGCGGAATGGAGCTGGAGGAGGGACAGGGAGGCCGAGCCTGGTCGAAACCTGACCCTGCCTGCCTCCTGCAGCCCCTGAGCTGGGAATAGCAGCTCGACCTTTGATGTTCGCGCCACTCCACCCCTGCTCCGTGCAGGAGGGTTTAAGAAAATGTTCTCTGGGGAGTCAGAGTGAAATCCCTCATATTCACCACCAAAAGTGCGTCCCCTTTCCCCAAACCAGGCTGTGGGAGGGTCATGGGGCTGCATGAAGTCTCCGGAAGGGAGAGGAGGCAGGTGGTCCTTCCCTCTGCCTGGCCCCAGTGCCAGGTGCCAGGTGTCCGTGTTTGGAGCGGGCAGGCTTGGGGCTGGCTGGGTCTCCGGGGCCTGCCGGTCTGGGTGCTCTGGCCAACTGCCCAACGGCCCTAGGAGCAGGAGGTCTGGGGCACACCCTTCTAGCCTTTCCAGGACTCAACAAGCTTTAAGGTCATTCAGATGCTAATTTAGACTGCCCTTGTGTCAGAATACTAAGGTGGGAGGCGGAGCGGAGGTGCCAGTCACTCTGGGCGAGGCCTTACTGCGCCCATGCATCCCGGGCCCATTTGTCAGCCCTTGCTCTTCAGTGGGAGCCCAGCTGCAAGCCCAGAGTCTGGCCACTCCATAGTCCTGCACCCCTCTTTTGATTGGTCTTTCCTTTGCCCAGAGAGGGGCTCCAGAGGGAGATAGGTGGTGAAGCTCATGCAGGGATTCTGAGGACCTGATGGGGGAGGGCCCTGCGAGGGGTCCAAGCCTACATCAAGAGGAATTCAGTACCAGGGGGAGCTCCCCACCACCCCGGAAAAGGGAGAGGCCCAGAGATGGAGGTGGCTTGTCCAGGGCCCCACAGTAAGTTGGGATTTGGAGCCAGATGCTCTAAGCCCAGCCCTTCCGTTTCCTAGCTGGGTGTCCCTTGGCAGATGCCACCTTTGGAGCCTGCCCCACCTCGGGACACAGCGAGCTTCGAGTGCAGTCAGCCCCTGTGGAGTGTGTCCCAGTTACACAGAAATGGGGAAAATTTCACAAAACTAAAAAATGGCTTCTCAGCCCTCCTTTTTCAGTGAATGATGTGGAGCCCCACGCCTAGAAAGCCTGGTCCATGGGCGAGAGACTTTGCTGAGATGAGAAGCCAGCTGGGGCTGCTGCCCACCCACCCTGCCCAGGCTCCTGAAGGTGGCCTCACCTTCCAGGTGCTTGACAATGCCCCGCAGGCTGTTCCCGTGGGCTGCAATGAGCACTCGCTTGCCGGCCTTGATCTGGGGAACAATCTCCTCGTTCCAGAAGGGCAGGGCCCGGGCAATGGTGTCCTTGAGGCTCTCGCAGGTGGGGAGTTCCCCGGGCTTCAGGCCTGCGTACCGACGCTCCTGGGGGACACAGGCACGCTGCTTTCCCTCCCAAGCCAGTGGGCCCCCACCCGACTCCCCACTCTGCAGCTTCCCAGAGGCCTTCCCAGCAAAGGCAGCCCACCTTGCTAATGGAGTTGTAGTAGGGGTGCTTCTCGTCCATCGGGGGCGGCGGGATGTCGAAGGAGCGCCTCCAGATCTTCACCTGCTCCTCCCCGTGCTTGGCGGCCGTTTCTGCCTTGTTGAGGCCTGTGAGGCCCCCGTAATGCCGCTCATTGAGGCGCCAAGTGCGCACCACAGGCAGCCACATCTGGTCCGTGCCGTCCAGGATGGCCCAGAGGGTGCGGATGGCCCGCTTCAGCACTGACGTGTAGCAGATGTCAAACTCCATCTTGGCATCCTTGATGGCCTTGGCTCCCCGCTTGGCCTCCTCGGTCCCCTTTTCACTCAGCTCTGCATCGAACCAGCCACAGAAACGGTTCTCCTGGTTCCATGTGCTCTCGCCGTGCCGGACCATCACGAGGCGGTGAGTGGCCATGGTGGCAGCAGGGACCACAGAGGACTCTGGACGGGGACGGCTGCTTCCCAACACTCCCAGCTTTATAATAGTGTCTTCCCAGCCCCCACCCACCCCAGCCAACTGCCAATCAGCATTCCAGGCGGTGGCAGGTGACCAGTAGCTGAGCTGCTGGGGGCTGGGGGCCAGGGGAGTGTGCAGGCCAAGAGGCTGTGCTTAAAATAGCCCCACGCATCCACCAGCTCCTGGCCTGGGTTCAGGTGGCATGTCTATAACCAGCTGGCACCCAGAGCCCAGACTGAGTGGGGCTGCTGGTCAGGGATGGGCGTGAAGGGCAGAAGTCTGGGCCAGGGGAGATGGGGATAGCAGGGACAGAGGGGCTCTCCAGGGCAACGCTCAGTGGCCTATCAGCCATTCTCTGCTCAGACAGAGGCACAAACAAAATCCCAACCCCTTTCTCCTGTGATTGGCAGCCAGGCTAGGAGGCGGCCCTCAGCAGGCAGAGGAGGAGAGCCAGAGGAGCTGGTGCAGACCACAGCTTTGTGGAGAGGAGTCTGGCCTTGTGGAAGGTACCAGGCAGCAGCAGCAGAATGGGCAAGGGCTGGGGCTGAGCCGGGTTTCCAGGACAAAGGGGGAAAGGGCCCCTGTCTTTCCTCCGGGGTCCCTTTGTCAAGGTCTCATCCATACATGCCCCATGCTCCCACCCTATCTGCCCTCACCCAAGCCACGCTCACTCTCCTAGCCGAAACCACCTTGAAAAAGAGAAATCCAAGGGGGTTTGGGGGCAGGACTGAGGACTGTCAGAAGTCTTGATTGTTAGGTAAATGCTCAGCTTAGCAGGAACCCACAACGTAGGCTGAAGGGTGGCACGGAGTTGAGTCTAGGACCAAGACTTCTGCATTCAGGTTTGGGGGATGAGAGCCACCAAGGCAGGGAAGAGACTATGAGCAATAAAGTCACAATTGGGGCCCTAATGAAGGGGCCATGGCCAGACCCTTGGGCATGGGCCCCATCCAGGGCCTCCCATTTCCTCCCACCCCAGTGACCACACTGTCACCTGCGACACTTCTGATAACAGGAGCGGGTAGGTGAGAGGCCAGCAGAGGGACCACCACTCTGAGACTTGGATCTGAGTGTGCAAGAAACCCTCGACAGGCCTCCCTCCATCCCTGCTGGCCTACCTGGGGAGGGGCTCCTGGCTTGGGGCCTGTGAAGCTAAGGCTCTGTACCCAAAGGTTGGCAGACAAGTCCCAGTGGGCAAAGTCCTGTCGGCTGCCAGGACCCCCAAGGCTGGCAGGTGGAACCCATCCCTCCTAGCAGTGCCATGCGCAGGTCTCACTGTTCCACACTGATCCTGATTGAAGCCACATCTCCTCATCTGCTTTTGTCCCTTTGACCAAGAGTTGATTCACTAGCCCAACTAAACATGACTGAGGACCAGGCTCTGGCAGTCCCACAGGGGCCAGACATGAAGCCCATATTTCAGTGGAGGAGGGATCGTACCAGCAGCTAAACATGCCTACCGTAGATAGCACCAGATGCTAGGAAGGAAGGACCATAATGTACTGGGAGAGATGGGAAAGGAGAGGCCGGGGACAGCCCTGAGGTGACATGTGAGTGGAAAGAGCGGAGTGCAAAGGCCTCAGCTATGATGAGTCCTACAGGGAGAGCAATTCAGGTAGAGGGGTTGGCAAAGACCCAAGCCCTACAGAAAGCAAACAAGCTGGGGCAGCGACCATCAGGGGCACATGGCAGAGAGGTGGGCTTTGTGTCCCAACACAGTGGGAATCACTGGAGACTTTGAAGCATGGTCATATTTTCAAGTCACTTGCAGCTGTGTAGGAGTGGAAGTAGAAGCTGAGTACCCTGCAGGTCTCGGCAGCTTTGATGAGAACAAGGCCGCTTAGCCAGGGCTGGGTGCAGAAGCAGTGGCAAGGATCCCCCAGACCTGGGAGACCTCACTGCCAACCAAGCAGGAGGTGTCAAAAAGGAAAGGGGAGCCCAAAGAAGGGCTGGACTTCGGGGAAGCAAGCCCCTGCTTCTGACCCTTGGCTCCGGCTTGACTTTCCTTTGATTCATTTGACAAGTAGTTGCTGGCCTCTGCAGTGTGCCAGAGCTTTCTTGGAGGGGTACAGGGGTAGGAAAACCAAAAGCCACCCTCAGGGCCTCCATCCAGGAAGGCATAGCATGGTGGGCGGCGAGGAAGGCTGCTGAGTCAACAAGGTGGTCCCAGGAAGGTGGAGGGAGCATCTTCCCATGTCTCTCCCACTGACAGCCACCAATCCTGGACAGATGCAGGAGCAGCTGTCAGTAGACAGATAAGAAAAGGAGATCAGATTCAAAGTTCCGCAGAGAAGTGGTGAGGTAACAAGTATTGCCTAGCCTGGACACACAGGCGGCTTGAAACCTCAAGTGCACCAACAGAAAGAGCTCCAGGAAGAATCAGAGGAGTGGGATGTGAAGCCCCTCGAAGTCAGTGAGTTGGGGGAATCCCTCCAATTTTTCTTTTCTTCTCTACCCCAGCTCCTGGGCAGTAACATGGAGGTGGCAGTGGTGGCACAGTGACGGTAGTGTGAGCTGGGTACGCACTTGAAACCTGAGAGGGTAACGCTACCCTCTGTCTAGAGGAGCCATGGCCCCAAAAGCATGGGGCAACCACCTTCTGCAGCTCCTTTCTGCCCCCCTGCGCTGGGCCCTGGATGCAGTTTCAGGGAGTATGCAGCAGGGTAGGTAGGGAAAGAGCCCCAGATTTGTGGCTGGAGGTCTTGGTAGGGATGTTGCAGGGAGCTGTTGTGTTTCAGGGAGAGTACAGAGAAGGGAGAGATGAAGTGAGTGATCCGATAAAGTGATATGTGAAGTCATTGGCTTGCTGCCAAGCTGCGCACAGGGCTGACCCTAGATGCACATTGCAGGTCCCAGACTGACCGGTGTAGATACAGGACTAATATGACTAGTAGTGCAAACACTTTAAACAGTCAACATTCTGCTTAGGATTTAAACAAGGTCCAGAGTCTCAACATAATATTTAAAATATCCAGGTTATCCAAAATAACCCAGTGTATGAAAACCAGGAAAATCTTAACATGGGAGAAAAGAAGATGATCAATACATGCCCATCCTGAGATGATTCAACTATTGGAATGATCAGATACAGACTTCAAAGCAGCTATTTATAACCAGCCTTCAGAAAGTATTGGTGAATATTCTTAAACAGAATGGAAATGACAAAGCATGGAGTCCATAAATTAGATGATAGTTTGGAAAAAGATATAAACTTACAAACCAAGAAGCTCAGTGAACCACACAACTGGATAAATTAACAACAAAAGTCCAAGCTTAGACACATCATAAAGAAACTTCTGAAAACTAAAGACCAAGAAAAATAAGATCAGCCAGAGAAAAACGATACATTTCATTCAGGTGAACAATTCTTTGAAAGACTGGATCTTCACCAGAAACTATAGAGGCCAGAAAGAAGTGGAACATTTTTAGTTTTGAAATAACTGTCACCCAAGAATTCTATATCCAGTAAAAATTTCTATTTTACTGGAATAAAAGAATGAAATAAAGACATTCTCAAATGAAGGCAAGCTGAGGAAATTCATAACCAAAGAATCTGCTTTAAAAAAATGTTAAACCAAGTTCTTCAGACAGAAGAGATTACTGGGGGCAATTCAAAACTTTGGGAATGCAGGAAGAACATCATAAATGGCAAAAGTCCACATAAATATGAAACTATTCTTTACTTCTTTAAGAGTTATGTGATGGTTGAATTAAGTCATGATACTGTCTGATGGAGGCTTCAGTGTATACAGATGTAAGACAACTAGAACATGAGGGGAGAAGGGTGAAGGGACCTAGATGGTAGTGAGGTTTCTACATGCTACTTGAAATGGCAAAACATTAATCTAAATTGACTGTAAGAGTATGTGTATTTGGCCGGGCAGGGTGGCTCATGCCTGTAATCCCAGCATTTTGGGAGGCCAAGGTGGGTGGATCACCTAAAGTCAGGAGTTCGGGACTAGCCTGACCAACATGGCAAAACCCTGTCTCTATTAAAAATACAAAATTAGCCAGGTGTGGTGGTGCATGCCTGTAATCCCAGCTACTCGGGAGGCTGAGGCAGGAGAATTGTTTGAAATCGGGAGGCGGAGGTTGCAGTGAGCCAGATTGTGCCATTGCACTCCAACCTGAGCGACAAGAGCGAAACTCCATCTCCAAAAAAAAAAAAAAAAAAAACACAAAAAAACTATGTGTATTAGAACCCCTAGAACAACCACTATGTGTGTGTGTTGGGGGTGTGTGTGTGTGTGTATAGGGAGAAGGAGAGATAGGAGGGAAGGAAAAAAGGAAAGAAGAAACAGCAATGGAAAACAGGGAACAAACAGAAAACAACATAATGGTAGATCTAAAGCCAAACATTTCAATAGTTGCATTAAACATAAATGGCCTCATCACGCCAATTCGACATATTATCAGTTTGGATTATAAAAACCTAATTATATGCTGTCTTTAAGTAACTCACATTAAATATAACAGGATACAAGTAGGTTGAAGTAAAAGGTAACAACTCATTCTCTGAGGGCAGTATTACCCTGATACCAAACCCAGACAAACAACCTAAGGAAACTACAGACCAACCTCTTATGAGTACATATGCAAAAATTGAGAGTCCAGGGAAAAATCCTTCACACAATGGTTAATTGATTTTTGACAAGGGTGCCAAAATAATTCAATGAGTAAAGAATAGTATCTTTAACAAATGGTGCTGGGACAACTGGATTTCCACGTGCAAAACAATGAATCCCCACTTTACACTTATATAAAAATTAACTCAAGGCCGGGCACTGTGGCTCACACCTGTAATCCCAGCACTTTGGAAGGCCGAGGTGGGCAGATCACGAGGTCAGGAGATCCAGACCATCCTGGCTAACACGGTGAAACCCCGTCTCTACTAAAAATATAAAAAATTAGCCGGGCGTGGTGGTGGGTGCCTGCAGTCCCAGCTACTCGGGAGGCTGAGGCAGGAGAATGGTGTGAACCCGGGAGGCAGAGCTTGCAGTGAGCCGAGATCGCACCACTGCACTCCAGCCTGGGCGACAGAGCGAGACTCCGTCTCAAAAAAAAAAAATTAGCTGGGCTTGGTGGCTTGTGCCTGTAGTCCTAGCTACTTGGGAGGCTGAGGCAGGAGGATTGCTTGAGCACAGGAGTTTGAGACTGCAGTGAGCTATGATCATACTACTGCACTCCAGCCTGGGTGACAGAGCAAGACCCTGTTTCTGGGGAAAACAAAGAAACAAACTATAAAAGAAAGCAAAGAAAATCTTTGTGATTTGGGGTCAGAGATAGGACTCCAAAAACATAAGAAAAAAACTGGTAAACTGAATAAATTGATAAACTGGACTTCACAAAAATTAAATACATTTACTATGAAAAAAACAGTGCTAAAAGAAGAAAGATAGTCTACACACTGGGAAAAAATATTTACCAGTCACCATAGTGGCACATAAAGAACTCTCAAGATTGAACAGTAACAGATGGGCATGGTGGCTCATGCCTGTAATCCTAGCACTTTGGGTTTTGCCATGTTGGCCAGGCTGGTCTCGAACTCCTGACCTCAGGTGATCCACCCACCTTGGCATCCCAAAGTGCTGGGATTACAGGTGTGAGTCACCATGCCTGGCCAACAATTCCATTTTTAAAAATGAGACTTGAACAGCCACTTCACCAGTGAGGACATAGAAGCCAGTGAACAGATGTTCAACGTTATCAGGCATTAGGGAAATGAAAATAAAACCACAGTGAGCTACTGTTATGTACCTACTACTAGAAAAGCTAAAGTTAACAAATACTGCAACTATCAAGTGCTGACAGGGATACAGAGCAACTGCCTACTGTGGTGTTTAACTTACAGGGGTGCTCACAACGCTGGTGGACTGCAAAATGACAGACGCACTCGGGACAACAACTTGGCTCTTATGAAATAAACATATACTTACCAAATGACCCAGTAATCCTGTGCCTATTTACCCAAGAGAAATGAAGACCCATGTGTTACACGAAAACCTGTACATGCATGTCTGTAGCAGTACGATTCATCATCTCCAAACCCTGGAAACAACCCAGACTTTTTTTCTTTTTAGGCAGACTCTTGCTCTGTCGCCCAGGCTGGAGTGCAGTGGCACAATCTCAGCTCACTGCAACCTTGGCATCCCAGGTTCAAGCAATTCTTATGCCTCAGCCTCCCGTGTAGCTGGGAATACAGGTATGAGCCAACATGCCCAGCAAATTTTTGTATTTTTTGTAGAGATGGGGTTTCGCCATGGTGGCCAGGCTGGTCTCAAACTCCTGGCCTCAAGTGATCCACCCGTCTCAGCCTCCCAAAGTGCTAGGATTACAGGCATGAGCCACGGCATCCGGCCACAACCCAGACATTCAACACCTGAATGGATAAACTGTAGAACACCCATGGCATGGAACAAATTACAAACTCAACATACCCAGCAACCTGCAGGAACGTCAAAGGCATTAGGCTGTGGGGAGAGGCCAGTCCAAAGGTTAAATATAGTTTGGTTCTATTTACATGACATTCTAGAGAAAGCAAAACTATAGGGATGTAGCACCGCTAAGTGGGTGGGGGTGGAGAAGCACATGACCACAATAGGACAGCATGGGAAGTGTTCTGGGGATGGACCTGGTGTGCCCTACGTGTGCAAAAACTGCACCCCAAGAGTCAACTTTACTGCATGTTTTCAAAATATTTTTTAATGTGATGAGTGGTCTGGGAAATCCTCGCCTAACAAAGTGGCTTTTGATTCAAGGCCTGAAGAAGGGGAGGGCCCACTCCAGGTAGATGACATGGCCAGGGCAAAACCTGAGGCCAGAGTGTGCCTGGGGATATGAGGGACGTGGAGGGCACCCATGTCCAGCCCACCTCAGTGCTTCTGCCTCAGTGAGAAGGGGAGGGAGTTGGCCACAAGGGGGCCTGGGTGCATCAAATAGGAAGCCGGTGAGTCAAGCAGCTCGGGGCCAGTGGGGCTGGAGAGATGCCAGAGCCAGGGGCTATGTGTGGACTTAGGGTTTGGAACCATTAAAGGGCTCTGCGACGGGAGTGGCAGGATATGACCTATTTTTGAGACATTGTGCTGAGAACAGGCCTTAAAGGCAGAAGCACAGAGCCTGGCTCGGGGCGCTGCAGTACTGAAGCCCCATAGTTGAAAATTATCTTCCTCCCAGCTCCTACCCAGGCCCTCTCCCTCTCCAGATGCCTACAGCACACCAGACAGTAGGCTCCTTGCTGGCACGAACCACAGCCTCCAGCTCATGGCTCTCAAATGCAGTGCAGGTATGCATGGTTCTCTTCTGGGCATTCTGGGCAGGGTGCCCTGCAGGAGCCACAGTTAACTGCAGTGCAACTAATGAGACACTGCACATCAGGGACCACTTGCCATTCATGACTGCAGGCCCCACCACAGCTCCACGATGTGGGCCCCACTCACATCCCATCCAGGGCAGGAACGTGAGCCATGGGGAGGCTAAGAGCAGACCCAGGGTCACACAGTGATGAGGCTGGCACTGAGGGCTCCCACCTCATCACACCCTGCAGCACACCAGCAGGGGCTCAACTGATCCTGCAGGCACAATTGACCTCCGGAAGAGCCAGGCCTTGGCGGGGAGGGGTGAAGGTGGGGGTCAGGGGGCAGCATATCTGCCTGGAGACATTCAGTGGCCAGGTTGGGGGCAGCCCAATTTCCTGAGTGGAAGTGGGGGACACAGGCAGGCTCAGGCGTTTCTCTGCTCTGGAGGAAGGTACTCAAGGCCCAGGTGTCTGAAGATGTCTTCCTCTGAAGCCGCTTGGAAAAATGTCTTCTGCAACAGAAGCAGGACTTCCGTGACCTAGGAGTCTTGCCACTGCTGCTTCCCTGCAGGAAGACTGAGGGTGGGGAAGAGCCCAGCGCCGAGGTGGGGTGTGCTCTTGAGGGCCAGGAACTGTGTGTGGAGACCCAGATTCGGGTCCTATGGGTTTCAGGCTGGAGGGGTCTGGGGCCATTTCAGATTGTGGGTCAGGGAGCGGACTATGGGTGCTGTTTGCTGTCCCCAGTCCCCAACAATGTACCTGCTCCGGGTCAAACAGCCCATGGCTGTTCAGCCACAGGCCCTTCTCCTTCCGGCTGAAGCGGCGCAGCTCCCGCTGGAAAAGCTGTAGGGAAGGGATTGTCCTCAGCAGGGCTGGCCCAGCCCCACCCCCAGGCGGCCCAGCGGCACACTGCCTACCTTGGAGCCAGTCCAACCGAGCAGGGCGAAAGGGAACTGGCTGACGGGTGCAACTACCAAGTCCACTCTCACGGCCTTCCAGGATGGGCAGGGCCTCGTGGATCCCCCCACAGCAGCCCCTGGAGGTTGTGGTAGGCGGAAAATGCAGAAACTTCTCTCAAAAGCGTCCATGTGGCTCTGTTGGGCCAGGCGGGTAGGGGACTCACAGCAGCTGTGCTGGTGCTGGTGGTACAGGATGAGGCCCTGTGGGGAGAGGCGGGCGTGGCTGAGACCATCCGGTGGTGTGGAGAGAGCAGGAGGCAGTGGCATTGGCCAGCGGTGGCTCTTGGGGAGCAGGGAGGCCCTCACCTGGTCCTGCAGGCGGCACATCACTCTAGGCAGCAGCCCCGCCTCCTGACCCTCCTTGGGGTGGGTGATGAGGAAGTCCACGTCATGGCCCTGCAACTTCCCCCTGAGGGCGTCAGTCTGACTCTGACTCAGGGACACGGCCTGCTCACTCCAGCCCCAGGCCACATCCCTTCCAACGAGTGGGCCCGCTTCAGGGTCCCCGACTCAGGTCCCTTCACTGGGGAGGGGTCTGAAGCCAAGCCAGAGGGGCACGTCGGGCCTTCTTACCTGCGGAAGCCGCCGGTCAGCGTGACGGTGGCCCCAGGCAGGGCCTGCCCCACAGCTTCCTCCACCACCTGCTGCAGGGCATCTACATCGGACCGCAGGACTGGGGTGCTCAGGTCCTGGTGGTGCTGGAGCCCTGGGGGCAACACCGGCCCTCCTGACTCACCCAGCCTGCCCACCACACCGAGCCCCCATCCCTCACCAGCATGAGGTGATCAACCTGGGGCCCCGTCATTGCAGGACCAGGAGAGGCCTCCGAGGAAGGTGAGGCTAGGGCAGGGAGCAGAGTGAGATCCCAATCTAAGCCTGACACTATCTTCTCTCCCCCTTTAAATTTTAAACTTTTATTTTGAGACAGTTGTAGATTCACTCGCAGTTAAAAGAAATAGCACAGAGGGAGATCCCATGTGCCTTTTACCCAGCTCCCCCAAAAGGTTAACCCCTTACAAAACTATAATTTTGCAACCAAATATAAGGATACTGATGTTGATACAGTCATGCCACAGGCTATCTCTTTTGATGGCTGTTTTTCCTTATGCATAAAGTGGGACCAAGAGGTGGTAAAAGGATGGAAGATGGCTTTGCCATGACGAACACCTCACTCTGGCCTACTTCTGTTTCCTCACCTATCAGCCTCCCACACGCAGTTAAGGAGAGGTTTATTTATTTATTTGAGATGGAGTCTCGCTCTTGTTGCCCAGGTTGGAGGGCAGTGGCGCAATCTGAGCTTACTGCAACCTCCACCTCCCAGGTTCAAGTGATTCTCCTGCCTCAGCCTCCCGAGTAGCTGAGATTACGGGTGTCTGCCACCACACCCAGCTAATTTTTTATTTTTAGTAGAGACAGGGTTTCGCCACGTTGGCCAGGCTGGTCTTGAACTCCTAACCTCAGGTGATCCACCCGCCTCGGCCTCTCAAAGTGCTGGGACTACATAAAGATGTGAGTCATGGCACCCAGCTAAGGAGAGGTTTAAATGTGAGGAACAGCAGCACCTGGCACAGTGAGCTCTCAGTAAACGCTGCTAACCATTCCTGACTACTCTTGCCATGGGGAGAGGCGATCAAGAGGAACCAGCTCTGCGGGTCTCACCTCCTGTCAGCTGAACTGGGCAGTGGCCCGGGGGAAGATGTGCGAAGAGGCAGTGGAGCTGGCAGTGCCTGCTGGGCTGTGGGGATTGCTTCAGCAGAGCCCTCAACCCAAGGGAGGTCCCAGATGGTGTGGCCAGAGTAGCCAGGCAGGCCATGCAGAGAGAACAGAGTATCTGCTCAACACCTGCCACTTGCCGGCTCTCACAGGGGAGCCTACGAATTCATTCCTTCCCACCTTTTTTTTTTTTTTTTTTTGAGATAGGGTCTTGCTCTGTCACTCAGGCTGGAGTGCAGTGGCTCAATCTCAGCTCATTGCAACTTCCACCTTGGCCTCAAGGCTTGACCTCCCGGGCTCGAGCGATCCTTGTACCTCGGCCTCATGAGTAGCTGGTACTACGGGCATCCACCATCACGCCTGGCTAACTCTTGTATTTCTCGTAGAGACAGGGTTTCACCCTGTTGCCCAGACTGGTCTTGAACTGCTGAGCTCAAGCGATCTACCCACCTTGACCTCCCAAAGTGCTGGGATTACAGGTGTGAGTCACCATGCCCAGCCTTCCTTCTCCATTTTACAGAAAATGTAACAGACTCAGAGAGGTTATTTCTTGGGCAATGGTCACCTACCTGGCAAATGGTAGATAAGACTCAAACCCAGGCCTAACAAACTTGAAAGCTGATGTTCTTTCTGCTGCTCAGTGCCACCTCTGCAGGCCTCCATGTACCAAGCACCACACTGGGCAGTGTGCCCAAGGCCCAGGCTGTCCCTGGTCACTGGTCAAAGTCTAACCAGTAGGCAGACACAAGCCCCTGGCATATCATGGAAGTTGCTGTGGTCAGCATCGTCCACTGAGAAAAGGCTTTGATAGATCCTGACTGCACTGGGTGGAGACCCCAGGAAGCCCACCACACAAAGCTGCCACCAAACCCTCTGCACCAGACTGCTCCCTTCCCTCTAGGGAGTTGATGCTGAGGGATCCAGGGTGCAGTTTAGGGAAGCCCAGGGCCCAGCCTCTCTGGAGGGCTCACCCGCTTTCTGCTGTTGGGTTAGTTTCTGGGGCTGCTCTCGGAGGTCATCTAAGGTTCGCAGTCCTTCCCGGTACCACCGGTCAGCAGTCTTCACACCGACCCCGAAGATCTGGGTGAAGAGCTGTGGGGAAGGAGCGTAGCCCGGTTGGGCAGAGCTCTCATGGCTAGACTCGGATGATCACCCGCTCCGGGACGGTGTGGCCCATGGAGCACCATGCACCAGGCAGGCGCCGTCCCCACTCGCAACCTGCCGTAGACCACAGGGCAAGGATTCAAACCTGGAGCCTGACTACCCAGCCTGCCGTCTCTGGGAACAAACCCACGCACACCCCTCTCCTCTCCTCTATGAAAGGGACTTACACAGCTCTAGCCTGTGATTCCAACATAATCAAAACAGTCACCCTAACACATCAGCACGAGGGGCTCCTAAGTCACTGGAAAAACCATGCCTCTCCCACCTAACAGAAGGTGGAACAAATTTCTGTGGTTCTCCTCCTTAGCCAACAGCAAAAAACAATGAGGAGTTAACAATCAAAAGGGTGGATTTAGGAGCAGAGTTGGCAGGGCTGGCTGGGGTGCTCACATATCTTCCCACAGAGGGTGGGCCCCAGCCCAAGCAAGTCACCTGCTTCAGGTCAGCCACTAGAGTCCCTCCCTAGGAATTCTGGATCTGAGACTGAGGGCAGGCCCACACAGTGGCAGAAGCTGTAGCCTGTGGCAGCCGAGCACCTTTTGTGGCCACATTTCCAACCGATGGAAGAAGCTGGTGCGTCGCAAGAGAGGGCGAAGCCACCGTGCAGAGGGGCAGAGGGGAGGAGGAGTGGCCTGGTGATACCCAGGTCGCTGAGCCCAGTTGTCCTGCAGACCGGCCACAGCCCTCCCCATCCTGGGCTCTGCTGGCCCTCCTTTCCTTTATTTTGTGAACCAACGGTGTGGGGTGGGTCACTGTCACTTGCAACCCAAAGAATCCTGACTAAAAATGATGAGATTAACCCAATTATATTGTTAATAAACTTCTCATTACTAATGTAATTTTCTGCCAGCCTAGATGCCTTCAGGGCTGGGGCTGAGGCTGACAGTGAAAGTACTCACTAACCTCACACCACTTCAAGGGGATTTCATCATCTTCAGGCCCCTCACTCCCACACTCACCACGGTGGCCCCACTCATCTGGTCCCCTGTCCCTGCCAGTGCCCCTTGCCCCCTTCCCTGCATATTTGAGCCCATTTGCCCTGCACACACTGCTCAAGTCTCTCCTCTTCGAAGCCCTCCCTGTCAATCCTGACAACATTCTGTGTGACCTCCCAAGGCCCCATCCACCCAGGAAGCCACACTTCACTGACAGTTATCCATGTGGCCACCGCTGTGACACCTCCAGCCACAAAGCCAGTTGGCAGAAGGGTGTCAAAGCAGGCACACCCGAGGCATCCAAAAGAACTCAGACGGCATTTCCCTATCAGACCAGGAGTGAGCAGAAACAGAGGGAAGGTGGCCATGGAAACAGGCAGGCTGACAACACTGAGAAAATAACACATAAGGTCCTGCAGAAGGCGGGCAAGGGCAAGCCCAGCATGCTCAGTGGCAGCACCCAAGGGTACATTTGGTTCACAGTGCTCTGTTTAAGATGCCACAGCATGTAATCTACTTGAGAATATTCCATCAAAAACAGTCAAGGCAGAGCGAAGTGGCTCATGCCTATAATCCCAGCATTTTGGGGACCAAGGCAGGAGAATCATTTGAGCATAGGGGTTTGAGACCAGCTTAGGCAACATTACCAAGACCCCATCTTTACGAGAAAGATTTAAAAATTAACCTGGTGTGGTGGCACATGCCTGTAGTCCCAGCTACTCCAGAGACTGAGGTGGGAGGATGGTTTGAGCCCAGGAAGTCAAGGCTGCCGTGAGCTGTGATCGCACCACTGTACTCCAGCCTGGGCGACAGAGCGAGACCCTGTCTCAAAAACAAAATAAAACAAAAAGCCCCAAAAGCCAGATGGTGCTGAGTGATCTAGAAAATTCTGTCCTCAAAACAAGCTTCTTCCTTGCCTGTCTCCACTTGGCTGCCTTGTGCATATCAGGTATCAGCTTAGCTGCCACTTCCTCGGCAAGACCTTCTCTGACCCCTGGGCTGGGTCAGCTGCCCCTGTTTGCCTCCCCGTGCATGGTGTGGACTGTGTTGTCATTCCCAGGGCAGGACATTCCTGGGGTAGGTCCGAGCCCTGCCCTGCGCACCTTCATGGTCTGGTACCTCTCTGAGCGCCGAACTCTCTCCACCTCCTCACACACTCCATGCTCCAGCAGCTCCTGGGGGAGGGAACAAAGCAGAACTCTAAGCCTGAGGGCGTGGGAAGAAAGAGAAGGGCGGGGAGTTAGGGTCAGGGCTGGGGGCCCAAGGACTGAGGCAGTCCCCTCCAACACCCGGCAGAGACAACTTTGTGAGGTCAGGGTCCAGTAGGACCTGGAAATGGAGACTGTGCCCAGGGAGGTGACCAAAGTTGCTGCCACACAGCTGGGAGGTCAGGGCTCCAGCCTCAAAGCTCCTTCGGGCCTGGAGTTACAGCAGCTGAGATGCCAGGTAACGTGGATCATCTCTCAGTCAAATAAGTCCCAAGATACATAAACAATTGCTTTTCAGAACATGTGAACTCAATACTACTTCATTTAAAAGCATCTTCTGTCACTGTGTATTCTTGCAATGAAAGTGCACTAAAGGACAACTAAACACACTGGGGCACTGAAAAGAGATGCTCACACTCAGGGTGCTCTCTTTCATTCCACTGTGGAGGGCAGTTTGGGACTAATGACAATGACAACAGTGTCACCCCTAGCCCTGCCAGGCCCCTCACAGCGCCATTCACTGGGTCCTCTAGGCCACCCAGGAGTAAATGGCTAGTGTGCACAGGAGGAATCTGAGCGCAGAGGGTGGCTTGTTGAGGCCTTGGAGCAGTGTCAGCACCCACGACTGTCTGTCCTCACCCACCCCCACAGCACCCTCTGCTGTCTCACCAGGCCCCAAGGCCTCCCCACCCACCCACTCACCCTGCTAGGATGGTAAGCACCTACCTGGACAACCCTAGAGGAGTGTTCTCCAAAGTGGGGAAGCCCCTGCAGCTGGCTCAGGGTTGTGACAGGGCTGGGAAGGGCCTTGAGCACCGAGGCTGCTCTGCAGAAGGTGAGGAGGCGGCCCTCACTGCCTTCAAAGCCTGCTGCCTCGGCCAGTATCTCCAGAGCCTCCTGCAGGGAGGGGCCCTAGGTAAGGGGCAGGGTGGGCAGCTCCAATCCCCCACCTACCACCCATCTGTACCCTTGTCCCCAACCCCCAGGGCTGGCCAAGGCTCATAGAAGCGGCTTACGGAGAGGCCAGTGTTGTGGTGTGTGAGGGGCGTAGGGCGCTGGCAGGCATAGGCAGGCATCCATGCTGGGCTCAGAGGCCCCTTCCTTGGCCCAGCCACCTGGGGATGGGCAATAAACAGGTCACTGTGAGGCTGCAGGGCTGGCAGGAGAGCCAGGCCGTACTCAGGCTTTGTTTCTCCTGGGGTGTCCAACTCGGGCCCTCTGGAGCTCATGGGACAGAGGTGGGCAACAAAACACCAGCGGCATGAGGCTGAGGGAGGCACCGCCCTGCAGAACAGGCTGTGCATGGGGCTCCTCATGCCAGGGTAGCAGCAATCACATCTGCCAGCCCTGTGGGCACTTCTCCTGCTGCTGCACATGATGCATGTACTCCATCACCCCAATCCTCACAACCAAGCGGGCTGGGGATGCTGAGGCCTTGGAGGCTAGGGGCTTGCCCCACAACCATGGCTCACAGGCTGGGCCAGGATTTGAAGGCAGGCAACCTGGCCCCAAGCCCACACCTGTCAGAGGCCGGGAGCCTTATAGCATCCAGAGGACAGGCTCCTGCTAACCCATGGGTCATCCCGCTCGGAGTTGCTGTGTCATCTACTTGGTGAGGAAGAAAGGCCTGAAGAAGGTAAAAATAAGCAGACCCCAGAATTTGCATCAGTGGTGAGAACAGAAGCTGAGATGGCCTGGCCCCCTCAGCCCCTTCTGTGGTTCCTCTACTGGTTTATAGGGGGCCCCTGGTGATCTGGGTAGAGTCTTCACTGCCCACCTCCTCTGAAGGACATTGAGGCATTGCTGCCATGTCACCTGTCCCAGCTGAGCAATGGCCTACACTGGGGCTTTCACTGTAGCCCCCACTTTAGTCTTCCACCCAGCTCACCTCCAGGCGGTGCCGGCACTCCACAGGTACAGGCTGCCCAGCTCCCAGGCTCTCTGTTAACCAGCTTATGTCCAGCAGAGCTGGGGGGGTGCAACCCGGGGGAGCAGCTGCCATCCTGCGCTCCTGCCAGCTGACGGCCTCCTCTGCTGAGGTCTCTTCCATCACAACATGTGTCGCTTCGGAGCTGGTGGAGGGAGTTGGGAGAGAAGGAGGAGGGTGAGGCCCAGAGCCCGTCCTGGTTGGCTCCAAGCCTTCACTCTTGCCGTCCCTTCTGCATGGTAAGTGACCATTCATCCTGCAAACGTCACCTCCTCCAGAAAGCCTTCCCAGCCCCTCCTCCTGGTAGATGAACACCTCCACCACTCAGCCCTCAGAACCGTAGTTCTCTGCCCTGGCTATGTTCACAAGCACAGCCCAGTCTTGTGCTCTCTCCCTCCCTCTTCACCTCAAAGAAAGGAATTCCTTAGGGTCAGGACCAGGTGGTCTTCATCTAAGAGCAAGGGTTTCAGCAGAGATGGAGGAGCCTGTTTGGGTCTGAACCCCAGCTCTGCCTGCCACATACTTGTTTGGCTCTTGGGCAAGCCACGTGTCTATACTTTGATTTCCTCTTCTGTAAAGCAGAGATAACATATCCACCCTGTGGGGTTGTTGTACAAAGATAGTGCCTTGTACACTCTAAGCTGCTATCATCCTCTCCTGAGTGGGTCTGGCGCACTACTGATCCCTGGTAATGTTAAAAAATCAAACACAACTGTGGGGGAATACTAGCCCCAGGTTCGTTTGCTCTCTCAACCTCCAAACTAGGGGGCACCCCCAGCTCCCTTACTCTGGGTGTTGTCTCTGTAGCCGCCATTTTTTCTTCTCTTGGTTCCCTTCCTACAAGAGCTTCTCAGTCGTGTTATTTACTCAGGCCTGAGGACAGAGGAGCCTGCGGGCTCCGGGCCTCTTGAGAAGTCAGTCTCGCTCACAGGTGGGACATAGCCCAGGCAGAAGGGCTGTTAGCAAATACGACTTTTTTTTTTTTTTTTTTTGAGACAGAGTCTCACTCTGTCGCCCAGGCTGGAGTGCAGTGGCGCGATCTCGGCTCACTGCAAGCTCCGCCTCCCAGGTTCATGCCATTCTCCTGCCTCAGCCTCCCGAGTAGCTGGGACTACAGGTGCCCGCCACCACCTCCGGTTAATTTTTTGTATTTTTAGTAGAGACGGGGTTTCACCGTGTTAGCCAGGATGGTCTCGATCTCCTGACCTCGTGATCTGCCCGCCTCGGCCTCCCAAAGTGCTGGGATTACAGGCGTGAGCCACCGCGCCCGGCCTACTGCTTATTAATTACCCCTGACCTCTGGTTTTGATTCTCGCAGTGATCCTTTAAAACACGCCTCGCCCTAATTAATAGCACCCTTTACAGAAGAGGAGATGGAGGCTCAGGGAAAGGTCACAAGACCACGAAGTGCCACTGCAAACTTAGAATCCAAAACCAGAAGTGCCATGGAAGCCCTCGCCGCGCCGCGCCGCCCCGCACCTGCAGGCGTCAAGGACGCGGAAGCCTTTGGAGCGCGCCAGGCCTGTGAGGAAGGCCCGGCGGCTGCGACCCATGCGAGGCTCGACCAGGTAGATGGCGACTCCCGGGAAGCGCGTCGAGGGCGGCGTGGAGGAAGCGGCATCGCCGCTAGGGGACCCGACCCGCGCTCGCCGCCGTTTGGGGAGCATTGGGACGACAGCCTCCAGCAGCGCGGAGCGAACGCAGAGGGAAACTCCGAGCGAGACGGAAGGAAGCCCCAGTGAGGCTGACGGAAGCGGGTGGGCGGGCGGGCGGCCGCCGGCTGGAAGAGGACGTGGCCCCGCCCTATGCAAATGAGGCCTCTCCGTGGGGCTCGCTACTTGGGCCAGTCGGAGCGCTGGGGAGGGTCCGGGCTCCTACAGGATTGGGTGTCCCGGCCGCTCCGGAAGACCCGCCTCCATGCAAATAACGGCAGAGGACCCGCCTTTTATTTAAATTAATGTCTCGGAAAGCGCTGTTCGGCCCCATTGGCCTCCGGGAGGAGAGGCTGGGCTGGAGCGGGGCGGGGAGGGTGTTGGAGGGGGTGGAGGAGGCGGGGTCAAGGGGGCGTCCCCGGCTAGGGAGGGTGAACTGGGACCTAGGCCCGGGCGGAGCGGGGTGGGCTGTGTCCTTGGCGCCGGGGCTGGGTCTAGGGTTGAGCCGGCGGCTCGGGGCGGACGCGTGCGGGCTGTGCCCGATCCCTCTGCGCTCGGGACTGTCACACGGAAGCCGGCGGGCGCAGGACCGACACGCGGGTTTCCAATGCGCTGGTGGGGCGGTCGCTTCAAACACGCGGGAAGATTTTTCAGTCGAATGGCATTAGGACAACTGGCAGGCCATTTGGAAAAATAGAAGTTGGTGCCCTTCCTCATTCCTTAACACCAAAATAAATTCCAGATGGGTCAAACATTTCCATCTAAAAAGGAAACCAACAACGTACTGGAAAAAAGTCGGTGAATGTTTTTATGATCTAAATATCACAATAAACTTGGAAACACTAAAGGAAAAGAATGATAAACTGGACTACAGACAAATTTTAAATCTGATTAAAAATTAGAGTCAGAAGATAAACTGGGATAAAGTGTGAGATATTTTGGAATTAAGATTATCTCATGATAATCTTATCAAATTGTCCATAGATAAAAAGACAATAATTTAATAGAAAAATTAGCAAAAAAACTCACGTAGATGATTCTTAGAAGAAATCCTGGTCAATAAATTTATGACCAGAGTGCCCAACCTGTCCAGTCGTTACAGAATACCTAAATGAGAATATCTTCAGTTGTGGGTTTATCAAACATTCAAAAAAATTGACCACACATGTTGAAGGTGCGAGGTAATTGGCAATCCATAGGAAGGACTGTGGAAGCCAATGTGGCAACCACATCCAACAAAATGAAAACAAAATAATACACATTGATCCAGCAATTCCTTTCCCAAGATTGGGATTGCATTGAATCTATAGATCAAGCTGGGGAAATCTGATGTCTTGATAATATCAAGTCTTCTGTCTATCTTATTTAGATATACTCCATTTGTAACCTCTGTTACGGTAGTGTGGCACTGCTCAGCCTAACTGATGGGACACCAGATCAGATGCAACCCCCTTCCACATGCCTCTCCTCATCACTGCCCCATCGTCCTCAGTCTTGAGCCCCAGACTCCTTGAGCACCTATCCTTTTTCTTTGGCTCCTCTCTGACATCTTTAGTGGGCTGGCTCTTCCCCATCTCTGCACTCAGAGCACAGGGCTGAGGGGAGTGGGGGAGATGGCTCAGCCCAGGCATCCTCTTGACCTCCTACACCATCTCCCAGCCTCCTAATTCATCTACCTCTTCAGGGCTGTAGAGCTTCCTGGGCCTCAGGACCCACATACAGAAGCCAGGAGGCCTGCGTATGGTCCCTCTCTCCCCATCCTCCCCTTGTGCCAGCAGGGATGGGCAGGCTCTAAGGGTCTTCGTCTGTGGATCTGGCTCCTACCCTTCTCAAGGAGGAGGCTCTGCCCAAATATCCCCTGAGCAGATCCCTCTAGCTGTCTAAAACCATTTCTGTTCCTTTTAATGTCCTCTGTCTGGCCAGAGCACCTGGGCTCCCCTTGGAGCCCTTGTTCTCTCCTGGGAAGGCAGAGGCAGTTTTTAAGACTATGAGACCTGAATACTTAAAACACTGGGCAACTGTGCAAAAATGTTTGTGCAAGGAATCTCATCCAAATGACAGTGGAAGAAACTGCCTAGCTTAGAAATCAGCCAGGCCCTCTGAGTGGTTGCTGCAAAGTGTCTGCTAGGACAACATGGGGCTGAAGGATTCATGAAGATTGGCCAGTGGGGGCAAGAAGGGGTGAGGAGGTGGGGAGAGAGAGGGACTTGCCTGCTCTGCAGGACGAAGATGTGCCCTATACCCAGGGAGAGGTGGCCTGCCGTGGAGGTGAAACCACCTTTGCAGAATTGTAAGTCATGAGAGAAATCTAACATGACTGCCTCCCTCTTGCATCTAACCTCACAGACTAAATTGGTTTTCTTATTTCTTTTTTTTTCTTCTTCTTCTTGTAGTGCAGAGGCCAACATAACTATGAGAGGAATTTAGTTCATAGTTAAAGGCAAGAAAAACTGACCCCCTCCTTGTTTGGAGATTGAAACCACATTCATAAGACAAGGTTAGAATTGTGGTGGGGCCTGAACTTTGCTAAAGAATGGGCATAAACAGCGACCTGCCGTTTCTCACTTGGCTTGCTTTTCTATAATGCTTACTGCCCTGGAGTCACATAGCCGGAAATCTCAAGATTTCTAACTTCTCCAGCTGCTCATATAGAGGCCGGGCACAGTGGCTCACACCTGTAATTCCAGCACTTTCGGAGGCCAAGGCGGGTGGATCACTGGAGGTCAGGAGTTCGAGACCAGCCTGGCCAACATGGTGAAACTCTATCTCCCTAAAAATACAAAAAAATTAGCTGGGAGTGGTGACACATGCCTGTAATCCCAGCTACTCAGGAGGCTGAGGCAGGAGAATTGCTTGAAGCTGGGAGGTGGAGTTTGCAGTGAGCTGAGATCATGCCACTGCACTCCAGCCTGGGAGACAGAGCAAGACTCCGTCTCAAAAAAAAAAAAAAAAAATCACTATTATGAAACCTAAAGAACTTTGAGATATTTTCTAGATTTAGAATTTTAGCAGACCAAGAGACACTACCTGGACCTGTGACCCACACCAAGAAACTGACTCAGCTGCTTGAAGATAGTTTTGATACCTCTGTGATTTCATCCACTGCCAATCAGTTGTCTCAGCTCCCTAGTCCCCTGCTTGCTGAAGCACCCTTAAAAACACTAGCCTCTGAATTCTGGGGGAGGTGGTTTTGAGAATTATCTTTCATCCTCCTTGCTTGTCTGGCCCTGCAATTACAAAACTTTCTCTGCTGCAACAGTGCCCCCACTGGAGAACATGGTGAGGGGGTGTCCCTGCTGGAGGATGGTTGGGGAGGGGGTCCCTGCTTGAGGATGTGGGAGGTATACCTGCTGGAGGAGGGGTGAGGGAGGGTGTCCCACTGGAAGATGGGGGTGGGGCGCAGTGGGGAGCCATACTAGGGCCAAGAATATCCCCAGGACTGGAGGTAGCTTTTGCAGCTTAAACAAGAGGCATAGTCGCGAGGGCAGGTTAGGACTTGGGTGTGTCCAAGAGGCACTTGGAAGGAGTTGCCCTTCCCAGAGGGTGGCCCTTGAGCTATGGAAAAGATCCCACTGAAAGGAGATGGTTAGATTATCTCCTGCACATTGGAAATTGTCTTTGAGTTTCCATCTTCAATGGGCCTGGTTTCCCTGTACTTGTCTGTGGTGGTCACTGTGGGAAGGCAGTGAGGAGTGGGTCTGGGGAGGGAGAGGGACTGCCACAGGGGCAGCAGTGGCCACCCCCCACAGGTCCAGACCATCCCCTCTCCAGAGTACAGTGGAGCAGGGTACACCTAAGAGCTCCAAATAATACTTAGGCCCAGGCCCCTCCCCAAATAATCCAGTTTAATTGGTCTGGATATGGCTTGGGCATTGGCATTTTATTTATTATTATTAATTTTTTAGAGACAAGGTCTCACTCTGTCACCGAGGCTGGAGTGCAGTGGCACAATCACTCTTGGCTCTTGTGCTCAAGTGGTACTTCTACCTCAGATTCCTGAGTGGCTGGGACTACAGGCATGTGCCCCCACGCCTGGCTAATTTTTTTAAGTTATTTTTTGTAGAGATGGGGGCTCTCACTATGTTGTCCAGGCTAGTCTCAAACTCCTGGCCTCAAGCAGTCCTCCCACCTGAGTCTCCCAAAGCGCTGGGATTACTGGCATGAGCCACCAAACCCGGCCGACATTGGCATTTTTAAAGTTCCCCAGTGACTGATGTGTGGCCAAGGTTGAGATTCACTGCTCTAGAGGGAGGGGACCCTTCAGGGAGATGGAGACCCTGACAAGAAGCTTACGCGTGTAAAAGTGAGAGCTGAGAACCACCTGAATATCCAGTGACCAAGAGCTGGTGGAATAAATGTTGCTGTGTTCATACTGTGGAATATTATGCAGCCATTAAAAATGATTCTGTGAAGTTTTACTCTTAATCACCCAAAACTGTAAACACTCCAGATGTTCTTGACCCAGGGAACAGCTTCACACACTGGTGTGTGCATCCCATGGAATGCTAAGGAACATTGAGATGAAGGGAACCGGTAATGCAGCAGCTTGGGTGAGTCTTCAGTGCCTCATGCTAAGTGGCAGGAGACACATATGCTCTGATCCCATTTATATGACAACTCGGAAAAGGCAAAACTATAGGATAGAAAACAGACCAGTGATGGGCAAGGCTGGGAGCTGGGGTCGACTACAAAGAGTTTGAAGGCATTTGGGGGTGATGGAATGTCCTCTATCTTGACTGTGGTGGGAGTTACAGGTTACAAGACTGTGTTTGTCAAATTCATAGAATTATGAACTGAAAAGGGTGAATTTTACAGTATGGCAACTATACCGCACTCAGCCTGACTTTTAAAAACTGGTGCTGGCTGGGCGCAGTGGCTCACGCCTATAATCCCAGTACTTTGGGAGGCCGGGGTGGCAGATCAGGTGAGGTCATGAGTTCAAGACCAGCCTGGCCAACATGGAGAACCCGTATCTCTACTAAAAATACAAAAATTAGCCGGCCATGATGATGGGTGCCTGTAATCCCAGCTACTCGAGAGGCTGAGGCAGGAGATTGCTTGAACCCGGGAGGCGGAGCTTGCAATGAGCCGAGATCGCGCCATTGCACTCCAGCCTGGGTGACAGAGCGAGATTCCATCTCAAAACAACAACAACAACAACAACAGCAACAAAAAAATGGTGCTTTATGGCCATATTCAGTGGCATGAGAAGATTTGACACGGTTACCTGATGAAAGCAGACAGCTGTATGTATAATGTGAGGCTGTTTTTGTAAAAACACACATATATATGTCATACATGGAAAATAGAGGTGCAACAAAGCTAAGCAAATGGTTGCAGTGGTTAGTAGAATTGTGGGTGATTTGAACATTTTTCATTTTGTTTGTACTTTCTAAAATTTCTGCAGAGGGCATGGATTGCTTGGAAGCAGGCAGGGAGGGAAGGAACATAAGTTTTTGTTCTCATTTTGTGGACGAGGAGCCTCTGTCTGAGCGGCAGAGCCAAGACACACACCCGGCCTCCCCTCCTGGCTCTGAGTCCGGAGTTCTCTCTGGAGATGTCCACGGTGCCTGCTCAGCCTGCTCCATGGCCTCCCCTAGGAGCACAGGCCCAGGGAATGCTGTGAGAGAGGGGAGGGTGAAGGCAGGCCTGGGCAGCAGTGGGCAGGGCCCTGGCCTGGGTGGGTGGGTACCACAGGCTGCTGTCAGGAAGTAGAGACCTCAGCCCTCTGTTTTGGGTGAGCTGTTCCAATAAACTTGGCTTAGGGATTCCCAGAAGTCCAAGTCCTCAGCCTCCTGCTCCCTCCTCTGACACTGCCTCCCAGAAAGTCAGGAGGCTGCCCAGCCACCCTCGTGGCGGGACACCTTCCGGCCAGGCTGGGCCCTTTCCGCTGCCCTGAGGCTGCAACCTCCCTCCCTGCTCCCACCGAGCCATGACTATTCCTGCCCATCCCTTACTTATGTTTTCGATTATTTTTGCCCAGATTGAGTTTGCATTTTTCCAAGATGAATCTCATCTTGCTGTTTCCTGTTCCCACTTTCAGCTCTAGACGTCCCTCGGGGAGATACCTCAGTGCCCACGACCTTTGCACCCCCCTCCCCACCTCGCCCCCGCTGTGGCACACCTCTCTCCAAGCTCCCTTTGGTGCTGTTTCCACCCGTGTGCGTTCTGTCCAGAGGCCTGCGGGGACCAGGACGTGGCCCTGCTTGGGGGCCTGCCCCTGCTGCCCTGGTTTCCTCCCTCCCGTGGGCTGCTTGCCAGCAGCATTTGGGAGAGTGTGTGGCCAAACTGCTGATGCTGCTGGCCCTGAGCTCCTGAGGGCTGTTGGCCCCAGCAGTGCTGGCCCTGGGCCTTCTCTGATCTATTCCTGCACATTGCTGTGGCTAAGAGTAACCTGGTATATTTGTATCCCATGACCGCTATAACAAATTATCACAAACTAGGTGGGTAAAAACAACAGAAATTTATTCTCTCCCAGTTCTGGAAACTACAGCCAAAACTCCAGCTATCAGCAGGGCCACCCTTCCTTGAAGGCTCTAGGGGGGATCCCTCCTCGCCTCTTCAAGCTGCTGATGCTCCTGGTGCTCCTTGGCTTGTGGCAGCATCACTCCACCCTCTGCCCCGCCTGCAATGGCCTCCTTCCCTCTGGGCCTGCTCTGTGTCTGTCTTCTCCTTCTCTCTCTCTTTTTTTTTTTTTTTTTTTTTTTGAGATGGAGTCTCGCTGTGTCACCCAGGCTAGATTACAGTGGTGCCATCTCGGCTCACTGCAACCTCTGCCTCCCAGGCTCAAGTGATTCTCCTGCCTCAGCCCCAACCAGTAGCTGGGATTACAGTTGCCTGCCACCATGCCAGGCTAATTTTTGTATTTTTAGTAGAGACAGATTTTCACCACGTTGGCCAGGCTGGTCTCGAACTTCCGGGTTCAAGTGATCCACCCGCCTCAGCCTCCCAAAGTGCTGGGATTACAGGCATGAGTCACCATGCCTGGCTGTCTTCTCCTTTTCTTATAAAGACACTAAGACACTAGTCATTGGATTTAGGCTTTTTTTTTTTTCTTTTTTTGTCATCCAGGCTGGAGTGCAGTGGCACAATCATAGCTCACTGCAACCTCATACTCCTGTGCTCAAGTGATCTCCAGCCTCAGCCTCCTGAGTAACTAGGACTACAAGCGTGTGCCACCATGCCTGGCTAATTTTTGTATTTTTTGTGGAGATGATGTCTCACTATGTTGCCCAGGCTGGTCTCAAACTCCTGGCTTCAAGTGATTCTCCCACTTTGGCCTCCCAAAGTGCTGGGATTACAAGCATGAGCCACCTTGCCTGAAAGACCATCCCAACTCAGGATGATCTCATCTCAAGATTCTTATTTTTTTTTTCCTTTTCTTTCTTTTTTTTTTTTTTTTTTTTTGAGATGGAGTCTCACTCTGTCACCCAGGCTGGAGAGCAGCAGCATGATCTTGGCTCACTGCAACCTCTGCCTCCCATGTTCAGGCAATTCTCCTGCCTCAGCCTCCCAAGTAGCTGGGACTACAGGCACATGCCACCACGCCCGGCTAATTTTTGTATTTTTAGTAGAGATAGGGTTTCACCATATTGGTTAGGCTGGTCTTGAACTCCTGACCTCGTGATCCACCCACCTCAGCCTCCCAAAGTGCTGGGATTACAGGCATGAGCCACCGTGCCTGGCCAATATTCTTATCTTAATTACACCTGAAAAGACCCTTACACCAAATAAGGTCACATTCTGACATTCTGGGTGGAAATGAATTTGGGGGGCCACCCTTTAACCCGCTGGCCTGAGTCCCACTTTGCCAGGGATCAATTCTGGACTCTGTGACCTGGGGCAAGTGGCCAGCCTTTCTTTATTTGTGTAGATCCATCAGAGCTGTGGGATTCGTATTTTTGACAGTAGATGCACTAGTGGCTTGCCTGGGACCTGGCTGGTTATATAACAAAAAGAGACGCTTTATTTTTGAGAAACCATTACTGCCTTTTAAGGAGTGTGTGCATTGCCGCTTGCTGGATGGGTTCCATATAAGAACCGGTGGTGGCGGGGGTGGTGGGGAGAGGGTAGTTGGAAGCCTGGGACAGGACTCGGAGTGGGAAGACTGGGCCAGAGGTCCAGAGAAGAATTCCCAGCTCCCTGCCAGGGGATTTGGCTGCAGAATTCCTTATGGAGGAGCGAAGTGTCCTTAAAATGAAGGCTGTTTGGGTTCATCTGTTTAACCAGCCCAGGCTCAACCAGCAGTTCAGGTATGGCTGGCAATGGTGAAGGGTCCAGGGGGCTAAGAAGGCTTATGAGAAGAGGGATGTTTGCTGACCTCAACTCTACCACAAGGTGACAAAATTGTCCACTGTTTCCATCATGAATTATTTCATTTAAGTTAAGGGAAGACTATAATGTCATTACATTCCTGGATAAACAGACCCAATGTCATTTATTTAGTATTTTCCCATTTGCCACTGTCATTCTTGAAATAAAATAGATCCAAACATGGGGAGTTCCATTTATTAGCACCAAGGAGAAGCCCTGGGCTAGAAAGTTGCTGGAAGCCCCAAGGCTGTCATGGATGCTGTTTCTTGGGATGGAGAGTCCTGAGAGGCTGGACGTGCTGCCTGGTACATGGAAGGTCAAGGAGGAAGGAGGGTTGGAAGCCAGGAGTATGGCCATGGAGGGAGTCTCCAAAGTCCTAGTCAGGGGTGGAACCCAGACCGGAAGTTGGGGTAGAAGACAGGGATGGGAAGTGACAGCTGCTAACATTTATGGAGGGCGAGAAATAGGCCAAGGACTGTGCTAATTATTTTTTATGCTGTATTTTTGTTCTTTTTCCAATTATATGGAATTGGCACTACTGTCATTTTTTTCTATCTTACAGATAGGGAAACTGAGATTTTGAGCTAAAATAATGTTGCCAAAGTAGTCACACGCATAAGAGGCAGAAATGTGATTTCAACAGTGGATATTTGACCACAGAGCCATCCTCCTAACCATTCACCCAACAGAAGTGTGTTGAGGCGCGGTGGCTCACCCCTGTAATCCCAGCACTTTGGGAGGCCAAAGGGGGCTGATCACATGAGGCCAGGAGTTTGAGACCAGCCTGGCCAACATGGCAAAACCCCATCTCTACTAAAAATACAAAAATTAGCCAGGTGTAGTGGTACATATCTGTAATCCCAGCTACTCGGGAGGCTCAGGCACGAGAATTGCTTGAGCCCGGGAGGCGGAGTTGCAGTGAGCCGAGTTCACACCACTGCACTCCAGCCTGGGCGACAGAGTGGGACTTTGTCTCAAGAACAAACAAACAAACAAAAAGGTGTGTTGTGTGCCTGGCTTTCTTCTAAGTGCAGGAGGTATAGCAGATAAGACATACAGAAACCCCTGCCTCATGACATTCCTGTGGGGCAGGACAGACAATTCCCTAGGGAGGACATGGCCTATGCTGGGTATGGTTGGTTATAGCAAACATGGCTGCAGGAGTCCCTTCCATCTGTGACCCTTCCGCAGAGTGACTTTGATGCTTCCCCCAGCAAGAGATGGGGTTAGGCCTCCCCTTGATTCTGGGCTGGCTCTGGGACTTGCTTTGGCCAACAGAATATAGCAGAAATGACATCTTGGCACTTGTGGGCTTAACCTTGCAAGGGCTTGCAGCTTCCACTTTTGCCTCTTGGAAGCTACTGCCATGTGAAAAAGCTGGTCTGGTCTGTGGGTGCTGAGAGGCCACGTGGACAGAGGACCGAGGTGCCCAGGTGACAGCCAGCACTGAGTCCAGCTCCCTGCTGACCATCATTGCATGGGAGACCCCAGCTGACACCGTGTGGAGCAGCCAATTCACAGAATCGTGAGGAATGCTCTCTCACTGCTGTTTGAAGCCATTCCATTTTGGGGAGGTTTGTTACACAGCCATGGATCACTGAAACAGTGGTGAGAACGGCCAAGTGCATGGGTAGATCCAAAGTCAGGCAAGGGGAGGGAGTGCCCAGGGCTCACCAAGAAGATGACATTTGAGCAGTGACTTCATGGAGGAAGGAAAGAACATCCTCAGTGACCAAGGCTGGGCCTGGCAGGTTTAAGGAAGAACAAGGAGCCTGAGCAGCTGAAAAGTGGGGCCAGATCTTGGGGTGCCCCACAAGCCACTGAAAGGACTGTGATGGGGAGGCTCTGAGCAGAGGCAGGTGTTATTCCACTCAGTTTTTGTTTTTGATTTTTGAGACAGGGTCTGGCTTTTTCACCCAGGTTGGAGTGCAGTGGTGCAATCTCAGCTCACTGCAGCCTCGAACTCCTGGGCTCAAGTGATCTTCCCACCTCAGTCTCTCATACAGCTAGGACTACAGGCATGTGCCACCACACCCAGCTAATTTTTGTATTTTTTGTAGAGACGGGGTTTCACCATGGTGCCCAGGCTCAAGCAATCTGCCTATCTTGGCCTCCCAAAGTGCTGGGATTACAGGCATGAGCCCAGCCCCCAATCAGCTTTAACAGTAGGGGCCAGGGCCAGGGCAGGGAAGCCCCTCTAAGAGGCTACTGCACTGACTCAGGTGAGTGTGGACGGTGATGAGACCAGGTAAGGAATGCTGGCTTCTGACTGTGAGAGAGAAAGAGGCGAGGATTGACTCTGGCAGGGGAAAGGCTGGAGTTACCACATTCTGAGATGGGGCCACCTTTGTGGAGGCTTAGGAGTGTGGCTCTAAACAGGTGACCCCGAGACCTCTCTAGAAATCAAGGGAAGACGTTGAGGATCCGACCTGGTTTGCATGTTTGTCCCCTTCAGGTCTCATGTTGAAATGTGATCCCCAGTGTTGGAAGTGGGGCCTGGTGAGAGGTGTGTGGGTCATGGGGGTGGATCCTCATGAAGTGCCCTCCCCATTGGGGTAATGAGCTCTCACTCTAAACAGATCTGTTTGTTTAAGAGCCTGGAACTTCCTCCTCTCTCTCTTGCTTCCTGTCTAGCCATGTAATGTGCCTGCTCCCCCTTTGCCTTCTGCCACGAGTGGAAGCTTCCTGAGGCCTCATCAGAAGCAGATACTGGCTCCTTGCTTCCTGTACAGCCTGTGGAACCATGAGCCAAATAAACCTCTTTTCTTTATAAATTACCCAGCCTCAGATATTCCCTTATTGGAGTGCAAAACAGACTAACACAGGATCCAATTTGACAGAAGAGGCCAGCGCCACGGGAGTGGTGTGGACTGCAGCTATAAACAGGGGATTGTCAGGGGCAAGGAGGTCACCAAAGGAGGGGTGCCCTGCAGAGGATGTGCAAGAACTGAGCCCAGGGCCTCCCAGAAATTTAGAGGATGGAGACTGAGAGGGGCGGGGGGAAACCTGGGTCAGGTTGGAGTCTTACAGACCAAGTGGAAAGGCTTCTAAAGAGGAAGGTGTAAGCAACTGTATCAGATGTTTGATGGGTCACCTAAGACAAGGACTGAGAAGTGACTGGTCCCTGGAGGCTTGACCAGACAGTTCTGCTGTTAGATGGGGGCTGGAAGGAGCCTCCTGCCCTTGAGGTGTCCTTAGGAGCATGGCACTCCTTCTAACCTCTTTTTCTCTTTTTTTCTTGAGACGGAGTTTCGCTCTTGTTGCCCACCCAGGCTGGAGCGCAATGGCGTGATCTCGGCTCATCGCAACCTCCGCCTCCCGGGTTCAAGCAATTCTCCTGCCTCAGCCTCCCAAGTAGCTGGGGTTACAGGCATGTGCTGCCACGCCCGGCTAATTTTATATTTTTAGTAGAGATGGGGTTTCTCCATGTTGGTCAGCCTGGTCTCGAACTCCCGACCTCAGGTGATCCGCCCACCTCAGCTTCCCAAAGTGCTGGGATTACAGGCGTGAGCCACCGCGCCCAGCCAATCTTCTAGCTTCTTGAATGTGCTGCTTGGCTTCTGTCATCTGTTATTCAAGTCACCTCACCAACCCAAACCCCAATTTCCTTATTTGTAAAATAAAAATAATGAGGCTCCTGCAAAGGGTGGATGTGCAAACTCAGAGTGAACTGACAGATGCCAAATTGGACCCTCTGTACCACCTGGGCATCTTTTGGTTACTAATGGTGGCTCTGCAGTCAGATCTGGATGACTGGCCAGGTGCCTGAGTATGCAGGTGACCTCCAGGACCAGATGCTCCAGCCCCAACCCCGATCTCCCTTCCTGGTGCTCTGGAAGACCTGGGAAAAGGGAAGAAGGAACCCCACATGATTGTGGTGGAACGGGGTGCTCAAAATGGAAATGAAACCACTCAAGGAAAAAGTAAGTTGCATTTCTGGCATTCTGAGTTCTTGGACTGAGTTCACACACACACACAAAATATAATCATTTCATTTAAGTTTAAAATATTTAGCACAGAATGCAATCAGCAAAATCCAGACCACGGGAAACTCCAAAGGACAAACAGTCTAGTTTCAATAAATAAGTTGCCAGAACGAGAGAGAGAGAGAGAGAGAGAGAGAGAGATTGAGACAGAGCCTGTAGGCTAAAACAGATTTAAGAGATGGATCAATCACAGCACCTGGGCCTTTCTTGGATCCTAATTCAAACAAACAAACAAACTGTAAAAAATAAAATGTGTGAAGCAATAAAGGAAATGTGCACTCTGGATATTGGATATTAAGGAATTATGGTTGAGATTTGCACAAGTGATAGTAGGTTAAGAGAGAAGAGAGAGGGAGAGAGGGAAGGGGAGGCGGGTAGGGACAGAGGCCTCTTTTGAGAAATGCACAACAAAGTATTTCCTGGTGAAATCATATGATGTCTGGGATTTGCTTCAAACTTATCTTGGAGAGGAGGCAAGGGTGGAACACAGATAACACAAGATGGGCTGAGAGTTGAACTGCAGGAGTGGGTGACAGGGCAAGCAGCTCAGGATGTCATCTTTTTGCTTTTGCATATTTGAAATTTTCCATAATAAAGTGTTTTTTAAGCAAATGCATGAGGCCAAGACTTGCTCCGTGCTCTCTGCCAGACTATTCTAAGCACTTGACACATGTCAACTCTTTGATGCCCAGGACTCTCATGTCAGGGGATGACACTGATGTCCCCATCTTGCTGAGGAGGAGATGGAGACACAGAAGGGGCAAGCAACTTGCCCAAGGTTGCACAGCTGGTGAACAGCAGTGTTGGGGTGTGAACCCAGGCTGCTTCCATCAGGCTTCTCCAGGTCTATGTGCCTCCAAAACAATGTCTGGAAGGTTATGTAACAAACTGTGATTGTTCTCTCTGGGAGGTGGGACAGTGGAGTTTAATGGAACTTATCATAATGGTTTTTGTTATTTTGCCTGTGTTTTCTTATTTTTCTACAAAGAATTTTTAAAAAGGAAGAGGAGTCAACAGACCCACAGTCAGTGGCCATGAGCAGCATGGGCCACAGAGGGGCTTCTGCTAGGTGGGAATTCTGAGCCCAAGGTCCCACCAGCTTGGAGGGGTGCAGCTCAGTGTGGCCATCAGTGGAGGCAGGCAGAAGTGAGGCTTGAATCCCACAGTGGGGAAAATGCTTTGCTCCTGGCAGAGCCTACTCTGGCAGGTCACAGCCAGGATTCAGACCCTGCAGGGAAGTCAGCAGCATGACCAGGCGTCCAGCCCAGTGCTGGGCACCTGCAGCCACGCAGGCGCACAGGGTATATGTGCCTGTGACCCTGCAGGTCCCAATAGCACAAACTCATTTGAGGATGGGGAGTGATAAGGGTAGGGCACAGTGGCCCCTCAAGGGGTGGGGATAGGAAAAAGTGGGGGGCACTGCCTCACCTCTGATTCTTCCATCAAACTTGGATGGGCTGGGGTCACAACCCCACCCCCATCAGAGTTTCGGGGAATGTGTGACAAACTGTTGCAGGCAGGCCCCAAACAGGTCCACCTCGCCTCACTCCTGTGACTGCTCTTCTTTGGGCCTCTCTTGGATCCCCACCCACCCATTCCCAACCAGACGCCTCACTGGCTTCTTCCTCAGCTCCGGGGTCCAGGTCTTGTGGGCTCTGCCCCAGCATCGGCCCCAGTTGGTCCCACCCTCTTCTCAGCGCAGGCCACTCCACTCCTCCCTCTGCCCACAAGTTGGAACCCAAGCTCAAGGTGGCCTCTAAGGCCCTGCTCACCTTCCCAGGCCTCACACGTGCCCGGCCCCAGCCCCCACAGTGTGCCCCTCCTTGTGCAGTCTGTGCCTGCCCTCCAGGGATGCACCTGCTCCCTGCACACATCTCTGAATGTTTGCTGCTTGAGCAAGGCATCCTCATGGTCAATGCATGCACTGGATGCTTGTTGACCTTAGGAAGTGCTTCTACCAGGAGATGGCCCTCTTCCCTGTCCCCAGGCCACGGCCATATCCTCCCAGGAGGGCTGAGGGCCTATCTTGGATGCACAGGGAACGGTGATCTCCCAGAATGCAAGTTCTTTTTAGGTCCTAGATAGTGAGCTCCAACCTTATGGACACAGTAACTGAGTCTGACTTCCTCACCCTTTGGGAAGGTGTTTTCCTGTAGGACTATGAGTGGGTGATTTTAAAGAAGGGGCAGGGGGGCAGGCCTGCTGTGGGCGAGGGTCAGCCATGTTACGGAGTGAGAAGGAACGAGCATTGCTAAGGCCCAGAAGTGAGGTGTAAGAGCCTCGGGGTTCCAGGCTCACCCCAGGGCTGGAGGGAGGAGGGGAAGGTGGAGAGGGTGCAGGGTCTTAGGGGCCACACAGAGGGTGGGATTTCCTCCTTGAGGAACACAGGGAGCCCTCCAGGCCCTCAGGGGTGGCCTGTGGGTGGTGAACTGGAGGTGTGAAGAGAAACGAAACCCCCAGGTGTGTGGGAGGCCTGCGGATGCTTGTGGCGACAGGGCAGCTACACACGGTCCAGGCTAGAGGTGGAGATGTCGGAATCATTGGCAGGTGGGGATCTCTGCAGCAGGGGTTCATCCAGCTCCCAGGGAGAGAAGGAAGAGTGAGAAGAGAGAGGTGCCACCCCTGGGATCCCCACCAGGGAAGCGGGGGAGGAGGAAGAGAAGCCAGCCTGGAAGTGTGAGCAACCCTAACCCTAATTCTAACCCTAACCCTAACCTTGGCAGGGGGAGGAGGTCACAAAGGGAGCTGCAGTGGCTGGCAAGGCCCGTTGGTCTTGGGTGATCCCTGGGGCCCTAGTCAGAGTGCCAGGTGCAGAAACAGCTGCCTGGGACTGAGGAAGTGGAAACTTTGAATGTGAACATCTCCTTTGAGAAGCTTGGCAGTTAAAGATGAGGTCAGAGATAGACACTGGGCAGGTACACATTTTTATAGCACAAAAAACTCTGGGTCCACAGTGGCCTTGGGAGCATTCTGGTACTCCCTCTAATGGCAGGAGCTGGGGTGCTGGGTGTGGGTGCCTGCTGGGAGCCCCTTCCTCTCAAGCAGCTGGCTGCCCACCTCTCCTTTTCCTTGGCTGGGCTTCTGATGGGGCCCACAGACAAACAGGCAATAACGTGAATACCTCACACAGAAACTGGCCACGATACTGCTGATGCCATGATCCATGATTGGTTTTTTATTCTTGTATTTTCCTGCTTTCCAGCTTTTACATCTCTCTTTACCAGACACTGATTGTTTTTTTACACCTTCCTATACTTTAGTACTATTACCAGACATAAAAACAAGTGATTCTCCTGCCTTACTCAGCCTCCCCAGTAGCTGGGATTACAGGCGTCTGCCACCATGCCTGGCGAATTTTTATATTTTTAGTGGAGACAGGGTTTCACCATGTTGGCCAGGCTGGTCTCAAAATCCTAACCTCAAGTGATCTGCCTGCCTTGGCCTCCCAAAATGCTGGGATTACAGGCATGAGCAACCATGCCCAGCCCTAGAAAGTGTTTTTAAAGGAATAGATTGTGTTCTACTATTCCCTTTCCTCCTTTCTGCTGGCCAGGATGATGCAATGATGGCTGGATCTCAAGTGAATATTTTGTATCACAAGATAGAAGTCATACATTGAGGCTAGGTAAGCAACAAAATGGAAAGCCAGATGCTTACCTTTGGATTTTGTTTATATGAGCAAGAAATACATTTCCTTTAAAATATTATTATTTTTAGAGACAGGGTCTTGCTCTGTTGTCTACAATAGAGACAGGATCTTGCTCTGTTGTCTAGGATGGAGTGGAGTGTTGCAATCATAGCTCACTGCAGCCTTGAACTCTTGGGCTCGGGTGATCCTCCTGCCTCAGCCTTCTGAGTAGCTAGGACTACAAGCGTGTGCCACCATGCCCAGCTAACTTTTAATTTTTTTGTAGTGACAGAGTCTCACTATGTTGCCCAGGCTGGTCTCAAACTCCTGGGCTCAAGCAATTCTCCCATCTTGGCCTCCCAAAGCGCTGGGATTACAGACATGAGCCACTACACCTGGCAAGAAATAAATTTCTATCTTATTTTAGTCATTGTTCCGTTGGTTTTTCTACGAATGCATGGTGGGATGCCTTACTGGGGCTCAGCTGCTTTGATGGGCTTCTCTTCTTTGCAGCCATGTGACCTTGAATGAGATGCCTGAATGGTGTGGAGCTCCTTGCCACTAGTTGCTTTCAGAGGGTGATCTCCCAGTAACACCTACACTGGAAGGTTTTTAATCTTTGAGAAACGGATATAGAAAAAGTTGTACTCAGTATATTTTATTTACATTTTTATAACTTTTAATGAAGCTAAACATTTTTGTATCTATTTATTGGCCACTTATGTATCTTCTTTTGTGAATCACCTATTTATTTCTCTCAGCTCACTTTTAAAAGTGGAAACAAAGTAAAATTATTAATAGCTTTATTATTTATTTATTTATTTTGAGACAGAGTCTTGCTTTGTTGCCCAGGCTGGAGTGCAATGGCATGATTTCGGCTCACTGCAACCTCTGCCTCCCAGGTTCAAGTGATTCTCCTGCCTCAGCCTCCCGAGTAGCTGGGATTACAGGCATGTGCCACCACACATGGCTAATTTTTGTATTTTTCGTAGAGGCGGGGTTTCACCATGTTGGCCAGGCTGGTCTTGAACTCCTGACCCCAGGTGATCCACCTGCCTCAGCTTCCCAAAGTGCTGGGATTATAGGCATGAGCCACTGTGGCTGGCCTATTAATAGCTTTAAAAATGTAAAAAACTAGCCGGGCATGGTGGTGCGCACCTGTAGTCCCAGCTACTGAGGATGCTGAAGTAGGAGGATTGCTTGAACACAGGAGGCGGAGGTTGCAGTGAGCCAAGATTGCATCACTGCACTCCAGCCTAGGCGCCAGAGTGAGATTCCATCTCAAAAAAAAAAAAAAGAAAAAGCTTTATTTATTAATAGCAGCTTCCCTTTATCAACGACTTACTATTTTTCAGGCATGACTCTCCAGATTTATCTCAGTGAACCCTTGTAGCATTTTTGCAAGGCATGGTAGTGTCATTATTATCCTATTGTTATAGAGGAGAGAAACCGACGCTCACAGACAGAAAGTGCAATAAATATGGAGTAGAGGTTCACAGCAGATGGGTCTGAGGCCACAGCTGCTTCCTAAAACTACAGGAGGCCAGGAATGTTCGCTCTCTAAGCACTGCATTCTTTCTCAGTATTTTGTTTGCTCTTTATTTTCATTTTCAGTATATTTTGATGTACAGAAGGTAAAAACTTTTATGCAACCAAACTTCTCTGTCCTTCCTTAAGAGACTTCTCCATCAAGAATGTCAATATAGGCTGGGCACACATGCCGGGCGCCCAGCACTTTGGGAGGCTGAGGCGGGTGGATCACTTGAGGTCAGGAGTTTGAGATCTGCCTGGTCAACATGGTGAAACCCCATCTCTACTAAAAATACAAAAAAAAAAAAAAAAAAAAAAAAGCCGGGCATGGTGGCATGTGCCTGTAATCCCCAGATACTTGGGAGGCTGAGGCAGGAGAATCTCTTGAACCTGGGAGGCGGAGGTTGCAGTTAGCCGGGATCGCACCACTGCACTCCAGCCTGGGTGACAGAGTGAGACTCCATATCAAAAACAAAAACAAACAAAACCTAAAGAAAACCTCACAATGTAAATAAAGACTCCATATTTTCTTGTAGTCCTTCCCTGGTTCCTCTTCTAACATCTACCTCATTAATCTGGAGTTAATTTTGAGGGAGGTATGAGGTGGGGCCAAACATTATTTTTTCCACCAGACTCCATTTTGAACGACCTCTCCTTCCTTCTGACCTAACACTGGGCAGATTGTTGCACTAAGTTGTCACATGCCCTCTTCCCAGATCTTCGGGCAGCAGAATTACTCATCAGTGCTGGAAGCCTGCCCCCCTCCCCACTCCCCGCGCCTTGCTGTGGTGACCCCCACCCCAACCGAGTCCCCACAGCTGGGCTTGCTGTCTGCCCTGTGGTGAGTGGAAGGAATTCAGCATGAACTCTGCTCACTCAGCAGCCAGGCCTGAGAAGCACCGGACTGTGGAAAATCACATATGTTTTTCAAGTTGTTGAAAACCAAGGAAATTGTTCTGCCAGTTGTGAGGGTGGCTAGACACTGTCTGGGAGACCTCAGGTCCCATGGCTCTGGGAGCCATCCCATCTTGTGGGCCCAAACAGGCTAACCCCACTGGTAATATCCAGGCACTTGGGCGGCAGAGAAGGGGGAGTTTCTAGGAGCCTCCCCCAAGAGGGAAGAACAAAAAGGAAGGAGCCTAGCCTGGTCCTTTCCCCTTTGGTCCCAGGAGGCAGATCCAGGACTCAAGGGGAGATATGGAGGGGCTGGCATCTGTGATCCCAGTAGCCTGCTGGCCAGATCCCAGGCCTCCCAGACCTTCTATTTATCCCCCTCCCCCAGATACACATGCTGGTGCTGGACAGCTGGGCTGTGGCGGAAGTTTACATACAAAGGGTTTGCTGGGCCATCTCGGTACACACAGCTTCACTTCCTTCTGAGGCACAACCCGTGTCTGAGCTGCTGCCATGGGGGTCCTGGGGGCCACAGAGGCCATGGGGCAGGTTGGGAGGGTCTGCTCCCAGCCTCCCAGACCCTGCCACTCCTGCCTGTCCCCAGGCCCTGATGACCTCTTATCCTTCTGTGCCCTGCAGATCCCCACAGTCAGAACTCAGGCACACTGGGCCTGCTGGCAGGTGAGTTTCCACCTCTGACCAGGTTGAGGCACCAGGCAGCTCTGGAGGCTCAGGAGCTATAGCTTGGGTCCCAGTGGGAGGAGGCTGGCCTGTCCCCCTCCTCAGCTGGCACTAACAGGCCCCTGACCCAACCTCAACTTCTCTCTTGGGGTCTCAGCCCTCATGGCAGGGTTGATGGCCTCAGAGCTACATAGGACCTACTCACTGGGCCATGCTCCCTGTCTCCCTGTTCCCTGCAGGTCAGTTTCGCCAGCTTCCACCCTTGGACAGTTCTGGCTCTCTCAACAACTCTCCTTCCCATTCCAGCAGCAGCAAGGGACAGGGGGCACCCTCCCCAGCGCAGGCCCCACCCTCCCCAGCCCAGTCCTGCCGCAGTGGCTGTCCCTTGGGGTAGGGAAATGCCAAAGCAGTCCCTGCCACATCCATGTGGGAAGCTGAAAGTGGATCACCAGAGTGTCTACCAGCCCCCCACTGTAGCCCAGGAGAACACTTGGATGCAGGTGCAGACCCTGCTAAGTGGCAGGGGTAAGGGACCCTGAAAGCCACTAGGTGCTCTTGGCTACAAGCCTCCCATCCCCCTGACTGGCTTCACTCTGGCAGCAGAGGGGAGAAGTCCCCTCACCGGCCCCGTGGCAGAGCCTGGGCACAGGGCTAAAGGACTTTTTGGTGCAGGTCTTCAAGTGGAGTGGGAGTCCCAGCCCCACCACCCAAAGGGAGGCACATCAGCCTGGCATGGAGGGCAGCTGCCTCCCATCCACCTGCCCACACCCTTGGTGTCAGAGGGCCCCCAACATCATGGCCCTCCTTGTGGCCCAGCTCTCCATGAGAGCTTTTGCACATGTTTTTGTTGGTGACTCGCTGTGACTGAAGAAAAGCCTCCTTCTGTTCCTTTTTTGTTTTCTTATGGCTTCTATTTTCCCTGGCAGAGGATGTTGGACCCAAATCCAATCCATGTGTGAGTTGTTCCCAGGGAAGTGACGTGCCACGCTGCTTCACCCCAGCCTTGGGCCGCCGGGCTTGACATGCTCAACTGGGGCAACGGAGCAAATTCCCAGAACAAGTTTTGAGAAAGATGATTCAGAGCTTTGCAGAGGATGAGGAAAGGGGAGAGCTTGCGGATCCTTGCTGCCACCAGGACTGGCCTGGGGGCACGTGGCAGGCAGAGGCAGGCTCAGGTGCACAGGGAGCCTGGGTGTTGGGGCTCAGGGTCTGCTCTGAGCGCCCCAGTGGGCACAGCTCAGGTTGATCTCTGAGGGCAAATGATGAGAGCTAAAAGGCAGCAGTGTGAGTGCCAAGAATGTGTGCTAGGCACAGCACATGCATGATCCTGTATGAACGACAAGGAGAACAGGGACACAGGTGGACGGCACTGAGGCTACCTGCCGAGATGTGGTGCCTGGGAGGTAGAGCCAGAACCTGACACAGTCCCACTGCTTTTTCAAGGAGATGCAGTGAGAAAGCAAAGGCAGGGTCTTGGCAGGACCAGGTGTGAGAGGAGGCAAGGCCTCCTTGTGGTCCTGCTCCCAGGGGGTGGCATGTATCCCAGGCCCAGCAGCCTCCACTGTGGCCTCCCCGGCTGCTGCCTGCTCCAACTCACTCGGGGCTGCTCTGGGGACCCAGGTGCTTCCTGACCCACTTTTCCTCTTTCCTTTTGACCCCAGGTCCAAACTCTGCCCTGTCAATCATCCCAGGGGCTCCTAGGCTTCCCTACCTGACTACTTCACTGGGGCCAAACCCCGCAGACAATCGTGGCTTAGGGCTGTCTGCCTCTGCACTTGGCCCATGGACTACCTGTGAGCTTTCTCTTGTGTCCTCATTCCTTTAAGGGGGAATGTCCTCGGAGCTCTGTCCTTAGCTCCCCATTCCTCCAGTATGAGACAGGGACTAGGCTTGAGTCACGGGGGACTGTGCTGTGTCACGCCCTGCCATACTAATGGGACCACTCTGCCTGTTGATGGCCGTTGTAGGGCAGCCAACATTTGCCCTGGAGAAGCCTTATGGCAAACACCAGGCACCAAGGTGCACATCCCTGATGGATCCTGGGATCAGTTGACACTCAATCCACCTGCCTTCTGGGTCCTCTGGGCCCTCTGGGTCCATGTGGCAGCTGGAGGTATGGTAGACACTTTTTAAAAAATGAGTTCTGGTAAGAAGAAGGTGATAAATGGCTATTTGTCCACGTTGGGACCCGGAGGGGAGGGATGGCATGCCCTTACATGGGACTCCTACCCCCAGCGGGGCAGCTGGCCACTCTGAGGGCAGTTTTGCACCTGCCTCCTGGCTGGAAAGTGAGTTCCCACTGTGCTGTCCCTCCCTGGGGCCCAGCACGGGGCCCGGCCCCACACCGACCTGAAGAGGTTGGTAGGATGACTGAATGAATTGACGCTGGGATGCAGCAGGGCCCATGGGCAGAGGCTCCAGAGCCTGGGAAGGATGGGGTGGCCTTTCTGTGGCCCTCCGAATTGAGAGAGGTCTCAGAGGCCTGACACCACGGCTTTCCGTCCAGGGTTCCTGGTCACCCGCGGAGGGCTCAGAGCCCCGGTGGACTCGGGGTCCCGCCTTAAGGGGGGTGCCTAGGGCAGAAGGAGGAGGGATGTCGGCCCCCTCAGACCCGCACCCCAGGCCCTCCCCACCACCTTTCCTTCCCTCAGGCCCTCTGTCTTCCCAGTCGCCCCGCCCCCTGCCCCTCTGTCCTAGGCGCAAGTCTCCGGGCTTGGGACGCTCGCCGCCAGCGCCCGCCCGCCTGCCCCGCCCCTAGCCCCCCGCCCCCCGCCCCCCGCCCCCCCGCAGCCCCTCCGTCCACTCTCGGCTCCTCCTTCTCTTCCTCCTCCTCCTCCCCGGGGGTGGGGAGCCGGCTCCGGAAGCCCCGGCGCCCCCGCCCCGGGCCCCGCCAGCGCTTTGGAGACGGCTATCCGCGCGGGAGTGCGCCACGCGGGGCCGGAGCGCCTATTAGCCGCCAGGACCTCGGAGCGCCCCGACCACCCCTGAGCCCCTCTGGCTTCGGAGCCCCCCAGCACCCCTTCCCGGGTCCCCTCGCCCACCCTAATCCACTCTCCCTCCCTTTCCCGGATTCCCTCGCTCACCCCATCCTCTCTCCCGCCCCTTCCTGGATTCCCTCACCCGTCTCGATCCCCTCTCCGCCCTTTCCCAGAGACCCAGAGCCCCTGACCCCCCGCGCCCTCCCCGGAGCCCCCCGCGCGTGCCGCGGCCATGGCGGCCGTGCGCGGGGCGCCCCTGCTCAGCTGCCTCCTGGCGTTGCTGGCCCTGTGCCCTGGAGGGCGCCCGCAGACGGTGCTGACCGACGACGAGATCGAGGAGTTCCTCGAGGGCTTCCTGTCAGAGCTAGAACCTGAGCCCCGGGAGGACGACGTGGAGGCCCCGCCGCCTCCCGAGCCCACCCCGCGGGTCCGAAAAGCCCAGGCGGGGGGCAAGCCAGGGAAGCGGCCAGGGACGGCCGCAGAAGGTAAGAGCCCAGGGCAGGGCGGGGGTGTGGGGGGCTGGCATCTCAGGTGGGAACAGGGGGATTCGGTAGGGTCTGGCCACTCCCCAGTCTGCTAGGGGAGGAATGGCTGGCTTACTAATGCGCACGCGAGCCCAGATGCCTGGAGGGACCCTGTGCTAGGCCGAGGTCAGCGCTGGCGTGGAGGCACATCCAGCACCCGGGCGGCAGGGCCGCTTTTGGGGGCCGGTGGCTCTAGGGTTGGTGCTGTGGTTGTACGGGTCGCTTATCCCCATTCCTCCAGTACGCGACAGGTACTAGGCTTGAGCCACAGGGGACTGTGCTGTGTCACCCCCTGCCATACTAATGGGACCACTCTCCCTGTTGGTGGCACAGCTTCACGTCGTCCCTCCCTCCTGCCTTTGCCCTCCTACTCCAGGAGGTCTCACGTAGGTGAGAGAGTTTCAGGTGGTGGTGAGCACAGGGCTTCAGGTGGTGGTGAGCAATGGGTGGTCCTACATTAGTACAGGAAATTAGATGAGGTGATGCATCACTGAAGCATTTAACCCACGGCCTCTTGCATAATCAGTTGTCAGTAAATCTTAGCTGTTTTCATCGTGGCCCTCTGGAAGGTGGCAGAGGGTCTTGTGATCCCTGTCTCCCAGGAGATTCCAAGGCACCATCCAACATTCCTGATGTCAGCAGCCCCTCCCCTGCCACCCCAGCTCTAGATCTTTCCTGGCTGCTTCCCACACCCTGGGCTGCCTGTGCCCCTCCTGCCTCTGGCTCTCCTTCCAGGCTTGCTCTCCTGGCTCTGGGGCACCGCTCTAGCAGCCCTGCGTCCCCTGGCTGTCTGCATTTGGTAGCTTTCCTGTGTTTCTGCCAAACTTCCCTCATGCTCCCCACCTCTCATCAGGTTCTCAACAGCACTTGCAGCTCCTGCTTAGGGTCCTGGGAGGATTCCCATGGGGAATCCTCACAACCAGTCCCTGCTCCCTCTCCCAGACTCTGAAATGAGTGTGCAGCCACAAGCTCCCTACCTGTCTTTTCTGTCCTCTGTGTGATCCCTGAACCCCCCAGGACTCCCTATCCTTCCAATCAATTCCAAACCCCTTACTTCTCGAAAGGAGACCACTTCCTCTTCTTTGGGCTTCAATACTCAACCAAGTGTCCCTTTTCTTTGAAGCTTTTCTTGCCCCGTAGGAGACCAGGGGAAGGTCTTGGGCCCATGTCCCTTCCTTTGTATGGCAGTTGGCAGGGATGACCAGATGCTCCTCCAGGCCTGGATGGCTCAGTCACCTCTCTGCCCCTTCTGTGCCCAGAACAGAATAGTGGAGGAGTGGATAGTAAGGAACCCCTATTGAGGTTTTGGCAGGTGGGGGGATGAGGGCCTCCCCCTGGGAACTGGGAACCCTACGCTCAGTCTTTAGAGAGGTTGAGATTGGTGGTCACAGCCCCAGACTTGCAGACAGAAAATCTGGGTCCGGATCCCAGTTTGCCACTTGGGCAAATGACTTAACCTCTCAGTTTGCTGATCCGCACTGGGAACTGACAAGAGTCCCTGTGCCCAGGTTCTGGGCATCTAGAGAGGGGCCTCATGGGGGCACAGAGCTGGCTCTGTTCATTTGACACGAGTCTGCATCTTGGACAGTGCCTCCGGAAAAGACCAAAGACAAAGGGAAGAAAGGCAAGAAAGACAAAGGCCCCAAGGTGCCCAAGGAGTCCTTGGAGGGGTCCCCCAGGCCGCCCAAGAAGGGGAAGGAGAAGCCACCCAAGGCCACCAAGAAGCCCAAGGAGAAGCCACCTAAGGCCACCAAGAAGCCCAAGGAGAAGCCACCCAAGGCCACCAAGAAGCCCAAAGAGAAGCCACCCAAGGCCACCAAGAAGCCCCCGTCAGGGAAGAGGCCCCCCATTCTGGCTCCCTCAGAAACCCTGGAGTGGCCACTGCCCCCACCCCCCAGCCCTGGCCCCGAGGAGCTACCCCAGGAGGGAGGTTTGTGCCGGGCTCCTCTGGGGTGATGGGGCTCTGACTGCCTGCTCGGGTGGAGGCAGGGAGTGGGAGGCAGGTTTCTGGGGCCCTGCTTCCTATAGACCTTCAGCTCCCCACTGGATGGGAACCTCACTTTTGCTATAAATTTCACAATTTGATTGGTGGGCTCCCTCAGTGCTGTAGCCTCTTTTGGGTAGGGAGAGGGCTTGGCAGCCTTTTGGGTGGGACCTCTGTCCCTCAGGCCCCTGCCCAGATGTCCCTGGGCTCTGAGCCCATGGAGTTCCCTCCTGCCTTCTCCCGCTGGGGACAGCTTTGTGGTAGGGCCTCCAGCAGCACAGTAGGTTCCCCAGAAGGTGGGCCCAGCTCTCTGGCCCCATGAGATGCCAGCAGGATGCTGAAGGCCAGAGGAGCTCAGGCCTCCTTGGAGTGAGCTCGGCCTCAGGAGGGTGTCCACAGGCTCTGTGTGGGCTCTATGGGTGGCTGGTGGCCTGAGGCTCCCAAGGTGGTCAGAGCAGGCCTCCCGCCCACCTGCTTCTGGAACTCCTGTGTTGCAGGGGCGCCCCTCTCAAATAACTGGCAGAATCCAGGAGAGGAGACCCATGTGGAGGCACGGGAGCACCAGCCTGGTGAGTGGCCGTCATCCGCCTGGCCTTGGGGCCAGCTGCCCTGGCTGGTTGGACTGAGGGCTTCCCCAGAGTAGGCCTGGGTGGGGTTGTCAGGCAGCTACCAGCGCTTTCCCCTCAGAGCCGGAGGAGGAGACCGAGCAACCCACACTGGACTACAATGACCAGATCGAGAGGGAGGACTATGAGGACTGTGAGTAGGGTCCTGCCAGCCCCACCTGGGTCGGACCCCTGGCCTGGGGGATGTGCCAATGGGCCCATCCCAGCCTTGGGCCCCACTCTGAGCCAGCCTCCCCCTCAGTTGAGTACATTCGGCGCCAGAAGCAACCCAGGCCACCCCCAAGCAGAAGGAGGAGGCCCGAGCGGGTCTGGCCAGAGCCCCCTGAGGAGAAGGCCCCGGCCCCAGCCCCGGAGGAGAGGATTGGTAGGATGGGGGGCAGGAGAGGAGGTGCCATGGCCACGGCGCTCTGGCCCCCTCCTAACCTCCCCGCCTCCCCAGAGCCTCCTGTGAAGCCTCTGCTGCCCCCGCTGCCCCCTGACTATGGTGATGGTTACGTGATCCCCAACTACGATGACAGTGAGTACCCAGCACCCCAGAGTCTGAGGGACATAGGCAGGTGGGGGTCGGGGCTGGGGTGTGGTCAGGAGCCAGCTGGGGCAACTCACCCACCTTGCAACCCCACCTGTGCCCGTGGTTACCTCGCTGTCCCTGCTGTCCCTGCGTGCCCACCCCAGCCACTGCCCTGTCTCCTCTGCCCTCAGGCTGGTCTTTCCTTGGCCGCTTCCCTGGTTCCTGCTTGGCTGTGACCCCCACAGGGGTGTCCCTAGGCACACACTCTGCCCTGTCACCCATGTGGGTTCCAGCCCTCCCAGTCCTGTGCTCTAACTGGCTTCCCGCTGGCTCGTGGCCACTGCCCCACTCTCTTCAGGGAGCCCGAGGGCTTTTGCCTCCCTGTTGCTCATGCCCCTGCGTCCCTGGAGCCCTCAGGTTCCCTTTCCTCCTGGGTGGCAGCCCGTGCATCGCCATTTCCCTGCCCCCAGGTCCCCATCAGTGCCTCCAATGTCTCCCCATCTCACCCCCCAGCCCGCAACCCCAGGCACAGGTGCCAGTTGTCCCTCCAGGCCTTTCCCATGCCCTGGGCCTCGAGTCCTTTCCCCAGGCCAGATGCTCCTGGAAGGCCGGGCTGGTGACTTCAGCAGGGTCTTGCTCAGCTGCCCCTGAGCTCGGGCTGCTCCTGACTCCTGCAAGACCCTCTCCCAACTCAGCTGTCCCCCATCTCCCGTCCTCCTCCCCTCTGGCGCGGTCCTGTCCTGCTGAGCTCCTGTGGACCCAGGAGCTGAGGCCCCGCAGCAGGGTCAGGGCAGCCTCAGCTGGCTCTCCCTCCCCATAGTGGACTATTACTTTGGGCCTCCTCCGCCCCAGAAGCCCGATGCTGAGCGCCAGACAGACGAAGAGAAGGAGGAGCTGAGTGAGTGGGACCAAGGACTTCCCACACCAGGCCTGCCCTGAAGGCCACCTGGGGCCTGCCTGATCCACCCCACATGGTCCTCAAAGCCCAGAGCCAGGCTGACTGGCCCCTCCTACCTTGCACCTTCCAGAGAAACCCAAAAAGGAGGACAGCAGCCCCAAGGAGGAGACCGACAAGTGGGCAGTGGAGAAGGGCAAGGACCACAAAGGTGTGTGGCTGGGGCTTGGGGCCTGGGTCCCTGTGGGGCAGCATCTGGACTCCTGATTGCCTCCCGGGCCCTTGGTGCCATGTCCTCCCTTCATTGTCCCTAGAGCCCCGAAAGGGCGAGGAGTTGGAGGAGGAGTGGACGCCTACGGAGAAAGTCAGTAAGTGGGGGGCACAAGGGGGTGAGGGTGGGGGCCACAGGATGGGGGTGCTGGGACAAGTGACTGGCCCAATGTCACAAACAGGACCCAGGTCCCCGGAACCCTTTCCTACTCAGATTCTTGGGACCCAGAAGGGAGGGGCCCCGGGAGCCCAGGATAGCCTCGCTTGGCTGCCCCAGCCCTGGACCCCAGGCTGGCCTGCTTCAGGAGGGTGGCAGCTCCCCAGGGCCCCTAGTGGCTGGGCGTGGTAGGGGGAGGACCTGGGGCCTTGGTGGGGAGTGAGGACCTCAGGTACCTTCACAGGTATCCCTGCAGGGCCATTGTGCAGACGGTCCCCATCTGGATGACATCTGTGGCTGCGCCCTGGGGGAGCTCTACCTGTGATTTCACGTGTGTCCCCTGAGAGCTGGGCATGGTCAGCCCGTTCTCCAGATGGGGCAGCTGAGGCCCAGGGAGGGGAAGCACAGGCTGGGATTGGAAACAGCTCCTGGCCTGGCTTTGAGTCGATTCCAGGTGGGCTGGTGCAGGGCACCAGGGAGCCACCAGCTGACCAGAGCTGCCCTCTGACTGTGCCCCCGATGTGCCGGGAGTGGGCTCTGGGCTCCTTGGTTCTGGGTTTGGTGGAGGGAAGGATGGAGCTAGTGAGCCACCATTCTGGGGTACGCGTCCTCAGAGTGTCCCCCCATTGGGATGGAGTCACACCGTATTGAGGACAACCAGATCCGAGCCTCCTCCATGCTGCGCCACGGCCTGGGGGCACAGCGCGGCCGGCTCAACATGCAGGTGGGCATTGGGATGGGCCCATCTCCCAACTGGGATAAGGGACTCCTCCGCCCATGCTCAGCCTCCCCTGCCCCCTGGACAGACCGGTGCCACTGAGGACGACTACTATGATGGTGCGTGGTGTGCCGAGGACGATGCCAGGACCCAGTGGATAGAGGTGGACACCAGGAGGACTACCCGGTTCACAGGCGTCATCACCCAGGGCAGAGACTCCAGCATCCAGTGCGTGGCCAGGCTCATGGATAGTTGGCAGAGGGGAGTGGCTACATAGGCATGGCTCTGTGTCCCATTAAGGAGATTCCAGTGGGCCCTTCTTTGGCCCAGCCAAAGAAGGCCAAAAAGATCAGTGAGGGACTCACCCTGCCCATCCCCACTCCTCAGCCTGGTCAGTCAGCCCCTGTGTCCTGATAGCACATGAGTTTAGGGACAGATCACCTGCCCATGGCTATGTGACGGGCATAGGACCCAGGCTCAACACCTGGGCCGTGCAGCACCACCCTGCTAGCTCTTAAATTCTTGGGGCTCGGAAGAGGGAGGCTCAGGCCACCTGAGGGCCTGGGAGGGGGAAGACCCTTGCTCTGACCACTGTCCACTCCACAGTGACGATTTTGTGACCACCTTCTTCGTGGGCTTCAGCAATGACAGCCAGACATGGGTGATGTACACCAACGGCTATGAGGAAATGGTGGGCACCATGCCCAGGCTCTTGGCTCTGCTCCCATTGTCTGGGCGAGGGGTGGGCTCTCAGAGGGGCTGGCAGTACTGCTCTGAGGCCTGCCTCTCCCCAGACCTTTCATGGGAACGTGGACAAGGACACACCCGTGCTGAGTGAGCTCCCAGAGCCGGTGGTGGCTCGTTTCATCCGCATCTACCCACTCACCTGGAATGGCAGCCTGTGCATGCGCCTGGAGGTGCTGGGGTGCTCTGTGGCCCGTGAGTGTGGAGGGCTGGCAGGGGCTCTGAGTGGAGGTGGGGTGCTAGGGTGGGCCAGCCGGCACCCAGCTAAAGACAACCCCGCCTCCCTTGCAGCTGTCTACAGCTACTACGCACAGAATGAGGTGGTGGCCACCGATGACCTGGATTTCCGGCACCACAGCTACAAGGACATGCGCCAGGTTGGGAGCATATATCCTGGGGCTGGGGGTGGGACCTGTCTGTGGCTGACGGGAGTGTGTGCCTGGTGCTTCTGTCACTGGGCCCAGTCCCTACTGGTTCCAGGGATGCTGGCTGTCCCTCACCTTAGGAAGGAGGCCAGTACCTGGGGGCTGCGTGAAGGGGTCATGCCCGTCCCTCGCCATAGAGCAGGCCCTGGAAGTGGAAGGGGCATGGTCAGCGGGGGACGGATTGCATGATTGATTCCACGTCCTCCCCCTCTGCCCCAGCTCATGAAGGTGGTGAACGAGGAGTGCCCCACCATCACCCGCACTTACAGCCTGGGCAAGAGCTCACGAGGCCTCAAGATCTATGCCATGGAGATCTCAGACAACCCTGGGGAGCATGAACTGGGTGAGGGTCTGTGGGGGCCAGCAGCTGGCCTCTGCTGCTGATGTGCAGAGCTCACTGCCTCCCGCCTGTTCCGGAGCCTCTCTGGGGATTCTGGCTTGTCTTACAGGGCCCTAGGAGCCCCAGCTGTCCCCCAGACCCTCGGGTATGAGGTGGGTCTGGGTCCTTCCTCAGCTGCCCTGGGCCTCGGGAGACTGAGTGCTCACTGAGGCTCCCGCCCTTGCAGGGGAGCCCGAGTTCCGCTACACTGCTGGGATCCATGGCAACGAGGTGCTGGGCCGAGAGCTGTTGCTGCTGCTCATGCAGTACCTGTGCCGAGAGTACCGCGATGGGAACCCACGTGTGCGCAGCCTGGTGCAGGACACACGCATCCACCTGGTGCCCTCACTGAACCCTGATGGCTACGAGGTGGCAGCGCAGATGGTGGGTTGAAGGGTGAGGCTGGCCAGGGTCCAGGCAGCTGGGGGTTGTGGGGGTGTGGGTAGCCGATGCCTACCCTGCTGGCTCCCCACAGGGCTCAGAGTTTGGGAACTGGGCGCTGGGACTGTGGACTGAGGAGGGCTTTGACATCTTTGAAGATTTCCCGGATCTCAACTCTGTGCTCTGGGGAGCTGAGGAGAGGAAATGGGTCCCCTACCGGGTCCCCAACAATAACTTGCCCATCCCTGAACGCTACCTTTCGCCAGATGCCACGGTGAGGCTACAGCCTGGCTGAAAGGGCAGGAGGGAGCAGCTGGACCCTGGGGTCCTGGTGTTCTGGGCTTGGGGGTGGGGCTGACGGTGCCTGAACTCCAGACGCTGAGGCTCTGGGGGTTGGGGGACAGGGGATCGTGCGAGTACTGGTGTGAAGCTTCATGGAGGGTGATCGGGCTAGGTTGGGGATAGTGGCCGGAGCTGCAGCCCTGGCCTCACACGTGCTGGCCACTCCAGGTATCCACGGAGGTCCGGGCCATCATTGCCTGGATGGAGAAGAACCCCTTCGTGCTGGGAGCAAATCTGAACGGCGGCGAGCGGCTAGTATCCTACCCCTACGATATGGCCCGCACGCCTACCCAGGAGCAGCTGCTGGCCGCAGCCATGGCAGCAGCCCGGGGGGAGGATGAGGACGAGGTCTCCGAGGCCCAGGAGACTCCAGACCACGCCATCTTCCGGTGGCTTGCCATCTCCTTCGCCTCCGCACACCTCACCTTGACCGAGCCCTACCGCGGAGGCTGCCAAGCCCAGGACTACACCGGCGGCATGGGCATCGTCAACGGGGCCAAGTGGAACCCCCGGACCGGGAGTGAGTCAGCCTGGGAGGGGCTGTGGGCGGGGCCTGGTCCGGAGAGGGGCTGACTTTGGGTCTGTATCTGTCCCCGGCCAGCTATCAATGACTTCAGTTACCTGCATACCAACTGCCTGGAGCTCTCCTTCTACCTGGGCTGTGACAAGTTCCCTCATGAGAGTGAGCTGCCCCGCGAGTGGGAGAACAACAAGGAGGCGCTGCTCACCTTCATGGAGCAGGTGGGGTGGCTAGGGCAATGCCTGGGGAGAGGAGGCTGCACAGGCTCCTGGATGGGCGGGAGGGAGCAGCGGACCACATTGGACCTTCCTGAGGACCAGCAGCCCTCACCTGCTTCCCTAGGTGCACCGCGGCATTAAGGGGGTGGTGACGGACGAGCAAGGCATCCCCATTGCCAACGCCACCATCTCTGTGAGTGGCATTAATCACGGCGTGAAGACAGGTACCTAGTGTGCACACCTTTACCCCATCTTTCTGAGGGAGGACCCGCCAGAGAGGGTGGGGGCTTGAGGAACTCAGCGAGCAGGTAGAGTCTGGGGAGCCTGGGGGCGAAATTCAGAGAGGGAGGGCGGTGCTGGGGGCGGGAACTCAGAGGGGGAGGGCGGGGCTGGGGGCAGGACTGAGTGGGAGGGTGGGGGCCTGGGAGGGGCGCTCTGGGGCAGCCGGATCGTTCTCCCTCCGCAGCCAGTGGTGGTGATTACTGGCGAATCTTGAACCCGGGTGAGTACCGCGTGACAGCCCACGCGGAGGGCTACACCCCGAGCGCCAAGACCTGCAATGTTGACTATGACATCGGGGCCACTCAGTGCAACTTCATCCTGGCTCGCTCCAACTGGAAGCGCATCCGGGAGATCATGGCCATGAACGGGAACCGGCCTATCCCACACATAGACCCATCGCGCCCTATGACCCCCCAACAGCGACGCCTGCAGCAGCGACGCCTACAACACCGCCTGCGGCTTCGGGCACAGATGCGGCTGCGGCGCCTCAACGCCACCACCACCCTAGGCCCCCACACTGTGCCTCCCACGCTGCCCCCTGCCCCTGCCACCACCCTGAGCACTACCATAGAGCCCTGGGGCCTCATACCGCCAACCACCGCTGGCTGGGAGGAGTCGGAGACTGAGACCTACACAGAGGTGGTGACAGAGTTTGGGACCGAGGTGGAGCCCGAGTTTGGGACCAAGGTGGAGCCCGAGTTTGAGACCCAGTTGGAGCCTGAGTTTGAGACCCAGCTGGAACCCGAGTTTGAGGAAGAGGAGGAGGAGGAGAAAGAGGAGGAGATAGCCACTGGCCAGGCATTCCCCTTCACAACAGTAGAGACCTACACAGTGAACTTTGGGGACTTCTGAGATCAGCGTCCTACCAAGACCCCAGCCCAACTCAAGCTACAGCAGCAGCACTTCCCAAGCCTGCTGACCACAGTCACATCACCCATCAGCACATGGAAGGCCCCTGGTATGGACACTGAAAGGAAGGGCTGGTCCTGCCCCTTTGAGGGGGTGCAAACATGACTGGGACCTAAGAGCCAGAGGCTGTGTAGAGGCTCCTGCTCCACCTGCCAGTCTCGTAAGAGATGGGGTTGCTGCAGTGTTGGAGTAGGGGCAGAGGGAGGGAGCCAAGGTCACTCCAATAAAACAAGCTCATGGCACGGACTGCTCACATTCTGAGGTGTCAGGGATGGGGAGGAGGGAGACCGGCTGGTGGGTGCATGGGCTATGGTCACTGTGGGCACCCCTGCAGGAGTCCCATAGCCAGAGTGCCCAGGGCTCAAGGCTCGCATCAGCAAGTGCTCAGGCTTTATTTACAATGCCGACACTGCAGGGAATGAACAGCCTCCATCTGGGCCTCTCTGGTCAAAACCACTTTTTTGAGTCAGGGGCCCAGCCCCAGGCCTCCCAGGTCATCGTCCTCTGCCCCGAAGCCCGAGAAGCTGATGGGCTGGCAGGCCAGGCTGCGCAGGTTCACAAGGCAGGCGGTCTGCGTGGCACTGAAGTCAGGGACAGTCACCAACAGCACTGTCTGGTCCTCAGGACCTGCAAAGAAGTCACATAGGACCCACTGTAGGTTCCAAGTAAGTCCTGCCTCAAAGAGAAGCTGCCAGAAATAAACAGGAGTCCCCATTGGCACACAGTGGGGCAGTGACAATAGGAGACCAGAGATTAGCCTTGAGAGGCACACAGGCTGGGAGCCGTTCCAGTCCCTGCCCAGCTGGCGAGGCAGCTTGGCTCCCACAGTGAAATGGCAGCTGTGCAGAAGACCTCAGCTGTCCATCCCACAAGGGCCAGGGGGACTCCACAATGCAGGTTTTCTTCTCTGTGAACCTTGTCCCCAGGTGAGAGCAAATCAGCAAATCAGCCTGGGCCCCCAGAAGACAAAAATTACCTCGGATGATTTTGGAGCCAAAGCTGGGGGTGTTGCCACAAAAGTAGACATGCGGGCACTCTGGGAAGATGAACGGGTCAGTTTTGTAGAAGGGGTAACAACCTGGAGGAGAAGGGGCAGCTCTGAGGAGGGTTCCGCCTCAGCACTAGCACTCTGCACAGGATGTGGGGCTGCAGCCCCTCCTCCCATTGCAGGCCAGTAGGAGACCCCCAGTGTGACAATAGGGGCACCTCCAGACATTGTCACAAGACCTTGGCCCTGCTGTTGCTGCCCGTTGGGGTGGGCAGCCATTGGCCTTAGAATTAAGATTCCAGAGTAGCTTCCAGAGCAGGTGCCAAGCCTCTGAACTTCTCCTCAGACAGTTCTCAGCAATGCTGGCAAGTGCAAACCCACAGGGGGACCCTGTGCACTTCAGGGTCCTGCCAGGCCTCCTGGCCCTCTGCTCCCACCCTGTATGGCTGAGCCTGTTACCTAGAGTGTCAGGGGCTGTGGGGCTGATGTGACGGACCCGCAGGGTCCACTCCAGGATCTCCAAGTGATCCTCCATGCTGCTGTATCGGAAAATGTCACTCACGTTCTGTCCTGATGTCCCCAAAAATCTGCAAGGCAAAGCTCAGCTGACTCTTGGCTTTGGGTGCCACCCATAGTGGTCAGCCCAGAGCTCATCTGGCGCTCTTGTGGGGATGCCCCAGAGAGAAGGAACAGATGCTAGGTGGGCCTCTGCAGCCCTGCCACCTTCCTGGGCCCTCCCTCCCCTCCCTTCTTTGTGCCTCCTGAGGCAAAAGGCTGGGTCAGACTGAAGTGTGGCTGTGCCAGCTACCTGACTCCATCAATGGTGGCCTGGTAGGGGTTGGTGACCAGCTGGAGCGTGGAGTAGGCAGTGGCCAGCGGGAACATGCAGGGGTGGAGGGGCTGCTGGGGGAGCGTGTAATTGGTGGGATCAAACTCGCCTGGCATCACGTCCACGGGCACTGAGGCCTGGAAGGCACAGGGCAGGGAGAGCTCACAGGGCCCCGAAGGAGCCCCCTACACCAACTCCGGCCACTCCCCCTGCCCTCCTGCCTGCCTTCTGTTGCCCAGTGGCAGCTTTGAAGACTGCAATCCCCATCACCCCTCCAGCCCCCAGCTCGCTCACGCTCAGCTGCAGGAGGATCTCATCCAGCATCTTAACAGCCTCCACGCTGGCTGCCTGGGTTTTCTTGGTGAGGTATTTGGCCTGGAATAGAAGCCCAGAAGGCCATCAGGCCCAGGCGAGTCCCAGGCTCAGAGGAGAGTAGAGCCCCACCAGCTGGAAGATGCAGTTGTTGTCCCATAGACCCTCACTCCCTTCAAGCCTCCCACCATCCTCAGCGAGGGCCTGGGCATGAGGAGCCCCATTGCAGGAGGCCCCAGAGTCACTGCAGGGCGCTTCCCACCGACCTGCGAGACCTCACAGGGTACCCTACTCGCCCTGGGGAAGGAGGGTCTTACAGGCTTGCAGGCTCCTGGGCTGGGGCTGAATGCAGCCAGGTGGGCTCCATACCTTATTGATAGAATCCCTGCTCTGGGTGCTGTGGCTGAGGAGGTTGCCAGCGAGGATAACCCGGGAGACGTGGGCGGCGCTGCACTGCTCCCCTTCGTCCCCAAGCTGCCCCGTCACCACATCCACCAGCAGCTGGGTGCCCAGCAGGCTCTCGCCTCCACCGCCACCCAGGCCCAGGCCGGACACCAGTAGCACAAACCTGCGGGAGAAGGTGGGGTCCTCCAGGGTGCCGAGAAGGGAGGCAGCCCCTCCTAGGTGCAACTCAAAGATTCCACTGACCATGAGCTGGTTCCAGCTCCCGAGAACTGCTGCTCACCTATCTGTGTCAAGTGGGGGTGCGGGCTTCTGGGGAGCAAGGTCAGCAAAGCAATAGTCCTCCACCAGAAACTTCCCGTCGTCTCTCACGGAGCCAAACACAGCCAGGACAGTCCCTGGGGAGCAGTGGCATCAGGCCTGAGCAGGGAGCCCCAGGTGCTACCACTCCTTCCAGTCACCCCAACGGGCAAAACAAGCCAGTTCTCCACAACCACATTGGTGAATTCTCACCTAGGACTCCAGGATGCATGCCTGCTTCCTGGAGTCACTGCCCTTGGATGGAGGTGGGGAGACCCATCTCCCAGCCAGGTCTCACCCAATCTGATGGCCTCCGACCGCCTGGAGCCTCACCTACCTCCTCAAGAACACACGTGTGCCCAGGCCACACCCCCCCACTCCCCCCAGGCTCCCCACTCACACCATCCCTAACACACCACCGCTGGGCTCTTCACCTGCATCACCCACATCCTCTCATTGGGCTCCCTACCCGTAACCAGCTTTGACACGTCAATGGTGCCTTTTAGTTTGATACGCTGCAGTTCATCTTCCAAGACCAGCTCGTCATCTGGGTGTATGTATTTACTCCGAGGAGGCTGGGGGAGCAGGTTGTGCTGGAATGCAGAGACAGGAGGTATAATCTTGGGGCCAGAGCCCACCAAAGCTCTGGTGTTAGTGAGCTGGCACCGCAGCCCCCACCCCTCTGGAGTCCATTGTCTCTGAACCTGCTTCCCCACAACCCCACCTCCAGGGAGGTGTTCTAGTGGGAGGCCAGGTCTGCCTGGCGGCCCCACTGTGTAGCACCCTGCCTCACCTCCTCGCTGACCTCCCGCAGGATGGAGGGCTGCAGCGGCATGGCCTTGAACAGAGTGCCCACCACACAGCACTTCTCCTCAGGCTGCAGTTCACACAGCTTCTTCACTCCCACTCCACTGCCTGGGACACGAGGGGTACAGACTCAGAGATGAAGTAGCCCCCCCGCCCGACAGAGGCCATGGAGGCCCTGCCCAGCACTCCATGAGAGGCCAATCACAGGGCCCTGGCCTTGCCAGGAGAGAACATCAAGTACAAGGACCCCCTGGACTTCACGGTGACAGTAAAAAGTGAGTCAGCCACAGGAGACCAGGGACTCTGGGTGTGGTTGGGCCCTGGATGCCAAGTGTCCTCATGAGAACAGAGAGACAGACACACAGACAAGAGGGAGTGTGAAGACGGGCAGAGCGGAGTGATGCGGCCACAAGCCCAGGAACACCAGGGAGGAGGCCAGGAAGGACCCTCCCCTCGGGCCTTCAGAAGGAGCCAATCCTGCTGACATCTGGATTTCAACTTCTGGCCTCCAGAACTGCCAGAGAGTAAATGTCTGTGTTTTTCTGTTATTGTTGTTTCTGTTTTTGTTTTTGTTTTGAGGCGGAGTCTCGCTGTCATCCAGGCTGGAGTGCAGTGGCGCGATCTCAGCTCACTGCAAGCTCCGCCTCCCGGGTTCACGCCATTCTCCTGCCTCAGCCTCCCGAGTAGCTGGGACTACAGGCGTGTGCCACCACGCCCAGCTAATTTTTTTTTTTTTGTATTTTTAGTAGAGACAGGGTTTCACCGTGTTAGCCAGGATGGTCTCAATCTCTTGACCTTGTGATCTGCCCGCCTCGGCCTCCCAAAGTGCTGGGATTACAGTCGTGAGCCACCGTGCCCGGCCATGTCTGTTGTTTTAAGTCAACCAGTTTGTGGTGCTTTGTTACAGCGCCTACAGGAAACTAATACAAAGTACTGCTTCACTTATACCTAAATTACAACACTGACTCTTAAAAAGAAGCATGCCAAGTCTCAACACAGCCCTGTCCCACAAATAACTGCCATTTTCTTTTAAGACTTTAGATTCTTCCACCCTACCCCCCACCCCCAACCCCCACCAAATGCTTCATCCTCTGAGACCAGAGATACTCAAAATGCAGACCTCAGATCCCCTCCACCCATTCCATTCCCGTGGAGTCAGGTGGCTTTGTTTACCCAGGGCACCTGGGCACCGTCTTCCCCAGCCCCTTCCCGGGATCCTAGGTATGAACAAGAACACATGGGAGGGGCTTGGCACTCTCGAGAAGAAAGGTATGGAGAATCAGTGAGGGCAGGAGGGAGGAATACAGGTGCCCACACAGCACAGATCCAGGCCTGGAGAAAACACCAAGGAGGTGACAGGACAACGCGGATGCCAGACCAGCCCCTTAGCCTAGCTGACTCCAGCACAGCCTGAGCCCCTGCTGCCTGGGAAGAACCAGGAATATTCCTCAAATCTACGCCCTAGGGAGCAGACAGAGGCGAGCAACTCAAAACAAGACAAGAAGGATGCCAGCAGCAGACAGAAATGCAACAGACTCCACATCCTCACGTATCCCACTCTTACTCTCCCCCAGGTGGCCTAAGCACTGTACATGTAACTCAGCCAACGCTGAAAATGTGCCAGGAGTAGATATTATCACCCAACTGATGCACAGAGAGGTTAAGCAATGTGTCCAAGGGCACACAACTGGGATCCAAGTGTATGCCCCTGAGCACTGGGCAGAATGACATCCCTGTAACCGATAGTAGGACATGCTTCCACCCAGGCAATGTGCTGGCACCAAGATCAAAACTGGACATAAAAGCCAACACTTGCCCCCACTCAGCCCACTGGGTCTAGGCAGGAGAACGACAACAGGCCATAGACAAGTAACTCGCCACAGTGACAAGTGCTGTGAACAAATGGTGAGCTGAGGTAGAAAACGGAGGCCCTCATTGCAAGGTGGCTTCAGGTGGCCCCTCAAAGAATATAACACTTCAGCTGACAGTGGGGCTTAGATGGGGCCATGGGAAGACAAGGGAAAGAGTGTGCCAAGTGAAGGGAAAAGCCTACAGCAGGAAGGTCTGGGCAGGTTTGGGGAACAGGTGAGTGGAAAGACCAATTTGGAGAGACAGGCTGAGCTTCAGTGAGGATGCACAGGCCACATGGAGAAGCCACATGTAGGTATTCAGGGTGGGGGCCAGCACCAACCACCAGGCCTGTGAGCGAGTGCTACTGCTGCCCCGCTGCTATCAACACATTCACTGTGGCAGCTGTTTGGTTTCCTGACCAGTCTGTGAGCACAGTGAAATCGCTATCGTCCATCACTGGGGAGCTTTTTTGACAGCTCCAATAACTGGAAGAGAAATGTGCGACCAGAGGAGGTGCTGCCGGAAAGAATCTAGAAGGTGGCATTGACATTGGGCCCAAGTAGTAACTGAGCTCTGAAAGGAGCCAAGGAAGGTGTCCCGAGGGCTGAAAGGAAAGTGAGGAAAAGCTACCGGAGCCGCAGGAGGGAGCCCCTGATTATGTGGGAGAGGAGAGGTGAACAGCACTTTGTCTCAGGTAAACAAAACAGAAAACATCCTGATATGATTTGGCTCTGTGTCCCCACCCACATCTCATCTGGAATTATAATCCACACGGTGTTGACGGAGGGACCTGGTGGGAGGTGACTGGATTGTGGGGGTGGATTTCCCCCATGCTGTTCTTGTGATGGTGAGTGAGATCAAGCCATCATGCGATCTGATGGTTTAAAAATGGTTGGCAGTTCCCCTTGCTCTCTCTCTCCTGCTATCATGTAAAAGAGCCTTGCTTTCCCTTCACCTTCTGCCATGATTGTTAAGTTTCCTGAGGCCTCCCCAGCCATGAGGAACTGTGAGTCAATTAAACCTCTTTTCTTTATAAATTACCCTATCTCAGGTAGTTTTTTATAGCAATGTGAAAATGGACTAATACATATCCCTAATGAATTTGAGGTTCTAGCTAGATTTCTAGGCCCAGGGTTCTCCTGCCTGCCTATAACGAGAATTGATCTTGGCTTGGCATGGGATGAGATGGGCTTCTCAAAGCTCCCCAGGGGATTCCAATGTGCAACTAGGGCTGAGATCCATTTTGCCTGGTGCCAAGGACAGTAAAAATGAGTAAGACCTGGTCTCACCTACTAAATCCTCAGTTTAAAAATATAATAGGAGATGGATTTGAAAATTACCTGGAAAGCCACTCTTATGTAAGTGGTAGGAATGGGGGAATGCAGCAGCACCTAAAACTCAAATAAACTCAAAGGGGGAGATGGGGGTCCCTGCTTCACCACCAAGAGTAATCCAACTGCAGGAGAGATCACCAGGGAAGAAATGGGGGCAAAGAACAAGGGTTGTGTTGGGCAGGCCACTTTATTAGGAAAGACAGAGGGCCCAAGGGACAGGAAAATTCATGGCCAGCAAATATGGGGGCCAGGAGGAGAGGCAAACAGACATGAGTGAACAGAGGGGGTCCCCTCGAGACCAGAGAGTGCATCCTCACCAGTCTTGGCTCCTGGTGCCTGGCGCCAGGCTTGCCACACTGAGGGGCTCTCTGGCTACAGCACAGGCAAATACCTGAATAATCTGCACTGAAGATAGGAAAACCATTTTCCTCTGCCAGTGAAGTAATCGCCATCACCGCCAGAACTAAGTCCTCATCTCCAACCAGCCTCTGAACTAAAACTAACTCCAAACCCACAAATTACTTAATTTAATCCTTGTTACTATCTTAAGAAGAAACTGAGGGAAAAAGAGGTTAATTTTCCCAAGGTAACAGGAAGTGGGATCAATTAGATAAACTGTTCCCATTCTCTTGCAGAACACTTCTAAGTTCAGGGATGCTGTGGGGGAAGCACCTTCCCAAACTCTCACTTACCCCAGTGCTGCTGGGCCCGGTTCTCCAGGAAGGGTCTCATTTGGATGAGGCGGGTGGCATAAATGTGGGCATACTGCCGGCTAAAGCTGCGCTCTCCTAGCCGGAAGGGTTGTGAGGAGTTGGTGTAGGTTGCCACTGGCACCCGGGCAAAGGTGGCATTGTTGGCTGATGGTGGGGACAGTAGAGTGTGGGCCCTCTGGGCAGCCTGCTCAGAAAACATGGCCACACTCCTGACTTGCTTGGTCCACACAGCTTCGCCCAGGCCAAGGAGGTTCACTGCGAAAACACAAAGGCATTCCTGCTGCCCCTGTCCATCCCCCAAAGCAGCAGCTCTCCTGGTGTCTCACTGCACCCAAAGGATACTGGGAAAAGAAGGAGAACAGCTGTAGTTGACACCAGACATTGTGTCCACTTGGAAATTTATCGTGCCTGGATACCGATGTCTCACCCTGTAGCGGTCATCCAAAAAGAGAAAAGGAAAGCTAGGAGTGTTTGTCCCATCTGGAGTTCTTCCCGAACCCTAGACTCAGGTGTCCTGTTCCATCTGGACAACTACCAGGGTCTCAATCAAGTTCAGTTTGCCCCAAATGGAATTCCCGATCTGCCTCCATCCAGCTCTCCGGCACCTGTCTCATTTCCAGACAAGAGGTCTGCCTTATTAAATAAAACTTCTGTGAAATAATAAGCCTATTATTAAATAATAATAGAACTAAACCAAAACCAAAACATAAATCAGTCACTGCTCTGTTCAAAACTCTCCAAAGTGTCCTCATTTCATTGAATAAGGCCCCAAGTCCTTACAACTGCCTATGAGATCTGCTCCACTGGTCCTCTCCCCTCCTGGTTCCCACTCCTCCACCTTGGATCCCTCCCCACAGCAAGGGGCCTCTGAACTCTTGCTTGCCCCTCTCCCGTATACTTATAGAGCTCACTTGCCCATCTCCTTCAAGTTCTTACATCTTTACTCAAATGTTACCTTGTGCCCTGCCCATCTGATTTACAACTGCAACTCTCCCCAGTACTTCAACTGTTATTGTTGTTTACAACATTTACCTTCTAACAAACTGTATATTTTAAATGTATTGTCTGCCTGCTCCAACTAGACCATAAGCTCCAGGAGAGCTGAGATTTTTGTGTCTTATGCCACTAGCCACCTAGGGCTACGAAGTACAGGAGATGTGGTGAGTCCAACTGTGATGTTTGGGTTGGACACACAATGGATTTCTAAGAATAGTACAAAGAATATCCCAATAATTTTTTCACATACAATTGAAATAATAGTTTGAATATATTTATGGATTTACTCCAATTGATTTGTTTCGTTTTACTTTTTTCGTACACCTACTAGAAAGTTAAAAAATTCCCTAGCGGCTTGCAATCTATCTCCACGGGACAGCACTGGCCTGGGACACAGGCTCCGCACACGTGTCTAACGAGTGACTCGTTAGGAGCTTTTGGCTCGAACGTGCTTGATGGCGGCAGCAGCCAGGCCGCGCTACTCGGGATGGGGCCGAGAGCGCCCTGGGGGCTGTCCCAGTCACGGCGGGTGCCCCGGCTCGGATCCACGCGGCAGCTGCGGGACGTCCGCCAAGACACCAGCCCACCGACCCAGGAGCCCGGCCTCGCGGCCTGGAACTGCCACCCCCAGCTGACCCCGTTTCCCTGGACCCCACTCACCGCGCGGCGCGCCGCATCCCGCCAATCCCCGCGCGCCTGCCCCGCCCATCGCCGCAACTCGCTAATCCCCGCGCGGCTTCCCCGCCCATCGCCTAATCTCACCAATCGCTGCCCTCCTCGCCCCGTCCGTCACCAGGCGCCTCATCCCGCCGACCACTGTGCGCCCAGTCCCTGGGACGCCCAGAGAACGCGGAGCCACACCCTCGGTTTCCTGGGCAACGCGGGGCGGGGGCTCGCAGGCCGGCGCCGCGGGTCTTTGGTTGGCGGCCGCGCGTGCAGGGGTTGGGCTGACGGGGGGTGTCGGCCTCCAGTGGGCTGACCGCGTCACCCCGTCAGGCCCTGCCCAAACCTCCCAGTGGTCGTCACCCCGCCAGACCTCCCAGTGGTCGGCCGCCAGCCTCCTTGGTGAAGCCCCCAGCGTCCCAGCTTTCCCCGCAGAGCTGCCCACTTGTAGCGATGGCGACACGCGAGGAGGATCCCAACAGAAAGAAGGCCCAAGGCCCACTAACTTGGCCGGGGAGAAGTAACTCTTCCTGAAGGGATGGCGCGGGGTCTCGGGGTTCCTCCCGTCCTGCCAGCGTCTGCGTCCGGGAAACGCATTGGCGGTTTCGGGGTCCTCCCTAGCTTGCCCACAGCTGCACACCAGCTTCCAGCCCAACACTCCCCAATCTCCAGTGTCCTCGTTGTCCCCGTTACTCATACTCGTTCTTACCACCACGTCTTTCTGAGTGCTGTCTCCCACTTTGGGAATACTTTTTTTTTTTTTTTTCCATCTCCACTAATTTATAGAATTCCTCACCCCATCAAGAGACGCTTCCCCACTAAGCTTCCCGGGCTCTTCCCGCCGCGCGCTGATTCTCCCAGGCGTCCTCTAGCGCTACTGTTCTGCTACTTCCCTGGGCCTGTTTCCTAAGTCCAGGTCTTGTCTCCACAACGAGTGGATATTAACACTCGTTAATTATTACTTAATATTTTAATTTTTGTTTTTGTTTGTTTGTTTGAGGCAGCGTCTTGCTCTGTGGCCCAGGCTGGAGTGCAGTGGTGCGATCTCGGCTCACTGCAGCCTCGAACTCCCAGGCTCCAGTGATTCTCCCGCCTCAGCCTCCCGAGTAGCTGGGACAACAGGCGCGCAGCACCACGCCTGGCTACTTTAAGTTTGTGTGTGTGTGTGTGTGTGTGCGTGTGTGTGTAGAGACAGGGTCTCCCAATGGTGCCCAGGCTAGTGTGGAACTCCTGGGCTCAAGTGATCCTCCCACCTCAGCCTCCCAAAGTGCTGGGATTACAGGCATGAGCCACCACGCCCAGCCTTATATTTTAATTTAAAATGTGATATTTTAATTATTAAACGCCTTTGCAACTGCTTTGAGGTTATGACACATTAATTCATCTGCTCCTCAAATAATCCTTTGGGTCAGACACAGTGGTTCACGCCTGTATCCCAACACTTTGGGAGGCCGAGGTGGGAGGATCGCTTAAGCCCAGGAGGCTGAGGTTGCAGTGACCTAAGATTGCACCACTGCACTTCAGCCTGAGCGACAGAGCCAGACGCTGTCTCAAAGCAAGCAAACAAACAAAAAACCTTTGAAGCATGAACTATTATTTTTCTCCCACTTTACACATGAGGAAATTGAGGCAGGGAGGGCAAGAGAGATCATGTAGCTAGTGAGTAATAGCTGGGATTCACACAGAGACAGCAGGACTCTTGCTGGTAAGGTTGTACTGTTCTGAGCCTTCACCTGAAACATTGTACATGTATTGGGCAAACAAATAATTTTACTTTTTCCTTTCCAATTCAGATGCTTTTTATTTCTTTTTTCTTACCTGATTACTCTGGCTAGAACTTCCCATACTATGTTGAGTAGAAGTGGTGAAAGTGGGCATCTTTGTCTTATTCCGGATCTTAAAGGGGAAGCTTTCAGTCTTTAGCATTAAATATGTTGCTAGCTGTGAGTTTGGGGATTTGGCCTATGGATTTTATTATTTGAGGTAGTTTCCTCCTATTCTTAGTTTGTTGAGCTTTTTCTTCTTTCAAAAGAGTGTTGAATTTTGTCAAATACTTTTTTGACATCAATTGAGATGACCGTGTGGGTTTTTTTTCTGTTAATGTGGTCTATTACATTTATTGATTTTTATGTTGAACCATTCTAGCATTTCAGGAACAAATTCCACTTGGTGGAATTACAAACCAAAGTTACAATAATACTAGCTTTTAATGTATTCTCTTTTATATAATTAATTTTACTTTAATTGCACCTGAATTTTCCTTTAGCATAGACCGTTATTTCTCCCCTCCAAGTACTAACCAGGCCCAACTCTGCTTAGCTTCTGAGATTGGACACATTCAGGGTGGTACGGCCATAGATGAGATCTTTATTCGTTTATTCGGCTTTTTTTTTTGAGACAGGGTATCACTCTGTCACCCAGGCTGGAGTGCGGTGGCACAATCTCGGCTCACTGCAACCTCCGCCTCCTGGGTTCAGGTGATTCTCTTGCCTCAGCCTCCCAAGTAGCTGGGATTACAGGCATGTGCCACCACACCTGGCTAATTTTTGTATTTTTCGTAGAGATGGGGTTCCACCATATTAGCCAGGCTGGTCTCCAACTCCTCAGGTGATCCGCCCATCTCAGCCTCCCAAAGTGCTGAGATTACAGGTGTGAGCCACTATGCCTGGCCTCTTTATTCAGCTTTGAGTCACTGTCTAGTATCCTTTCATTTCATCCTGAAAGGCTTTCTTTGGCTTTCTTTGCAGGGCAGATCTAGTGATAATGAACTCCCTCAGCTTGTGTTTATCTGGGAATGTCTTCATTTTCCCTTATTTTAAAATAATGGTTAAGTGAGATACAGATACAGGATTCTCAGCTGACAGATTTATTTTTTTCTTTTAGCACTTTGAATATATCAATCTACTGCCTTTTGGCCTCTGAGGTTTCTGATGAGATAGCTGATGATCTTTTTTTTCTTTTTCTTTTTCTTTTTTTTTTGAAACAAGGTCACACTCTGTCACCCAGGCTGGAGTGCAGTGGTGGCACGATCTTGGCTTGGTGCACCCTCCGCCTCCCAGGTTCAAGTGATTCTCCTGCTTCAGCCTCCCGAGTAGCTGGGATTACAGGCATGCACCACCATGCCTCACCAATCTTTGTATTTTTAATGGAGATGGGTTTTTGCCATGTTGGCCAGGCTGGTCTCAAACTCCTGACCTCAAGTGATCCACCTGCCTCGGCCTCCCAAAGTGCTAAGATTACAGGTGTGAGCCACCGTGCCCAGCCAAGATATCTGATAATCTTTTTGAAGATCCCTTGTATGTGATGAGTCACTTCTCTCTTGCAGCTTTTGATATTGTCTCCTTGTCTTTGGCTTTCAGCAGTTTGATTATGATGAATCTCAGTATGAGTATCTTTGAGTTTTTCCTACTTGGAGTTTGTCGAGATTTTTGAATGTTCATATTCATGTCATTCATCAAATTTGAGACATTTTCAGCCATTATTTCTCCTAATAATCTCTCTGGTCCTTCACTCTCTTTTCTTTCTGGAATTTCCACAATGGGTATTAGTCTGCTTGATGGTGTCCCGCAGGTCTCTTAGGCTCTGTTTATTTTTCTTCCATCTTTTTCCTTTCTGTTCCTCAAATTTGATAATTTCCCTGTCCAGTCTTCAAATTGCTGATTTTTTAAATAAATTTTATAATTTTTAAATTTTATATAAGTTTTTTTAAAGATAGGGTTTTTCTATGTTGCCCAGGCTGGTTTCAAACTCCTGGGCTCAAGCAATCCTCCTGCCTCAGCCTTCCAAAGTGCTGGATTATGAGCATGAGCCACTGCACCTGGCCAAGTTTGCTTACATCTGCCTTTGAAGCCCTCTAGGGAATTTATTGTATTCTTCAGCTTCATAATTTTTTGCTACCAAGAAAAAAAACTCCAAAAAGTTTTCTATCACTTTATTGGAATTTCCATTTGTTCCATCACTTTCTTGACTTTGTTCACATTTTCCTTTAGCTCTTCAAGCATCTTTAAGACAGTTGTTTTAAAGTATTTGTCTAGTAAGTCAGCCATCTGGTTTTCCTCTGGTATGGCTTCTGCTTATTTATTCTTTTCCTTTGAGTGGGTCTTAGTCTCCTATTTCTTTGTATGCCTTGTGATTTTTTTTTTGTTGTTGTTGTTGTTGTTGAAAACTGGACATTTGCATCTCATGATGTGGAAACTCTGGAAATCAGGTGCTTCCTCTTTCCCCAAGTTTGCTGGGTTTTTCATTTGTTTGTTTTTATTTTTTATTTTTAGAGCTAGTGTCTTGCTCTGTTGCTCAGGCTGGAGTGATGTGTTGAGTTTATTTTTGATTATGAGAAATGTAGCTCAGGACACCCGTGGGTATAAGACCAAGGTGGTGGCCATCCTCACATTGCAGGAAGGTGTACATTATTCAAGACAGGCTTGAAATGACACGTGGGCCCTGAATTTGGACTAACCCAGCTGCAGTTCAGTAGTGGGTGAAGGGCAGGTGTATCATTTGGTTGTGACAAATGTAAATGAAAGGCAGTTGATCTATTAGATATTGGGGATGCACAGAAATGGTGGGAGTTTGGAGGATCAGGTTTTGGGGCAGATGGGAAGTATGGTTGCTCTGGAGGGCCAAGAAACTGGAAGAACAGCAATCACCTTCTATCTGGGATTCTCTGATCTGCATACCAGTCCTAGGCTGGACCGTCCCCAGTGTTCCCACTGCTCTTGGATGATGCTCTCATGAAACAGAATCTGGGAGAGGTGGCCCAGCTGGCCAGACTTAGCTTGGGAGCCTGCTGCCTGTTATGTTGCTGAGAGTCTAGGTTCCTACACCCTGTAGGGTTGGTTACAGGAACTACCCTCCCACCAAACCCATACATAGTCCAAGAAAAGCAGTTCCCCATAGGAATCAGTGCTATTGAGAAGGGGACAGATACTGGGCTGGTAACTGATCCCTATTCACTTTCAGGCACCATCCACATAGGATGGAAGCAGACAGCTGCAGTTCCCAGAGGCCAGGCCAGGGCAGAAGCCAGAGTCTATGTACAGCCGCCTGGAGGTGGCACCGATGAGGGCAAGGTGGGCTGACTCAGAGGCTGGGACCCTGGCAGGTGCCAGGTCGACCCAAGCCAGGCAAAAACAAGGGTCTACTCTCTAGAGCCTGGGTTGAGGTGGGTGTGGGTCTTGATTGCAAGCCACAGAAACTAACTGGATACAACTCAAGCATAAAGTAGGTTTCATTACAAGGATACATCTCTGTGGGACCCAAGGACAGGAAGGTGGCCCCTTTCCTGTCTTTCCTTTGGCCTCAGGGAGGAAGCAGAGAGTTCAAGGGGGGTCCTGGGAGAAGCATGGTGGAGGTGTTGCTGACAGCAAAGGGAGCAGTGGGTTAGATAATATTCTATTTTGGAGCTGTGTGGCTCTTTGTGTCAGTGGCACATCCTAGGGGACATTCCACAGCTGGGAGGGGTGGGGCTGAAGTACCTTGGCAGATGGAAGGTTAGAGGCTGCTCCAGACACCTGGGATGGTAGAGACAGATCAACGAGTCCCAAGGAAAAAGACAGTGAAGGGTTGACAGTGTGTTGGCAGCAGGAGGGAGGGGGGCAGCTAGGAGAGGGGCCAGAAAGAGGAGGTCTTCTCTCTCCATGCACACACATGCATATGCACACACGTGCATATGCACACACACACATGCATGCACACACACCCCCACATGCACATACACACACAGACACCTGCTACATACACACCCCCAACCTCTCACCTGCCACACCACCTTCTATGCCACACACTTGTGTCCACGCCCCCACAGGCATGGCAGCAGACAGCAGGCCAAGGAGAGGCTCCTTCTCACTGCATCTGGCCTCTGCTGTGCACTGCCTCGGGTCAGCAGGGCGGGCCCCATGCCAATGGCCTTTGGTGGGAGACACACCTTGCTACCCAGAGAGAAACCTCTGGGCATGACCTGCTGTAGTTGGCAAACTCCTCGGCCCCACAGCATCTATAAAGGCTCTCAGCCTTCAGTCTCCACAGGTCTGGAGGTTTGTCATGTGCCTTCATTCACTCATGAGATATTGCCAGAGCATCTGCTCTGTGCCAGGGACAGAGTTGTTCCTATCTTTGTGTTTGCTTACAGAAAGCCATAGCATGAGAGTGAGCAGGTGGGCCAGGCAAGGAGGAATGTTGCCCAGACTTGCACTGGGGGATGGCTTCCTAGAGGAGGTGACTCTGGACTGAGGCCTGAAGCCCGTGGAGGTCAGGGAGGGGCTGGGGGCAAGGGGGCCAGAATGCTGGGACAGCAACTCCCCTCACACAACCATAGCAGCAAAGCCTGGAGGGGCCAGGGTAGGAGGTTCTTGGGGAGGCCACAGCCCTGACAGCCTGGCCAGAGCTGCTCTCCTTTTAGCCTGGACTGAGCTCGACTTGACCTCAGCACCCAGCACCCTCCACTCAGAAGGGCTGGTCTCAAGGTAACTCCCACTGAGACTCACAGGCACTCAGGGACCAGTGAACAGTGAGTCTGGTGGGGTGGGCCTCTGTTTCTTGTAACAAAGGGTCAAAATGAAGAAAGGAATCCCAGTTTTTGGTTAACTTTTCTTAAAACTTTGTCAATGCTACTGTTTGTCTTCATCAGAACATGGGCTAAGATGAGGTACCACTCATCTATTGCTGCAAAACAAACCTGTCAAATCTTACTGGCTCAAAAAATGCAGCGGTTTCTTATTTCTCAGATGCTGTGGGCTGAGCCAGTGGCTCTTTGTCCCTTCTTGCCTGACCTTGGAAGTGGTCATTTGACTGGGTCTGGAGGTCCATCAGAGTCTCCTTCCCAGGGGTCCAGCCTCAGCCGGGGTGGTGCCAGGCCAGGCCTGTCTCTCCAAGTGATCTTTTATCCTGGGCTTTGTCTTATGGATGTCGCGTGGTGGCATTCAGGTTCCAGGAAAGTGAGAACTACAAGGCTGAGGTCAACAAACCACAGGCCAGCCCAGATCTGGGGAGTAGAGAAACAGCCTCATCCTCGTGATGGGAGGATCTCCACATTAAATGATACACAGAACTCTTTTTTCTGAGATGGAGTCTTACTCTGTCCCCCAAGCTGGAGTGCAGCAGTGCAATCTCAGCTCACTGCAACCTCTGCCTCCCAGGCTCAAGCGATTTTCCGGTCTCAGCCTCCTGAGTAGCTGGGATTACAGGCACCCGCCACCACGCCCAGATAATTTTTGTATTTTTAGTAGAGATGGGGTTTCCCTATGTTGACCAGGGTGGTCTCTAGCTCCTGACCTCAGGTGATCTGCCCGCTTCAGCCTCCCGAAGTGCTGGGATTACAGCCATGAGCCACCTTGCCTGGCACTGAATTCTTGAAGTATCCTGTGATGACTCCCCAGTGGTGTGCACACAGGGCTGTGGCTTTCAGGGGCTCTGCAACCCTGGGAGAATGAGGCCATCTGGGGTACCAGCCCACCCCCAAGTCCATCTGCACATTTGATCGAGGGCTGCAGGGTCACTGCCCTGTGGGTATGCCCAGTGGTTCTGAGTTAAATCAGCTTTGCAAGGGGCTTGCTCTGGGCTGACCTCAGAAGAGGAGGCTGGGAAGGTTGGGTTGGTGCTATCAAGAGGTTGGGTAATTCAGACATCTTCATTTTAAGCTCCTGGATATGTGTGGGACACAGAAACTTCCAGGTGCAAGGACTCAGGTTGCCCATGGGCTCTCCAGGCTGTGTGCAGCCAGTTGATTCTCCTGGAGAGGGAGCCCCAGACCCACAGCCTTGCTGCCTTGTGCTCTGCTCTGAGGTCTGTCTGCACAAAGGTCAATAACAGGCTCAAACCCAGCTCCACCACCTCCCAGCTGTGTGTAACCTTGGACAGCTTGCTTAACCACGTGGGGCCAATACTCATACTGTATTGGTTGGGGTTAGGTTCTGTTGTGAGCATGAAAGACTTCAAACAACAGCAGCTTCCATCAGGTGGAGTTTGTTCTCTTCGTGTAGCATTCGATGGGAGGTAGAGGTGATGTGTGATGCCCCCATATGTCAGAGACGCAGCCAGACCCAGCTCACGGCTCCCCCACCCTGTGGCTGTGGCCCTCATCTTCATAGCCCCAGGAGGCTGTGTGCCAGCTAGGTGTTAGCCAGCGGGTTGGAGGGAGGCACAAACATCTGTCTCTTAAGGAGAAAACTGCCACCACACCTAGTCATACCTGCCAGTGAGGGAGGCAGAAAGTGTAGTCTTTATTCTGAGGCCAGGGGTGTAACTACAGACTCAGTCATCACGGAGCGTGAGAGGGCACCGGACTGCCACGTGTGCACTGTGCCCAGCAGCTGAGTGCCTGGGGCAGAGGAGCTCAATGACCATCAGGTGCTGTCAATATCCCGTCCAGCCCTGCTTCACAGACAGGAAACCGAGTCCCAGACAGGCACACAGAGAGGGAGACTGGGCCTACTCCTTGACCTTGGCCAAGGCCTCCCCCAGCTGTCCTATCCCTACACCTCCACACCCCCAGCTTTTCCATCTAGAAGATTCTAGAAGGTTCACTGCAAAGGAAGAGGTGAGTGTGTGCAGACCTACCTATTCCTTATGTTTCTCCAGCTTAACCAGGCCTCTGCACTCTTGTGCAGGAATATCAGAACATGGGGGAGTCCAGGTTCAGGCTGGGGCCTCTCTCAGCCTGTCAGGGAGGGTCAGGACTGAGGTGGGCTGTGGGCCAGCACGCGCCCATCAGTCCCTGACAGTTACACTGGACAGCTAAGCTGGAGAAGCATGTGGGTCACATATTTCTCATGCCAGGGCAGAAATTTAAGAGCCTGTCTTTAACCTTATCAGTGGTGTTAACTCAGCTAAAGAAAGAATATGCAGAGAGAGAGGGCTGGCAGGCTGGGGCACAGCAGGAACTGGGGCCCAGGTTGGGGGCTCAAGAGGTTGCAGGATAAGATCAGAAAATACAACACAAAGCTGGGCACAGTAATCCCAGCACTTTGGGAGGCTGAGACGAGAGGATCCCTTGAGGTCAGTTCAAGACCAGTCTGGACAACATAGCAGGACCCCCTTGAACTCTACGAAAAAGAGCGAAAACACAACACAACAGGGTCCCGACCCATGCCAACCAGGAGGGAGCCTTTGGGCAGCAGCCCTTGCTGCGCACCTGGGCCAACTTGGCCAGCACTCTCTGTGGGAGAGGCCACTCACCCCCATGCCCTCCCTGGGCAAGGCTGAGGCTCTTGAGGGGTGGAACATCAGGCATGTTGGGGACATAATCGAAAACAAAAATCTCCTGCCAATGCAGAAAACCTTTCCACAAAAGAAGAGAAAGAAAAATTTAATTATTGAATAGGCATTAAACAGATTGCGATGCTCATCACAGATAATCTGCTAATAAATTACAAAGGCAGAAAGAAGTCTCACGCTTGTATATAACCAGGTGCAACCCATCCCGTACACGTTCTCAAGGGAAACGTCACAGGTGCTCAGGTAAGAGGACTTGACAGCACCAGTGGTCACACACAGTTCTCTGTGAATCCCCAGGTAACTGTGGTGGCTACCTGGGTTTGCCTAAAGGAAAAAAAATAAATTCATTCCTTTAAGACTGGAAGTGTGTTTGCAACTTGAGCTAGGCACCGGGCTAAAGTTAGGCTCCCCTTTGCCCACGGAAACTGGGAGATAAGGATGTATCTCCCTTGGTGATTACACTTCAAATGGTGGCTCCTAGGTCCTTAAGGAGACATTCCTGGGATGTGAAACTTGAAAGAGGCTTATTTAGCTTTTGAACAGATCTACATAAAAAAAGTCCAGGAAGGAACTTGCAATGATAGATTTTCTAAAGAAAAAGGAGAGGGGAAAGTCTTTTTTTTTTTTTTTCACCAAGGAGAATAAACTTATTCTCATTTTTAATTTGCATTTGCCCTTCTGGTGCCTCAAAGCTAGGGTTAGGGCACTTGGGCAGCACAGCCGGCCTCTGCCCTGACTAGAGGTTGTCCTAGGGAATAAAATGCAGATTCTGACTCTGAGCCCCAGGTGAGGCCTGCACTGCGAGGGAAGAGGCTCCCTCGGGCCTTTGTTTGCATCCAGGGTCTTCAGGGTGTTGGGGCAGGGATGGAGGAGGGGAAGGTCAGACTAATGGGATGATGCTTTTTTTGCCTTTTATTTTTGTATATTTTTAATGTTAAAAAGAAAAGCCTAATTACCACAAATTGCAAAGGACTAAAGACGTCTAGAATAATGAATGAATCACTTCAGCCTGGAAAGCAGATACTGTCAATCCTATTAATGTTATACAAGCCCCTTCAAGTATTTTACATTTCTTTTTTTTTGTTCTTTTATTTTGTTGTATTTTATTATTATTATTTTTTGAGATGGAGTCTCGGTTTGTCGCCCAGGCTGGTGTGCAGTGGCACGATCTCAGCTCACTGCATCCTCTGCCTCCTGGGTTCAAGTGATTCTCTTGCTTCAGCCTCCCAAGTAGTTGGGATTGTAGGCACATGCCACGACACCCAGCTAATTTTTGTATTTTTAATAGAGATGGGGTTTCGCCATGTTGGTCAGGCTGGTCTTGAACTCCTGGCCTCAGGTAATCCACCTGCCTCAGCCTCCCAAAGTGCTAGGATTACAAGCATGAGCCACTGCCTGGCCTTTTTTGTCCTTTTAAATGTGATATCCTAGTACATAGTAAAGATAATGTACTATGAGCATAAGGTGGAACCTTCTCTGCAGACCCAGATGACAAGTTCCCCTCGCCAGAGAAGTGGGCTGGAAGTTCTTACCTTCTCTGCCATCAGCATGGCTGAAGGGAGAGAGTGGGGAAAATCCAGAGACCGGTCCACAAAGGAGGTACTCTGGGTTCCATTCAGGAGGGTGCCAGATGATTCTTCTGCTATCAGACTGAACGTGAGTTCTTGGCAGAGGAGAAGGGGCAGAAACTGATGGAAGTCCCTCCAGAGAGATGGGAAGGCTCTGGACAGTCCCAGTGAGGGCAACAGGCCTGCTCATGCACAGTCAGGGGGCTTGAGCCAGAGCAGGGCTCCATGGGGGGTTGTGTGGCAGGGACACCCAGGACCAGGAGCTCTGGGACATCTGGAGCGAGCGCCTTGGCTCAGATGGAGGTGTCCTTAGAGTGGCAAGGCTTCTGAGGCTTCTAGAAAGACAGGAAAGGTAAGGGGCAGTGGGTTTATGAGGAGGCTTCTGGTGAGGCTCCCCTTGGGGCCCCCAGGAACAAGTAGGGTGCAGGGTTGTGGTGGTGGGAGTGTGGAGGAGGCTGGTCCTGAGTCACGCAGAACTGGGGCACAGTAGGGGCATTTAGGCCTTTGGGTCCTATATTCTTCCTTCCTCCCTTCCTCCCTCCTTCCCTCCTTCCCTCCTTCCTTCCTTCCCTTCTTTCTTTTCTTTCTCACAAGGTCTCGCTCTGTCACCCAGGCTGGAGTGCAGTGGCACGATCATGGCTTACTGCAGCCTGGACCTGGTTCAAGCTCCCTGAATATCTGGGACTATAGGTGCGCACCACCACAACAGGCTAATTTTTTTATTTTTTGAAGAGATGGGTTTTTGCCATGTTGCCCAGGTTGGTCTTGCACTCCTGGTCTTAAGCAATCCTCCCTTCTCTGCCTCCCAAAGTGTTGGGATCACAGGTATGAGTCACTGCGCCTGGCCCTGTTGCATGTCTTTCTTTCTCTGTCTCTATTTTTTTTTTTTTTACTAGGGTCTCACTTTGTCACCCAGGCTGGAGTGCAATTGCAGAATCCTGGCTCACTGCTGCCTCAACCTCCCAGTCTCAAGCAATCCTCTGCCTTGGCCTCCCAAGTAGCTGGGATTTCAGGCGTGAGCCGTCATGCTTAGTTACCTGTTGTATTTCTTTTCTTTTCTTTCTTTCTTTTTTTTTTTTCTAAGAGGGAGCCTTGCTCTGTTTTCCAACTGGGAGCTGTTGCCTGGCAATGGCTGGTGGGACCCAGGCCAGGACCACACAGGGCTCACAGTGAGCAGGGCCCTGCAGGCCTGGCCAGGGGGCATCTACCTCCCCCAGAGGGAGCTTTCCTTTCAGTGGGTGGACAACATGGAGCTGGTTTTCCCCCTCCCAGAGCTCTCCCCAGCCATGCCCACCTCACACCCCCTTATGTCCAACATCCTCAGGTGTAGACTGTTAGACACTCCACATAAGGGATGCCTGAGCTTCACCTGAGGAACAAGTTTGGTCTCACAAGTAATTCGTATGATCTCTGCTTTCTGGAAACAGCCTTCTCTCCTTTCTGTCTGTACTGCTAGAATACTCAGAGGCAACCCTACCCAAATGAAATTGGCTCCTTTTGAGGACATCAAAACTGCTGCTCCCTGCTGCAAGTACTCTCTGCAGAGAAGGCTAATGCCTGCCTCAGAGTCTCCCAGAAACTGCAGTCTTTATTTATTTATTTATTTTTATTCTACTTTTTTTTTTTTGAGATGGAGTCTTGCTCTGTCATCTAGGCTGGAGTGCAGTGGCTTGATCTTGGCTCACTGCAACCTCCCCTTCTGGGTTCAAGAGATTCTCCTGCCTCAGCCTCCCTAGTAGCTGGGACTACAGGCATGCACTACCACACCTGGCTAATTTCTGTATTTTTAGTAGAGACAGGGTTTCACCACGTTAGCCAGGCTTATCTCAAACTCCTGACCTCAGGTGATCTGCCCGCCTCGGCCTCCCAAAGTGCTGGGATTATAGGCGTGAGCCACGGTGTTCGGCCTGGAAACTGCAGTCTTAAATAGACGTACTACACAGTCTAACTCAGTGCTTTCCAACAGGAGTGAAAGCCAGAAATGCAAGCCACTTATGGAATTCTAAATATTCTAGTAGCCACATTTAAAAAGTGAAAAGAAATAGGTGAAATTAATTTTAGTAATAATCTAATATCCAAAACATTATCATTTCAACATGTGATCTATATAAAAGTTATTAATGAGATGTTTGCATTCTTTTTTGTATGAAATCTTCAAAATATTGTGTGCATTTTACACTTTTGGCATATCCCAACTCACACCACATTTCAAGTGGCCAGTGGCTGTCATATTGGTCAGTGTAGGCTGAACTCATGTCCTGGGTCTGTGCCCATCTGTTTCTCTCTATCCTTCTGTCTCTCTCTTTTGTCTCTCTCTCTCTCTCACACACACACACACACAAACACACACACCACATACACACACCATATACATTCTACCCTCAGTTTATTCCAAACAACACTAATACAGGCAGTTTTGGTGTGGGAAGGACTAACCTTATCAGACAACTATATCAGGAGTGTGAAAGGATAATATTTTTAAAGCAAAATATTGACTTGCATACTAAGTGAACAACCGCCAAATATTTTATTTACTTGTGAATTCATGTGGGAATCAATAAGATGTGACAGCCCAAGGAGCTGGGCAGTGCTCATCTTGTGGCTTATTCCTGGGCCTGGTTCAGAGAAGAATTCAAAGAGCCGGTGCATGTGTAGACGGTTAGGAATGCCCAGATGAATTTGCTTAATAGATGCAAAATTGGCTTCTTCCACAGAGAAGGGAAAAATCAGTTGTGCTTCCACTGGACAACATTTATTTGCACGTTAATAGAGAAGAACCATTGCCTTGCTATTAGTTATAATTTAGAGTTGTGGCAGGGCACGGTGGCTCACCCCTGTAATCCCAGCACTTTGGGAGGCAGAGGCAGGTGGATCAACGGAGGTCAGGAGTTCGAGACCAGCCTGGCTAACATGGTGAAACCACGTCTCTATTAAAAATACAAAAATTAGCCAGGCAAGGTGTGCCCATCTGTAATACTAGCTACTTGGGAGGGTGAGGCATGAGAATCACTTGAACCTGGGAGGTGGAGGTTGCAGTGAGCTGAGATCATGCCACTGCACTCCAGCCTGGGTGACAGAGAGAGACTCTGTCTCAAAAATAATAATAATAATTTAGAGAGTTTTGAAACAGCTCAAAGATAACAAAAGGTTCAGACACCCCATCAAATCAGATAACTGGACACCTATGATCTTTTTGGTTCATTTTAGTCTTTCACAATTTACCCCTGTAGAGCTTGGATTATAACATGATCCCTTACTTTATGAAATCAGCTTGTTGAACAAGCAGACTCATGTGGTAGAATCCTAATGGTACTTGATTTTGTTCATCCACTGTTCCAGCATGGTCAGTGGAGTGGGCTGGTGGCCTGCTTTCAGGATGGAAACTCAGGCAGTTCGTGACTTTTGTAATCTCTCTAAGCAACAGAAAATGCCATAATTCCAGAAAGTCTCAAGTTTCAATTTAGTAATTAAATTGCCAGGCGCCAGATAAAATCAAAACTGAACACCTGTCTGGGTGAAAACGCCTTTCCTCTTGGGGCCTTCAGGAAGGGGTGCCCCTCCTTTCTCGCTCACCTCCTTCCCACTGACCCCCAGGTACAGGGATTGCAGCAGGGCTTGTGGGGAGGGAAGGAGGCAAGCTGAGAGCTCTTACTGGGCTGTCCTGTAGGCAGGAGACTTTGTATGCTCTGGATCTGGCTGAGGTTTGAGCTGTCACTGCCTGTCTCTCTGTCTCTGTTTCTCTCTCTGGTGCTTTGGATGTCCCCTGCTGCTCCTCTGGTACTCATGAGGATCACTTTCTCCTCTAGCTCTTGGGTTCTCAGATGAAGGGTGACGGGAGCACTAACTATTCTCTCCTGAGAAGTCGTCTCCCTACACTCCAGCTGTCTGACCCTCTTACCCCTCACGGCGCATGAGGGGCTCAGGAGGCATGATGCCAGGTTCTGGGCATTTCCTCTAGAAATTTGCATGTTACCTGGCCCCTGCTTTGGTGTCCATGTTCCTCATGTCTTAGTGCCTTGCCTGTATTTGCAATGAGAAGCTGGTTGTGTTTCAAATGGGTACCTCTCTGCCTTTCACAAAGGGCCCATGCAGGGAGGCACCCAAGCCAGTGTATTGAGATGGGGTGCGAGCAGTGGGCCAGGGGAGGCTGTGTGGTTGGGTGTGGGGGTCCCAGGGCTGCTGCCCACCCGCTGGGCTGTTGGGCAGAGTTTGCTGAGTGCCCAGCAAGCAGCCTCTTCTCTGCACAGCCCCAAGTAGCTGGGCAGTGCCCACTTTGTGGCTCATTCCTGGGCTTGGTGGAGGTGGTGTAAATCCCACCATCTCCTCTTCTAGAGGGCTGGCCTTGGTAAGATGCTCACACTTTCTGGGCCTCAGTGTCCTCATCTGTAAACTAGGCATGATCATAGTTCACACTTCACTTGGCATCATGGGAGTGAATCAAGGTGAGCTGGCGAGGGGCCAGCTCCCAGGAGGTAGATGGTGGCCATGATCATGGTGATGTGCGCACTGAGACCCTGGGATCCCCCTTGGCTGGTCCCCAACCCATCTGTCACAGACAAGACACCACAGCAATTCCAATTTTGCAACAGAGTTTATTGAGGTGCCCCCCCGTGGGCCTGGCCCTGCCCCTCATTCCTCTTTCTCGTCTCCATGGGTGATGATGTAGCACAGTGACTTGTAGTCGATGTTCCCCGCCAGGTCCATGGGTGTCAGGGCGAACATCTGCTCCACCTGCAGGGGACACTGGTGAGTGGCAGTCCCCTGGCTCCTGGCCCAGCCCGGCAGAGACCTCACCTGAGTCCTGTGGCCTTTCTGTCTGCCCCCTGCATCTGTGCTTTTTGCCTTAGCTTTTCAACCCTAGACCCCAGACTCTGGGTTAATGTTTTTCTCTTGGCTGACTCTGGGCAGAGTGAGGAGTCAGTGCAAATGTGGGCCAAGAGGCAAAGGACGCCCCTCCAGCCACAGGCACAGGCCCACCCCGAGTGTACGAAACCTCTCCCTATCCACTTCCCCCCAGGTCTGTGCACAGTCTCCCTGCCTGGCGCACCCTGCCCTCTTTTCTGACTCCACATCTTTACCCTCTAGGTCTCAACAGAGATGGCACCTCCTCCAGAAGGGCCCTCGGCTCACCCTTCCAGCAACTGCCTCACTGGTACTGGGCTCTGGGTCATGGGTGAAGGCCCAGAGAAGGTGCTGGGGATGAGTATTGAAGGGGCTGGGCAGCCTCACCTCAGCTGGAGAGAACTTGTCTGCCTGGGTCAGGAGAAGCTGCTTGAACCTGGGGGGTGAGGAGGGTCTGAGCAGGAGACTGCGGGGGAGTGACTGCACAGGGAAGGTGGGTACGGAGGCTCCCATGGCGCAGGGAAGGGTTGGCTGCACCCCAAAGAGCAGTGTAAGGCCCCGAAGCACAGGCAGCCCCCCTCACTAGGGGCCTCACCCCGCTCTCTGCTTCCACCACGGTGCTCCTCATCTGGCTGGGCCCATACTTACTCATCCTTGTTCACCACCCCTTTGCCGCTGGGGTCAAACATGCGGAAGGCACTCAGGATGGCTTCCTCGGGGTCTGTCCCTGGAAGGCCGAGGCAGCCAGGTGAGCATCCATGTCTCCAGCATCCCAGGTCCCCCGCAGGAGGAACTGGGCTGCATGAGGAGCCTCCCACATCCCAGAAGAGGTGGGGGTATTCCCTAACATAAAATGTTTCTCGGGGATCAGTGGGGCTGGGAATGGTCATCCTCCTGAGGCGGGCAGCTTGGCTGGGAGACTGGAATTTGGGGGTGGGGGCTGAAGGCACATTTCCTGGCTCCAAGTCAGCACTGGGGTGACCAGTGCACATGGGATTCTGGGGCAGAGGATGTGCTTGGAATGGGTCATGGCCAGGAAGAGTCCAGGTGGGTCCAGGTGGGGTTCAGTTAGGGTTCAGGTGGGGTTCATGTAAGGTTCAGGTGGGGTTCAGGCAGGGTTCAGGTGGGGTTCAGGCAGGGTGCAGGCTCCCTGCCTGGCCAAGGGTGCCCAGCTCTGTCCCAGGCTCACCATTGAGCTTCTCCCCAAAGAGCGTGAGGAAGACGGTGAAGTTGATGGGGCCCTTGCCCTCTTGCAGCATGGCGTCCAGCTCCTCCTCTGGGACACTCACCTTCCCTGGTGGGGGTGGGGCATGAGGTGCACACAGGGACCCTGGGTGTCCCCCAGAAGGCCCAGGCCGCCCTCCCTCCATCCTGGCCACAGGGGCTGGAGGGGCAGAGGCAGCTGTGGGTCGGGAAGGTGAAGTGGAAGCAAGGCGTGACAAGGGGGGAAGGGCAGTGTGAGGAGACGGGGAGGAGGGGAAGCAGGGGAGCAGAGTCCTGTCCCCCCAGCCACTCCCACCCGCCCAGCAGCTCAGAGTAGGGACCCCAGTGCGCAGGGTGGGAGGTGGGTGCACGCACCCAGCTGGGAGTAGGTCTCCCTCAGGTCTGCCTTGCAGATGATGCCATCACGATTCTGGTCGATACAGCTGAAGGCCTGTGGGATGGGGGCCTTCAGGTGGGAGCAGCCCCCAGCTCTAGGGAAGGTGGGAGGTGGGGGAGAGACCTGGGTGGTGTGAGAGGCAAGGTCAGGGTAGAAGGGGGGTATGTATGTGGGGTGGGGTGGGGGGGCCAGGATGGGATCTGAGGCTACTGGGAGTGGGCACTCACTTCTTTGAACTCCTGTATCTGGGCTTGTTCAAACATGGAAAAGACGTTGGAAGAACCACGTTGGGCCTGCTTGGTGGCTGCCACCTTGCCCCGGGTCCCCGCCTTCCTGCTGGCCTGCAACACTGTGAGTAGGGAGGGGTCCTCTCCCCAACTCCTCAGAGTCTCCCCACCCCACCCATCATGCACAGTCCCAGAGCATTCCCAGGAGAGCCAGGGCCAGGATCCTCTTCCTCTCCCTGGGGACCACCCTCAACCCAACACAAGCACAGAAAACTCTGCTCCCCCAGCCCAAAGGCCAGCACCTGGGAGACCGCTAGCCTTTCTTCCCCAGCAGGCACTCACCATTCTCTCTGCAGAGGTGTGGCTGCTGTCGTGGTGGCAGGGCCCAGCCTCCTTTATGTCTCAGCCTTATCACCTGAAGGTCCAAATAAGGAGAGGAACAGAGGATAGGCCCAAACTTGGCAGCCCCCGCCTGGGCTGGGGGAGGCCTAACAGATTCCAGCCACATTCCTGATGACCTTCATGTCCTCAACGTGTAACATCCTGCTGTCTATCCATCCTGGCAGGGCCAGACACAATGTCTGCCTGGAGCAGAGCAGGCTCAAAGCTCTCACCACCCTAGGTCCTGATGAAGGGATCCAGTTACTCCTGTATCTGACCACCCCTCCTTGCCAGTCCAGCCAGAACCCTGGCCAGTGCAAGAAGACAGCTGGTGAGGGCCAGTCCAGGGCCCCCGCCAGGCATGGGAGGGCAGTGTGTAGTTCTGAGGATGGTCTGTGGCCTGAGACCCCCGGGGCTTCCCAGAGGTTTTGGTGACCCTAGGCTCTGACCTTTTGCCCCTCTGACCAAGGGGCAGAAGGCATCCCTGAGCTAGCTGTGACCCCAAGAAGAACACTTTGCTTGGCTTTGGGGCAATTCCAGAGGGTTAAGGAGCTCCATCAGCTGCCCTCCCATGCAGTCTACCTTGCTCCCAGTCTGCCCTGCTGTTTGGAGCCTTGCCTTCCTCAAGCCTCATCTCAACCACACTACTTCAGAATGCTCTCCCTAACATCCTCAGCAGGGAGCTTCTGGGGCACATTTCCCATTTGCCTGGTGGCTGATGTGTTTGTCATTCCTGGCTTCTGTGCCCCTCCTGAGCACCCCACCTGGTTGACATCTGTATCCCCAGAAGGCCTGGTGCACAGTGGGCCGATGGGCAGGCCTGCGTGATGCTGTTCCAGAGAAGCAGTCTCGCCAGCTTCTGGGGCCGAGGGCACAGCAGAGGGGCTGGGGAAACAGGGGACATCCTGGAGGCAGCAGGAGTGGGCCACCCCAGGCTGGGCTCACTGGCTGCTGCCCCTCCACTGGAGCCAGACCTATGTCTGTCAGTAGCTGGCTGGTAGAGTGCAGGAGCTCTTATCTGTCAGACCCAATACCCTTTTTATATAACAAGAGTTTTCTTTTAAATTTCTTAAATTCCCTTTTTTTTTTTTGAGACAGAGTCTCACTCTCGCACAGGCTGGAGTGCAGTGGCGCGATCTCAGCTCACTGCCACCTCTGCCTCCCGGGTTCAAGCCATTCTTGTTCCTCAGCCTCCCAAGCAGCTGGGATTATAGGCATGTGCCACCACACCCAGCTAATTTTTATATATATTTTTTATTTTATTTTATTTTTAGTAAAGACGGGGTTTTATCATGTTGGCCAGCCGGTCTCGAACTCCTGATCTTAGGTGATCTGCCTGCTTCAGCCTCCCAAAGTGCTAGGATTACAGGTGTAAGCCACTGAGCTCTGTCACCCAGGCTGGAGTGCAGTGGCATGAGTAGAGCTCACTGCAGACAACCTCCTGGGCTCAAGTGCTCCTTCCTGCCTCAGCCTCTGGAGTAGTTGGGACTACAGGTGCACACCACCCTGCCCAGTGTTTTTTTTTTCTTTTTTTAATTAATTAATTCATTTTTGAGACAGAGTTTCGCTCTGTTGCCCAGGCTGGAGTGCAGTGGTGCAATCTCTGCTCACTGCAACCTCCGCCTCCTGGGTTCAAGCAATTCTTCTGCCTCAGCCTCCTGAGTAGCTGGGATTATAAGCACCCGCCATCATGCCCGGCTAATTTTTGTATTTTTAGTAGAGTTGGGGTTTCACCATGTTGGCCAGGCTGATCTCGAACTCCTGACCTTTTGATCCACCTGCTTTGGCTTCCCAAAGTGCTGGGATTACAGGCATGAGCCACCGCGCCCAGCAGTGCCCCCCCGCCCCACCCTTTTTTTTTTAAGAGATGGGGTCTTGCTATGTTGCCCCAGGCTGGTCTCAAATTCCTGGCCTCAAGCAATCCTCCACCTCAGCCTCTCAAAGCACTGAGATTATAGGCATGAGCCATCACACTGGCCCATAACAAGTGTTTTATGACACCTCCTTTGTTATCTAGAAAAGAAATTCATTTTATCTATTTCAATTCAGTCATATAACCTACCTACGAATAGAATTTTAATAATTAATACAATGTCCTGAACTGTAATATAAAGGAGAAATAGAAAGCAATTGATATTAAAATGTGTTCCACTCTGTGAATGCTTGAGCATAACAGTAATGATAACAAAATAATCAGATGCTTGCACCAACTTATAAGGAATAATTTAGACTCAAGAGAACTAAGAAGAGCCAAAGCAATTCCACATGAGAAGTAGCAGAAAACAAGAAATCTGAAGGGGGACATGACTTTTCAAAATCACAACTTTGGGTTATGATCTGAAGGAAACAAAACAGTTGTTCCTAATTAGCTGGGTAATATCTCTCATCAAAAAAGGAATGCATGAAAATCACACAAATATGTTTCTATGTCACTGTATTTTATGCTGCAGAAAGATGGCATTATGCCTACGCTTGGCTAACTCTAAATAGGCGTTCCACTGACAGGAGCATCTGGAGGGACCTTAGAAATCCAACATGTATCTGGGCCCCTACTCACTGGCAAACCTAAGTGACTCTGACTGGACAGGACGGTGCTGAGACTGACCTGCAGCAGGACCAGCCTCATTCCCCCACTTCTCCAGAGCAGCACCTGGCCTGGCACTCCCTCTGCACACATTCCATGGGCAGGCAAGCAGGGGCCCGGGCCAGGCAGTGTACTGTCCACTGCTCTGCCATCCCCCATGACACCCCATTCCTGTTCCTACAGCCTGGTCTGTCACTCCTCACACTCCCCTTGGCACAGATGGCTGGAGGAGCTGTCTGGAGGGCATTGCCGAGATACTGAAGTGTCTTCATGCATGTGACGCAGACTCTTTATAGATTGTCCCCACAGTCCTAATGCACAGAAGTCAAAGAACAGTGGACAGGCCATGTTTAAAACTTTTAACATTTTTAATTAAAAAACCCACACAATCTTAGGTTGGGCATGGAGAGGGTGGCATGTCATATGATGGGGTTGTCCCTTGGGGTGTGCTGAATGCTGCTTGGGGTTTCTTCCTGAGCCAGCGCTATGGGAGCTGAAGATGTAGGGCTGGCCCTTCTCCCCTTTGTGGGCCCCTTGGGGCAGAGGCTTGGGGGCTCTGTCTCTTGCACCTGCTGCGAGGGTCCATCCCAGAATCACAAGCCACTCAGTGATGGTATGGGAGAGAAAAGGTCTCTGGGGGTATTCAAAGCTTGGGACACCTCCTCCATGGAGCCCCCTCCCATTGCTCCCTGGGCCTCTTGAGCCTCAGGCAAGAAAATGGCCAGGACTGGGTGATGAGCAGCCCCTGGCTGCCCTTTTGGCCCAGGTCTAGGTCTGGTCAAGCTGTTGGAGCTGCCTCCCCACACAGGATGAGTTCCCAGGGAAGTGAGGCCACAGCAGGATCCAGAGGGCACCCCTTCCCAGAGCCTGGGCCCAGGCGAGGCCAACAGCTCTGACAGTGTGGAAATGCATCAAAGTCCTGAGTGAGCAACTCCCTTCTGGGAAATTGATTCCAGCGAGAAAGGTGGGGGGCTTCCAGAGTCTCTGTTCCTGCTCCTGCCGCACCCCCGTTAGGGCCCTGGGGCTGTCCCACCGAAAAACTGAGGGAAGAGGCCCGCTCTGTTCCCCAGCGGTATGGCAGGCGGCCTGGGTCCTGACAAGGCCAGGCCTCCTGCCCCGCCAGGCTGCGAGCACGTGTGGGGAGCACTTCCCCATGGAGCCTGGGTGCTGTGGGGCTGTGGCATCCTCCCTGCGCTTGCGGCCACTGCTCTCACTGGCCCAGCATACAGGCCTTCTTACAGGCCACCGCCGAGACCAGGGCCGCGCCCCGGCCACTGCCCTCCTCCGACTCGATGAAGGTGATCTCGCAGCTGGGCGTCAGCCTGCGCACGCTGGCATGGAACCGCTCCTTGAAGCTGGGCAGAAGAGAAGCAGGGCTGCCGTCCCTCCTCCCACCTCATCCTCCACATTCATTACCGGGCGCCCTGCACGCAGTCGACCCTTCCCCCAAATCTAGGCCAAGGGGGACGAGAAGAGGACTACGAAATCTTGGAGCTTGGGAACCGCAAGGAACCTTGGAGCGCGCGCTTTTTGGGCCCCACTTTACCAGGGAGAGAGCGGGGCGGGCTCACCTGGGGTGCAGCTTGTACACGGAGCCATCCACGCCCACAGTGATGCGCATTACGTCCTCGCTGCGGCTCTCGCGCATGCGGTTGATGACGCCCGCCAGCCCCGCCGAGCACATGTGCGCAGCGCGCGTAGACACGCTCTCGCAGGCGCGGCGCACGATGTCGCAGTCGGTGGTCGAGGGTCGCAGCCCCAGCGTGCTCAGGATGTTGTAGATCTGCTTGCGGTCGCCCGTGTCGCTGCGGGGCGGGAGGAGGTAGGGCGGTCGCTGAGTGTCGCTCCGACAGTCCATCCCCCTCCAGCGGCGGCCTCTCGTTCTCCAGGGAGGGGCCCCGGCCAGCCGTCCCCCCAGCGGCGGCCTCTTTCCCTCGCTGAGCCGGGACCCCTCTCTGGAGAAATGGGGGCGATCCCGCTCACCTCACCCAGCCAAAGCGTTTCCGCCAGGGACTGGTTAGTACTGCCCCCTCTAACTAAGCCCAGGGTCTCCGTCCTAACGTGGGGGTGTCAACCATGCCGCGCCTTGGGGTTGTGAGTGATGTGAGAGGATGGCCACGGCGGGCAGGGAGCACCGAGGGGACTCACGGATGGGGACCAGTGCCCGGACGCAGGCTCGCTCCCATCCCTGCTCTTGGCATCCCCGTCCGGACCCCGCCTCCTCCCCTTGGGCCCTCCCCCTCCTCCCCGTCTCGGGCCCCGCCCCTCCCTTTGCATCCCCGTCCTGTCCCAGCCTCCTGCCCTTGGACCCGTCCCTGCCCCGCCCTCGCCTCCAGCGCCCGGCCTCGGGCCCCGCCCACTCCCCCGCCCCCTGTGCCCCGCCCCGGGCCCCGCCCACGCCCGGAATCCCGCCCCAGGCCCTAGTTTCCCATCCCTGCGCCCCGGGCCTGGGACTCAGCGTCGCCCTGAGACCAAGTCTGCAGTGCCCGGGCGTCCCCAGCCCCTGCCCTTTGCACCCACCCTCCTCCTCCGCACACCTCTCCACCTGCGACACGAAGCGCGTCTCGAAGGCTCCGCGTGTGCGCAGCTGCTCGGAGGCCTCCCCGTGGAAGAGCAGGTTTTCGTCCACGAGCCTGAGCAGCACAAGCCGCACCAGCTCGCCCATGTACTTGCCACCTATGAGCTTCTCATACCTGGACATAGGGCAGGTCCATTACATCAGCAGGCACGAGGGAGGGCCCCTCATGCAGGTGGAAGCCGGGAGCCGGCCCCACTGCTCCCCACTGAGGTCACGAGGCGGCCACGTGGGGCACTGCGATCCCCACTCCCCCAGCTGGTTCACGTCTTTCCCTCGTTAATGAGCCAGAGCTTTAGAAATGTCAGGGATTAGGAACGTGCACGTTCAAGTCAATCACGGGAGCAACTTTGGCCTGCCCCTGGGCCCACTGCAGTAAAGGGAAAGACAGATAGTTCAAAGACCCCATCCAGTCCCTCCGAAACCTTCCTTGCAGGGGGCCCTGCGCCGAGCACGGGACCTACAGCTTCAGTCTTCCTTTAGCTGCATCCAGAGCTGCTGTTCATTGGCCAGTTATGGTTGGGAAAACTAAGACTTGGAGGGTTAGTGCCCAGTCAGAGGCACGCACCATGTTGCTGGCACTTTCTTGCTTAATCTATGACCTTCCGTATTTAATTTAAATAAATCGAATACTACTGACCTATAATAATAGAGGCCTGCGAGCGGCAGAGAGGACGCTAATAAAGTAATTAGCATAGGCCTGGCACAGTAGGTGGTAAACAAGTGATAGCCATGATTAATGATGAGCTCTCTGTGGGTTGGTTTCCAAGCTGTGACTGTCAACCCGCAGCATTCCACAAAAGACTAATATTCTTTCTGTGAATGTGGCCAAATACATACTTTGGGGAATGTTGGGTTAAACCCAGGAACCTTGCTGGGGGCGTCTCAGAGCCTCCTCTGCATGCACGATCACCTGTCGGAAGGAAAGAGGTCTGGGCTTATCACATCACAACTGGGACTAACCCTTCATCTCTCACAGGGGCAGGTCATGACTGAGCAGAAGGGATGGAGCTTACGAACGGATTGTCAGTTTGCTTTTCCCCAGAGTTGTTTAAAAACAAGCCCATTATCTGCAATGGCCCGGCTCCCATCTGCCGCTGCACCAGAGCGGCCCAGGGCCTGGGTTGTGGGGGAGGGGGGCATCCTTACAGCTGCTGACCGGGGTTTGCAGAGCTCTCGTCCACCAGGCGGTCATACTCCAGCAGGAACTCGTCCAGCTCGCCGGAGTCCCCGAAGGCGCCCCACTCGGTATTGACGCACATGCGGCCCTCGTCCCCCTCCACCAGCTCCACATTCTGCATCTCCTCCATGTAGCAGGCATTGCAGCCCGTGCCTGGGGTGGAGGTCGGGGGGACTGTCAGCGAGAGCTGCACTGCCCCGGAGTAGGGCCTGGTTCCTGCCCACAGGAGTCCCTCTCCCGCTCCCCCATGCCTGTCTCTGCTTTGTCTGGAACAATGGAAAGGCGGCTCTCCCTGGGGCTGGAAGACCTGGGTTGCTTCAGTGGCCAGGGACAGCTTTCAGGGCTGTCCTCTTTCCTAACAGGCAACAGTAACACCTTCCCTGCCTGTTACCTAGGTGGTTGGGAGGACTGAGAGAAACAGTGTGTATCAAAGAAATGGTTGTGGGACGTTATCATTTTATTTTGTCTATGTACGACCCTTGTTTTCTGGCACTGTCCATGCACATGTTTGAGCTTCTTTGTCATGAGACATGTTTGGATGGCAACCCAAAGTGAGTAAGGCATGGTGTGGGCCCTTGGGAGCAGCCCAGAGGCTCCTGTAGACAATTCCGGATATGGAATTTTGTAATTTGCTGGCCCCTGTGCAGAGTGACAACATGGAGTCTTTTGTTCACAAGTTATTAAGAGTTTCAAACTGCTGACAGCAGAGCCTCAAGCTAGCATGACTGTGTGGGCTGCACACCCCCAAAGCTGTCAGGGACAGCAACTCAAATGCTGGTCAGTCGAGCTGCCACATAGGAATCAGGGCTCAGTGATGCTTAGACTTCCAGTTTTTATTTATTTATTTATTTATTTGGAGACAGAGTCTCACTCACTCCATCACCCAGGCTGGAGTGCAGTGGCGTGATCTTGGCTCACTGCAACCTCTGCCTCCAGGGTTTAAGCAATTCTCCTGCCTCAGTCTCCTGAGTACCTGGGATTACAGGCATGCGCCATCACACCCAGCTAATTTTTGTATTTTTAGTAGAGACGAGGTTACACCTTGTTGGCCAGCTAGTCTTCAAATCCTGACCTCAAGTGACCCGCCTGCCTTAGCCTCCCAAAGTGTTGGGATTACTGGCGTGAGCCACCTTGCCTGGCTGCCTTCTAGTTTTTTATGAACAAACAGAAATCCAGACTTTGATGTGAATTCTCCTAATTTTCAGATCTTGGTAATTGTTATAAACATGTTTTTAAACACTGAGCAGAGTCAAGAGTGGATGTGGGGCAGATGTGAGTGGTGGGTCACTCCTTGCCACCTCTGCCCCAGGAGGGGTTATGCCTGGGCCCAGCAGCTGCAGCTTGGCTTGGTGGGAATTCATGTGGAAGTGTCTTGGGGAGCCCCAGGCAGTTCCAGAGGATAGGGTGGAAAGGGCTGGGGGGATCACAGCCAGGGATGGCTGGGGCTCACGTTTAGATGCTGGATTTAAAGACAACGTTCCTTCTGAAAGGTGAAAATGGAAGTAAGAGAAGTATAGAACCACACGGCTGTGCGCACAGCAGATAACTGATCTGATTGGATTGCTCCTCAGTGAAGGCTGGTTATAATGACCTCCGGAACTTCTGAGAAAGGTCCGAGTTGGTGTGGAAGACCCCTCTGCTGGGAGGGGCGGACTGCTGCTCCCTTTCCTGGTACCTGCCTTCACTTTGGGTGGGGGCAGGGGCAGGGGCAGGCCCGTGGAAAGACCATTCGGGTGGAGATGGTACCACTTTTGCTTATCCTCTTCCACTTGGACCAATCTGTCCAGTTGGTCAATTTACCAGATAAGTGTTTTAATTATAATCCTGATGGGTGAGGTGGATATGCAGCTGGCATACCATCTGATGCAGGAATGTGGCATCATGGCGTTGAAATGCTTCCTACTGTACACGGTGCTTCCATCTTGATACCCCAAGACCACCCAGGCTGTAGCACCAGGCTCTGCTCTGACATCACCGGTTGTTAAGTAGTTTGGTCCTCACCCCACAGGGCCCTTGAAGCCTGTTGTACACAGGGAGCCTCAGCAGTCTGGAAGGGGCAGGGGTGCAAGGAGCCCTTACCCACGATCATGCCGACCTCGCACTGATGGTCTTCGTAGTAGCAGGAGATCATCGTGGCCACCGTGTCATTCACCATTGCCACCACATCCATTTCAAAGTCCTGCCAAGAAGCACAGAAGCTGCAGTGCTGGAAGCCAAGGAGAAAGGCAGGCAGTGCTGGGGTGGGTGGCCCAGGGCAGCCCCCCCGGCAGGTACAGGTGCCCCCTCACCCCTCTCCGTTTGATAGCGTCTCGCAGAAGCCCCACGACATTGTTCCCTTCTGCTCCTGAGGCCTTGAAGCCCTTGGTCCAGTTGAGAAGGATGCCCTGTGGGGAGAGATAGGCCTCGTGGCTGCTAACATATACTGGAGGCAGGGTGCTAGGGCCTGTCACTACCTCCTGCACAGGGCCATAAAAGTATGCACCCTACTTTACAGCTGAGGAAACAGGCTCAGAGCAGCCCCATAGCTTTGAGAGGTTTTGGGAACGATTCTCCTTGAAGATATCATATTTCTGCAGGGCTGAGTCCCAGCCAATTTAAGAATGTTGTACTGCACAGCTCTGAGACGTCATCCCAGAGTCAAGGCAGGGCGTGGGGGGAGCAGCTTTGTGTAAAATCAGGATTTCCCTCCTGCAAGGTACCCCGCTGCATGCACAGGTGCCACCTGGCCCTCTCTGTCTCTGTAGGGACTGGGGCTTGGAAAACCACATGAGATGTTGCTTTGGCTGCTGCTTCTGCCGTGAGTGAGGATCTGGCTTTCTCCCTGACCCAAAGGTCTCGTGTTTTATGTGTGTGCATATATAACTGTGTGTGTGTGTGCATGCACAGATGTAACTGGCAGGCCACTTTGCTAGCTTGCAGGAAGGGTAGAATCTCAGTTCCTTCACATTTCTGACTCAGCTAGAGGCAGTGTGACATGACCGTGGCCTGCAGGTGACCCAGAGCCCGGCTGCCTGAGTTTGAGCCCCACCCTACTGCCAGCTGCTCTTTCCACTGGAGTGGGGTGATCATAGCTGGTGCCTCACAAGGCGCACAGCCAGAATTAGCTAATGTGATGCTTCTTTTCCACAGCATTAGAGGTGGCAGGTGACATGGCCACAATTTGAATCCAGATCTCCCTTCTGAGCACATGGTATGGGGGCTACATTTGAAGGCAGAGTTCCTCTGGGGTGCCTGTGCCTCCCCTCATCTGCCTTCTGCCCCTCCACCCGGCCCACCTTATCGATGTCTTCGTGCCTCACAGGAAAGGAGAAGGTGAAGCCCAGGGGCAGCTTCTTGTGTTTCATCTGATGCTTGTCCAGGAAGTCGGAGATGCACTCAGAGATGTAGTCGAAGAGCTGGAAGATGCACGCCATGGTGACCATCTGGCATGGGGGGGTGCGCTGGCCGGCAGCCCTCCCCACGGCCTCAAGCCAAGCTATTCCTCAGGGACACTGCAACACCTGGCCACTGAATGCCAGGCCTGTCCACAGTTTCCCTCTCCTCTTCCGCTGCTGCTTGTTGGGCTCAGGCCCTAAGCCTCCCCCATGCCAGAGACCTGCTGACAGTGGCCCTCGGGACAAGGCAACACAGGGCAGGCTGGTCCCTGGCCCGGCTGTGCTCTGTCAGCCTAGCCCTCCCAGCTGAACCTTGTGAGGTTCAGCCTCAGGCCTGGCCAGCTATTCCTGAGGCTCCACATGGAGGCACATCCTTGATTTCTGTCTCCAGCACCCGGAGTCTCCTTTTCTACTTCTAGGGGCCCTGGCCACCCATCCTTACTGAAGACCAGCCCCGACTCCCCTCACACGGGCCTCTCCATGGAACTGGATACTGCTGAATGCTCTGCTGACTGACCAGGCTCCTCACTGGCTGCTGGGGCCAGGGAGGTCCCCACACCATCCCACTGCCTTGATTCACACCCAGCCCACAGACAGACTAGCAAGCTGCAGGGGTGTGAGGACGGGTAGCCACGGGCAGCCTCCTGCCTCCTGCCTCGGAGCCCTGCCCTTCCAGGAGCTGGCCTTGGCCATGTGCTTGGCTGCAGCTAGGGCTCTGGCCTTGCCCAACTCCCCCTAGGCCTCATTCTGCTTCTATGTTCCCTGCACCCCAGTCCTCCCCATGGTCAGGGGTCCTTGCTGCCTGGGTAGACATTGTGATTGCTGTCACCCCACTTTCTGTGCATGCTGGTGGAGGGTGAGGGGTGGCCTTTGGAGAGGGGGGCAGTGCACTGGCTGCCGGGTCACATTTCTGTTCTTACACATTGGTTTTTCCTCTGGTAAACTGGACAAGGTGTGACTGGCTGGGGTTCCTCTTGCCACTAACTCTTCCTCAGCCCGTTCCCCTCTCAATGCTGGCCAGATGGTGACTGTGGGACTTGGGGACATGTTGGCCAGTCCTGTTCACCCAGGCCTCCAGCTGCCTCTGAGGCTGGGTGGTCCTCCAGCCCCCGCTCTCCCCACCCCTGGTAGACAGGTGGCACCTCCCGTCAGGACTAGCTGGGCCCTGAGATCCTGCATGGCCTTGGCCCCCTGCCCCGGCCCCTGCGCTGCTCACCATCTCAGCAGTGCCGGTCATGGCGTCCTCGGGGATGGAGTACATCTGGTGTTTGGTCTTCACGCTCCACTGCCCCTCCTCACCTTCTCCCACCTTCACCAGCATCACCCTGAAGTTAGTGCCACCCAGGTCCAGGGAGAGGAAGTCCCCGACTTCTAAAGGCACAGAGAGAAGTGTGTCAGCCTCAGGGACACCCACAGGCTGGCCTTGGGCTGGGTGGGCCCCAGGTGACTGAGCCCGGATATTACAAAGAGGAGGAGGGAAGGCACAAGGGACTAAGGGAGCTGGACAAGGGGCCACCAGACACCTGGGGACACCAGTGTCAACTGTGGAAGGGGTCAAAGGTCAACCAGGGAAAAGTCAATGGGAAACTCCTGCCCTGGACAGTCACCGAGAGCCCAGGGACCAACTGAGGATCTAGTGCAATGGCCCAGCTGCAGAACTGGGCTGGGAGAGTTCCCTAAGTGCCCATGGGGAGCAGTGAGGTCTTTTTTTTTTTTTTTTTTTGAGATGGTGTCTCACCCTGTCACCCCAGGCTGGAGTGCAGTGGCGCGATTTTGGCTCACTGCAACCTCGGCCTCCCGGGTTCAAGCAATTCTTATGCCTCAGCCTCCCGAGTAGCTGGAACTACAGGAATGTGCCACCATGCCTGGATAATTTTTGTATTTTTAGTAGAGACGGGGTTTCACCATGTTGGGCAGGCTGGTCTCAAACTCCTGGCCTCAAGAGATCCGCCTGCTTTGGCCTCCCAAAGTGTTGAAGTTACAGGGGTGAGCCACTGCACCTGGCCAGGAGTGAGATTTAAAACGCCAGTTTTCCTGAGGTTTGCCAGCTCCAGGGTGAGCCCGAGTGCCCCAGGGCCGGACCAGAGGAGCCAAGGGTGAGAACTGGCCCAAGTCGAGGACTTCATTGCTCCCCAGGAGATTCTGTCTCGGGCTGGCTGTGAGTCTGGGAGTGCCTGGGGTGCTTCTCCCAGCTAGGGCTGAGCCCACAGCTGCTTCTGGATGAGGAGCCGGTTACCATGTGGTACCTGAGCCTTCTGGGGTGGAGCGCACGTAGGTGGGCAGCATCTTCACACTGGCCTCTTCATGGGTCTCCAGCCTCAGGCCGCGGTCCATCTCCTTCTGCATCCGTCTCATCACCTTCTTCAGGTCCTCCTCCTGCAGCTGGAACTCTGCCAGGATCTGCTCTACCTGCACAGGGAGGGGGATGGGAGCAGTCGGGCTGGGGAGGGGGTAGGCTGGGGACCTCAGGGTGGGGCTGTCACCAGGCATCTGCACACCGAGGGCCTCACGGGGCATCTCCCCCACACGCCATGGGCCTCCTTCTGTCTTCTGACCCCGGGGTCAGGATGACCCATCTTCTCAAACTTTACTACAGGTAAAACCAGCTGGAAAGTCAGAAGAGCAGAGTCTGGTACCAGCCACTCAACAAATGCAGCCCACAGCGTGTTGGAGGGGTGAGCAGCAGAGGGCAGAGTAGCTTCTGTCCCTGACGATATCCCTGTGGCACAGCGTCCTGTAGCACCCTGCTTCGTCCCTCAGGTCAGAGCCAGGGAAAGGAGGGGCTAACTGGGAGAGCTGGCGAGGTGGGGCTTGAGCCACCTGTCTGGAGGGTGCCAGGCAGCTGGCATTGCTGTCAGAGAGACCCAGTCCTCCTACTTGGGATTTACACAAGAAAATAAATGGGCCTGTCTGCACAGGTGTGCTAAGGGCCAGCCAGGAGTGAGTGTGAGTGTCTAGAAGGAGGTGTCTGCTGACTGAAGCCATCTGTGGCATGGGCACACTGGGCCACAGAACAAAGAGGGTCCCTATGCACTGATGTGAGAGACGCCTGGGCACACGAAGCTCAGATCTGATACTGCCACTCCCGTGAGCATGGACGGCCCATGGTGTGGCTGCTGGCTCTCCACATGGCAGTGTGAGGACAGGCCGTGAGTGCAGATGTGACTCTGCCTATGCATCCCCAGCAAGCTGGTGTGTGGACAGCTATGTGTCTGTCCACTGGGCACCCTAGTGCTATTCATGGAGAAAAGGCCATGTTAATGTGCTGGTTATCTCTGGGCAGTGGTGAGAAAAATAATCATAAGAATATTTTCATCTTGAATCAAAAAGAAAAAGGAAAGATGCTCTGATAAAAGCCGTGGATCCATTCCACAAAAACTCACACACTTTTGCCCACAGTCTTACACATAAGCTCAGAGGGTTGGAGATGCTCTGAATCCCAGCCAGGAGGCAAGACGGCCATTTTCCTCTTCTTCCTCAGTTTCTAGAACTCAGATTTTGTTGGTATGGGGAGCACATTGCGCCATGATTAATCTAAGGTGGGCACAGCAATTCTATACTCCTCTTACTGATGATCGGTCTAGAGTTGGGCATTTCACCCAGTTCTGGCCAATGACAGGTGAAGGGAAGCCTGATTTTAGCAGGGGAGGAGCTTCAATGTCCCCCTAAATTTGTAAACACAGCTGTGTAAGGATGTGATGGCCAGCGCTGTGATAGCCACCCTGCAACCATGAAGAAACAAGGCTGGAGGTTAAAGCTGTTAGCATACTGCAAATGTAGGGAAGAGAGAGTAATGCCAGATCCACCCTCCACGTGCAGCTTATGGGAGCAGACGCAAACCACTTATGCCACAGTGAGTCAGGTGTTTGTCTTCCTGCAGCCCAAAGCATTCCTAATGGATACAGATCTTTAGTTAAGAACCATGTCTCTTAATGAGGCCCCACATGTAAAATTTAAACTGAGGCAAGGTCAGAAAGGGATGGGGCTGATAAAGTCTGTGACAAAAGACACAGAATCAAACACCCATGTTGGCTGAGCAGGCACTGTTCCGAGGCTGTGAGCATGGGTGGGAGTGCACGCCCTCCCCGACCCCTAACCCTCCAATCCAGCTGCCCCTGCAGAGCACACCCCTGGAGATGTCCTCAGGGCTCTGTGGAACAATCCAGGCTGTCCTCAATGCCCCACAGCTACAACTTTTGCCTCCTCTGTCTTTCTTTCCTACACCCACCAATGTAGAGGATGCCAGGAACTAACTGTGAAGGCATCTGTCATTTGCTGAATTCCTCCATATGCCAGGCCCTGCATTAGGTGCTTCACATAGCAGCCTCACACACTATGCCCTGTCACCACAGCACCGGGGAGGAGGTGCCAGCAGCACCCATCTTGCAGATGAAGAAAGGCTTACAGAAGTCATTATTGCAGGCATGGGCAGCCAGCACACCATGGTGAGGCCAGCACCCAAATCCATGCACACAATGGCTACTGGCAGGAAGTCCTAGGACCCAATTATAAGATACCTGTGGGCTCTCAACAAAAGTGATGCTGCTCTTGCAAAGGTCCAGCCCTCACACCTGCCTGGCACCACCCTTGTGCCTCTCTCCAAGTGGCCCATCCTGGCAGCCACGGACCTGGACTCTGGTCCTTTGGCCCCAGGTTCTTCATGGGAGGAGCCAACATTTCAGTCTGAGGTCTTGGCGGAGGACAATGGCATGGAGCCTATGCCCAGGTGGCTGATCAGAGTGTGGCTGTATTGTCAGACAGTTGGGGCCCTTGAGTGATCCTCCCTTGCAGGGCTGTGGGGAGAACTGGCCCAGCCCTTGGAGAATAAGGAGAGCTAGGTACAAGTTGGCTGTTGTTTCTCTTATCACATGTTGGGAGGCTGGGCCCTGTAGGGTGTCGAGGAGGCTCAAGTCTTCCCCCTCTGTATCAAGGCCCACGTGTGGCCCTGCCACTGACTGGGTGAAGTCCTGGCTCTACTGCCTTCTAGGCCAGAAAGTTCTCCCCGAGGAATCCCGGTATTGGATGATGTCAAACTGATACCGTCTGTTCAGAGGGCAATTTGGAGTTTCTCTAAGTTTAACTTTGATCTGACAGTTTCTCTCCTAAGAATCTGTTCTGCAGCAAGAGGGCTGCAGGCATTTCCAAGATACACAGGGGGGTATCCTCTTGCTGCAACAGTGAGGACCCTCATATTCACTGTTGGGGACTTTAAATCAACACCGGGACACTTACCGCAGGGCCTCTTGTGGCCTTTCCCGTGAAGGAGACGTATAGGCATAAGTGAAAACGTGAGATGGGACCTGAGGTAGGACCTGATCCCATTTCTGTAAATAAAGTTGCATCTGGCCTGTGAATCTGATTTGTTCTGTATAATATTCTCAAAAGCTTAAATTTGCTGCCACCACTTAAAATCTACTTAAAATAGAGACACTTTTACACAAAAATCTGGATTTCTGTAAAAGTAGGTCTGTATTCTCTGTGGGCTGCAGGGAAGCAGGGGACATGGGGTGGGGGAGCCTGTCTCCCCACAGTGGCAGAACCGGCCAGGCTCTCCTGGCACAGGGCTCTTATCTGGGCCCCGCCCTAGCCAGATGCTACAGGGTCTCTGCATTGTCCACACCGCAGGGCCTATGAGGACCCCTCACACACTTCCCAGTGGGCATGGGTTGGAGGATAGATGCTGTCAGCTTCCGAGGCTGCAGTCACCAGTAGACCTGGGGGTTCACCTCTCATGTGGGGAGCATCCTCCAAAGGTGAGCCTTGTTCTTGGTGGGAACAAGCCCTTTCCTCAGGGTGCATCTGGGCCTGCAGAAGTTCCCCTCCTGGTGCAACCCCAGAGGAGGAAGCTCTGACCCAGCTTGGTCTCACAAGCCTGGGGGTCACATTGTGGAGCAGAGGTTGGCTTCACAGACTCCCAGGACAAGCCCAATGGCAGGGACTGAGGCTGATGCACACTTCCTGTGTGCCAGACCTGCTCTGGGCACCCCTCCCTATTATTGCTACAGCCACCCTGGGACATGGGTACTTTTATTATCTCCTTTTTTTATAAGTGAGGAAACTGGACACAGAGGTACAAACCCTTCCCCAAGCCCACAGAACCATAGGCCACAGAGGAGTTTGAACCCAGGCACTGGCTCCAAGCTTTCCTCTCACCTGGCCAGGCTGCATCCTGCCCGACTTCAGGCCCAGCACCAAGCTGTTCCTGGTGCCCAGACCCCAGCTACAAGTATCTCTCTGGCGAGCCTCATGCTGGGTGTCTGTGCAAACTTACAGGGCTTTCCCAAGCAGTGTAGGAAATGTGGTGGTACCTGGGGAGCCCTGAGAGCCTGGCGCCCCAGGTGTAGCCTCGGAAGAAGAGCACAGACAGAGCCTGTCCCTCCCCCTGGCAGCCTCTGGGAGGCAGCCCCAGCCAGCTTGCAGAGGTTTCTCTTGCTGACCTCACCCAAGAGGTCACAGGACACATAATCAGGGCCCACAGCCAAACGTACAACTTTTCTTGCCTGAGGACGCCCCCACACTCCCTGCAGGGCATCTGACCCTCATCTCTTCAGCAGATGCTCACTGAATGCCAGGTGCGGCACAGGGCACAGAAGCAGAGTTGACAGTGGGACCAACCCCTCTCAAGGGCGGGGATCTGCAGGAAAGAACCTCAGTCAAGTTGGGGACAGGCTGGGGGGTGAAGGAATGGGGACAGATGAAGAGGGACCAGGTCGGGCAGCTGCTGCCAGAAGATGGGAGCAGGGGACCTGCACTGAGGCTGGAGCAGAGGCGGGGAGGGAGGGAGTGAGGCTGAGCTGTGAGCAGCAGGAGGTGAGAAGCCTGGAGGCGCCGGGCTGCAGAGCAGGGGCATCTTGGGGCAGGGTGGAAGCAGGGCGTCAGGCTGTCCTAACAATCCCTGTGCAGGGATGCTGGGCGCAGGCTTGGTGAAAGCGATAAGAGTCTAGACTTATTCTGAAGGGAGGTGGGAGGGGCTGAGGAGAGGAACAGAAGGGCCTGGGAAGAAGAGGTTCCATCTGACCTGGGAGTTGGGTTGTGGGAGTTGGGATCTTGGTCTGGGCATGTTAACACATCTGCCAGCCAAGGGGCGATTTGTTCCAAGTAGCAGTTGGCCATGTGAGGCCCGAGTTCAGAGGAGAGTCTGGCTGGAGAGGTAGATGTGGAGCCATCAGTACAGAGACAGTCCTTAAGGCCACTGGCCTGGACATGGTCACCAGGGTGTACAGGTTGGATAGCAGTGGGAGAGGCGGAGCTGGTCAGGCAGGGCTGCCAGGGGCAGGATGCTGTCCCTTTTATGCAGTGAGCAGTGCTTTGTGACCCCACCTCCAGAACGCAGTAAAAAAGGCAGGATGCCTTCTAGTGCCGCCTTTGGCAGATGTGGACTGAGGAACTGTCTATTCCAGCACTGGGAGGGGCCGGCTGGTGGAGCTGTGGGTCCCTGAGGAAATGGCCAAGGGCCAGGGCAGTCCCTGGGCAGATGCTGCAGGCCTGGGGGCTCCAGAGCCCATCCGAGTGCCAGATGTCCAGCTGTAGCCTGGCCCCCTCCATTCCTGGGCCCTCAGGTGGCTATGTACACAGAAGTGAGTGGCCTTGGGCTAGTGCCCACATTCTCCTGAGGGACAGAATCCCTGATCCACCAACCCCTGGAAATGCCATGCAGAGCCCCCAGAGAGCCAGACAGCCCTGGGCAGCCAGCCAGCTCCCCCCATAAAAGCCCCAGGCCAGGCCCCGGACACTGGTGTCCTGGGTCACCGTTAGCTCCAGGAATAAGTACCCTAGAACCCCTCGAGAGGCTGGACACTGGATAGCCACAGTGAGGAGGGGTGGTGGGCAGAGGGCCAGTGGCAGGCACAGCTGCCCTAGCCAGGACCCCCAAGGCCCATGTGCCTCCTTCCAAGGTGCCCCAAGCCTGCTCGCCTTCCCTGCCCCCAGCCTTAGTTTTGGTAATCTGCAAAACCAAGGGCCCTGCCCTGGGTGCTGCTCTCCCAGTGCAAAGTCCCTAACTTTGGTGTGACCCTTACCAGAGTCAAGGCTGTCTGGGCCTGGCTCCTTGTGACATCCATCGCCATCTCTCCGAGGGGCTAAGAGGTAGATGCTTTGGGAGGCAGAGATGCTCCTGCCTGCTGAGGCCTAGCACATGCTGTAGCCTTGGAGCGTAAGGCCCGCCTGTGGCAGCAACGGCTGCTTGGATGGAGAGCTGCCTGAGGCTGGCAGCCCAGGGCTTCTGCACTGAAAGGGCTCAGCCTGGCGGCTGCTCAAATACTCTGCCCCCTGCCATGGGGTCAGAGGCAGGGCAGAAAGGGAGGGTAGGCCATGTGGGTAACAGTTGACAGGGCCACGGGGACAGAGCCATGGGGCAGCCGGCCACACTCTGTGAACATGGGGTAGGGATTGCTGCCCAGCAGGAGGGGGTGTGCAGAGCCAGCCTACCCATCTTCCATTCCTCAGCCTTGTGCGGGCAGAAAGTCACCAGGCTGCCTTGGCCACAGAACACTTACTGAAATGCCCTTGGACAGGGAGGGGGTCCTAAGGGGGCCTGGCCCGCGCTGGTGCAGGTCTGGACTTGCTCTTGGAGGCAAGGGGATCCCCAGTGGATTTTCATCTGCAGAGAGGTTCGATTTGCATTTCATACAATCCAGGGGTCTGTATGGAACTTGGGGAAGGGGTGGTGGAGGAAGGTGGCCAACTGATCAAAAACAAACAAAAAACAGGGGTATCATTCTTAATTTTGTGACTGCAAAGTCCAGGCCTCAGGCTTGCTTTGGGTGCCTCCATGGGCATAGACCATGACTTCCAGGCTCTGGCCCAGGCCTCTCCTTGGGCTCACCTGGGAGTGACATCCACATGCTATGTACTTGCTGGCACCTGCCAAAGCCTGCTAAAATTAGCTGGAGCTGGCAAGTGGGTCAGGGTATGGAGGGTGCCTTGTCAGAATGCCAGGTCTCTCGCCAATGGCCAGAGTGATCACTCCCAAGAAAGCCCTTGATACAATTGATCCCTTTCCCAATATAGAGCAGAGATGGCCTCATCAGATCTCATGTGACAGGCCACTGACCCCCACAGCCCCCAGCTCTGAGCTACTGTTTGCTCATGGGGGCAGGGCTCACACCCAGGTTTGGAGTGGCACTGGGGCCTTCTGGTTCAGCCAGGCCAAGAAGCAGCCACCCAGCGAGACTTGCCCTTCTTCTGGGCCAAGCACACAGCACAGGGGAGGAGAATCTAAATTCAGTTCTCAAGAAAGGCTGAGGATGTGTACAAAGCCTGAAGCTGAGGCAAGTGGGCCCCCTTTCTTGGTTGACTGAACTGCCAGTGCCCTCTCTAGCCTCTATTTAGAGCAACAGGCATCCCCTAGAGTTCCTTTCTGGGAGCCACCTGCTGATATTCATTGGCATCCATGAGGCCAGAAAGCGGCCCAACACCCCTACTTCCCCACACCGTCTAATTCTCCGGGACCAGATTCTCATGACTCATGCCAGCCCTCCTGGGCACCCACCCTTGTCCTGTCTCAGTGCCTCTTCTTCAGGATAAGGGGTGACACCAACAGTCTGTACTGCACTGGAGTTGAGAGTCATTGTAGCAGGAACAGTTCCTGCTTTCCAGGAATTTTGGAAGGGCAAGACTGTCCAGAACCTGTCCAGAGAAGAGGGGCCAAGAAGGGGAGGGCCTCAGAGATGATGGCTCATGGAGGATGACCAGGACATGCTTAGAGTCTTCAGTAGCTCAAGGGCTGTCCCGAGGAGGATGGATGAACATTGTTTCTGCTTAGAGCTTTCTAAAAAGACAGAACTGTGCAGCTGTGGGCTAGGATGTCTCAGTAGATAGTGAACTCCCCATTTCATGGGGAGAGAAAGACAAGAGCAGAATCAGAAGGGACCTTGCTCTATGTCCCAGTGGTACCCCCATTTCTTAGTTGCTCAGGGTTCTGATTGACAGACATGACTTGATTTTCTTTTTCATTCATCAAAAGAAAATAATATGACAAGTTTGGTGATGGATATTCAAGATGATTAATTCTACTATCAAAAAACGAGACACAACCCACATACCCAACTACAGGAGGTTGGTTAAATAAATTATGCTACACTTACATGTAGTCATTAAAAATGGTAAGATTCATCTGCTCTATTGGCATGGAAAGATGTTCATGACATACTGTTGAAAGGGAATGTGTAGCCGCCCTTGAAGCTGGCCTTCAATTAGCCCTGCTTCTGGTATTCACCCCATGGTATAGTCTCTTCCATGCAGAATAGGTCTAGCCTGTGTAACTAATATGATAATGCAGAAATGGTGGAGTATGACTTTGGAGCCTAAGCCAGAAAAGACCCTGTGGTTTCTGCCTTGTTCTCTCCTGGACTGTTCCCTCTGGGGGAAGCCAACTGCTATGCTATGAGGTTGCCTACAAGAACTCTGGGAAGATCCATTGAGAAGAAGCGAAGTCTCTTGCCAATACGCAACTCCAACTTGCCAGCCATGTGAGTGGACCACTTTGGAAGCAGCTCCTCTGGCCCCAGTCAAGCCTTCAGGTGATGCAGCCCCAGCCAAAACCCTGACCTCAGGAGAGACACCAAGCCAGACCACCCAGCTAAGCTGCTTCTGAATTCTTGACCTACAGAAACTGTGTGAGATAACAAAGGTTTGTTGTTTCAAGCTACTATGGTTTTTTTTAAAAACACTTTATGAAATAAAATTTTGTTATTACAGAACAAATAAGTTTAGAAACCATTTTCTATCTTTTAGCATATGATCCAGATATAAGACAGTGTCATACCACATTCTTGTCATCATAATACACGGAAAGGTGAAGCCACTAAGTTTTGAGGCAGTTTGTTATACAGCAATAGATGACTAACACAGGGGAAGAACAGGAAACATAGTATGATCCATTTTTGTCGTATATACGATATAGATAATATATGTATTGGGAGGAAATATACCAAAATGGTGACAGTAATTATCTTGATGATGGTGGTATGAGGATTTTAATTTATTTTCCTTTTTGCTTATCTGTATTTCCTACCTTTTCTGCAGTAAATGGGTATTAATGGAGTAATATTTAACAATGAAGTTAAAAAAAGAAAGGTTGAGCCTTATCTGCCATTTTGCACAGAAGCAAGCCTGGAGGCCCAGATTCTAAAGGGTAGAGGTTCACAGTTAAATGAGCCAAGCTGCTAGACCCCATATGCCATTGGGAAAGATATTGGGAGCCAGGAAACCAGGGAACCCAAAGTGTCCGCCCTTCCACCACTGGCCTGTTCCCTGATACCCTCAGTACCAGCTGGGCACCAAGTGTGGGCACGCTGATGCAACAGGGCCTGGAGGTCAGCATGATGTTGCAAGTGTTTGCTTACAGCAGGGTAGACTTGAGACCGGCTGTGCTCTTGTGCTAAGGGGCAGGCTAAGGGCCTGGTGAGTGGGAGGGTGTTAGGCAGTGGCTGATGGCCAGGACATCAGGGAAAGAGGCAAGGGGAGAGCCGAGAGACAGCAGAGCATGCCAGGATCAAATGACCACAACTAGTGTGTGCCCTGTGGCTTCCACATGCCAGGGGATGTGCTAGACCCTTTAGATGGATTGAAACTGGCCGATGAGCTGAAGGCTGTCATTTTATATGCAGGGAAACTGAAGCCTATGGGAGTTAAGGGATTTACTAGGATGCAACAGCTATGAGTGACTTGGCTAAGATTCACCCATGGGTCACTCTGACTCCAGGATTGTTAACAGTTTGGTCTTCTTGACTAGATGGGGAGGGCTTCAGGGTCAAGCATATGCTGGGGGACAGGAAATATCCTTTGGGGCTTCTTCCATGCTGGAGATGTTCAGAGGCTTCAGCTGAAGCTGGTGGAGGTGGACACAGTGGTATCCACAGAGGTCAGTTTTGCCCCAGTGTTTGCCTCTGTCAACAGATGGAATGGAGCCTGGGGCTGGGTGTCAGGGATAAAGCCTAAGGCCAGCACTGTTGGGGTTGAAGAGCAGAGCATGAGTAAGGGTGCAGGGAGCAGCCCTGTGCATTGCCTAGGGAGGGGTTAGGAGAATCATCCAAGACTCTGTGCTGAGAGGCAGGATAACACTGGGGTAACACAGAACTGTAGGATCTCCAGCCTGAGTCTGGAGACTGGCTTTGCCACTCACTGGCTCTAGGGCCTCGGGCAAATTCCTTAATGTTTCTAGGCCTCAGTAAGGGGCAGGCAACAATTCTACTACCTCACAGGGCTGTTGAGAGGATTCAATGGGATAATGCAGGTAAGGCTCTTGGCACATACAAGTTGTTCAATAGTTTGTAGCTGTTGTTGCTACCAAAGGATATTTTAGCCCTTGGGTCAGAGTTTAAGACATGGGCTGTCCCCAGCTCTTGATTTACGGCAGATCTAATGCCAAACTCCTACCCCAATGCATACTGATTATTTCTGTGTTTTAAGGAGACAGACTAGGTGGCATAGACTCTTTGATGCTAGTCCTACAGTAAATCAATGAAGCTTTTTGTCTGAAAAGAGTTACTAGGGAATGATCCTCATGAAGCTGGCAACGTAGGAAACTTCAGGAATTGGTTCCTCTATCTAAACAACCAGCAAGTTAGAAAAGAAAAAAATCCTGTAAGAGTCAACTCTTTCAGAATTCTGGAACCTGATTGGACACTTACAGCAACCATGGGAGTGCTCGATGAAGGGAGAGGCATGCTGATGGCTCATAAGTGAGTGGTGTGGGCAAACCAGCTACCATCCTGCATTCTTCAACATTCCTGTGGCCATGTGGACAGTAATTGTGTTCCTAGAGCAGCTGGCTGGAGCAGGAGTGGGCAGAAAGGACCTTGTCTTCCAGAAATTTGGAGAATCAAATTTCTTTTGTTTATCTGGTGGTTCCCTGAGGGCTCAGAGTAGAGCTTGCCTTTGTTTCTGCCCCTTCAGGCAGCAGCAGCCTTCCAGGTGGCATCTATCAGAAGATTTTTAAAAAGGTACATACATGCTAGGTTTTTTGTTTCTTGGGTTTTAAAAAAATCTATGCATTTAAGGAATGCTCTTCCAGGTCATAGGCTGACTGCAGAGGCACCAGAACAGAAACGTCAGTGACCAGACACAAGAGAGAATACATACTTTGCAAAAATCGTTTGGAAAAGTCACTATACAAATGGACAACTGCAGCCCTCAACAAACAACAAAACCAATCTCAAAGGAGGGGGAGAATCTGGCTTCAGAATTACCACATTTTACTACTCAAAATGTTAAGTTTTCAACAAAGTATTACAAAGCAAATAAAGAGGAAGATATGACTCTCTAACAGGACAAAAATAATTTAAAAGAAGCTATCCATAAGGAATTTTAGACATTGGAATTACTAGTCAAAGACATTAAGTCAACTGTCTTAAATATGCTTAATTAACTAAAGAAAACCATGGACAAAGAACTACAGGAAATTGGGAGAGCAATGTATGAACAGATGGGGAATGACAATAAAAAGAATTTATTAAAGAGGAACCAAATAGAAATTCTGGATCTGAAAAGTACAATACTGAAATGAAAAAGTCACTGGAGGGGTTAAATGGCCAATTTGAGCAGGCAGAAGAAATAATCATTGAACTTGAAGAAAAGGCGATTGAAGTTATCCAGTCTGCAGAGCAGAAAAAAAGAAAGAAGAAAAATGAACAGAACCTGAGGGACCAGTAGGATACCATCAGTCATGCCAACTAAGTATACGGGAGCTCCAGAAGAAGAGAGATGGAAAGGGGAAGAAAAAGATATTTGAGAAATGGTGAAATAATTTCCCAGATTTGGTGAAAGACAAACGTACACATCCAAGAAGCTCAATGAAATCCAAGTGGGATAAACTCTAAGAAATTCACACTGAAACACATTATAGTCAAATTGTCAAAAGACAAAGACAGAGAGAGAATCTTGGAAGCAGCAAGAGAGAAATGACACATAGCATACATACCAAGGATTTGCAATAAGTTTAACAGATGATTTCTCATTAGAAACCAAGGAGGCCAAATGGCAGCTGTAATAATAATTACACTTTAGACCAGGCATGGTGGCTCATGCCTCTAATCCCAGCACTTTGGGAGGCCAAGGTGGGTGTATCACTTGAGGTCAGGAGTTCAAGATCAGCCTGACCAACATGGTGAAACCCCGTCTCTACTAAAAATACAAAAATTAGCTGGGCATGGTGGCGGGCACCTGTAATCCCAGCTAACTCGGGAGGCTGAGGCAGGAGAATTGCTTGAACCTGGGAGGCGGAGGTTGCAGTGAGCAGAGATTGCGCCACTGCACTCCAGCCTGAGTGACAGAGGGAGACTCCATCTCAAAATAATAATAATAATAATAATAACACTTTAATAATAATTGAAGTGCTGGGAAAAAAACTATTAACTAAGAATCTTATAGCCAGCAAAACTATTCTTCAAGAATAAAAAAGAAATTAGACATTTCAGATAAAGAAAACCAAAGGGAATTAATTACCGGCAGGCCTGCCCTATAGGAAATGCTAAAGGGAAACATTGAGGCTAAAATGAAAAGACACTAAGTAGTAATTCAAAGACATCTGAAGACATAAAAATACACTGTTAAATGTCACTATATAGGTAAATATAACAGCAAATATTAATGTAGTTTTTCTTTGTGATTCTTGTTTTCCTGTATGATTTAAAAGGCAAATGCAGAAAATAATAATAAGTTTATGTTAGTGAGGATATAATGTATAAAAACATAATTTGTGGGAATAACAATATAAAGGAAGAAGGATGGAGATATATAGGAGTAGAGTGTTCATGTACTATTGGAACTATTATTCAAACTAGCTTCTTATAAGTGTAAGATGTTAATTGCCATCCTCAAGGCAATCATTAGGAAAATAACTAAAAAATATGAGAAAAGGAAAGTGACACAGGATTTTTTCCTTGGTCACTTTGCAAGCCAGGGACCTTGGTGATGCCCTGCCCAGGCCTCACTTGGCCATGCTACCTGCTGTGGGAGATGGCCCACTAACCCGTGCTGCCCAGACCAAGTCTGGCTTGTGCACTGGTTCCCGAGTTCTTGTACCACACCCAAGAAAAATGAGGATACGCTGACAATCAAAGAGGGAGCAAGGTGAGAGTTTCATTGAGTGATGAAAACAGCTTTCAGCAGAGAAGGGATACAGAGGTGGTCCCCCTACCTGAAGTTGGCAAAGTGCCCCCAATGTGGCTGATTCCAGGGCTTTTATGGGCTCAGAATGGGGGAGGGGCAGGCCATAGGTAGTATTGGAAAAGGCAACATTCGATTGGTTAAAAGGGATTATTTAGAGGGCAGGCAAACAGGAATGGAAGTTCTCACTCTGGATCATGGGTTTCATCTGGGACCAGCAGTCCGGTCTTTCAGCCTTCAGGCTATTTTTTGGCTTGAAGGTGGGGTTTCATGGGGGACAAGCTTCTATCTGCCAGGCATTTGGCTGCCTCCTGCCGCTATCAAAAGGAGAAAATAATCAAAATGTAACAACACAGACACAAAATCAAGAAGTAAAAAAAAAAATCCAGTAATGGAGGAATTGAGAAACTTAAAAATGTATAAGACACACAGAAAAAAAATAGCTGAGTGGTAGAAGTAAGTCCTTCCTAATCAGTAATTATTTTATATATAAATAGATTAAACTCCAGTTAAAAGGCAGATATTGGCAGAGTGAATAAAGAGAACATTATCCACCTATATGCTATCTACAAGAGGCTCACTTTAGATATAAAGATAGAAGAATTTTAAAGTAGAAGGATGGAAGAAGATATTCTATGAAAATAACAACCAATATGAGAGTTGTGGTGGCTGTATTATCAGCCCAAATAGATTTTAAGTTAAAAAAAAAAGTCTCAAGAGACAAAGAACATTATATGTTGATAAAAGTTTTCATCCATTAAGAAGATATAAAAATTATAAAGAACAGAACACCAAAATACATGAAACAAAATTTTGCAACATTGAAGGGAGAAATAGAGTTCTACAATAGTAGTTGGAGACTTTAGTACACTACTTTGTTTTTTGTTTTTGTTTTTGTTGTTTCTCGAGACAGAGTCTTGCTCTGTTGCCCAGGCTGCAGTGCAATGGTGCGATCTCAGCTCACTGCAACTTCTGCCTCCTGGGTTCAAGTGATTCTCCTGCCTTGGCCTCCTGAGTAGCTGGGATTACAGGCGTGTGCCACCATGTCCAGCAAATTTTTTGTATTTTCAGTAGAGACGGAGTTTCACCATGTTGGCCAGGCTGGTCTCAACCTCCTGACATTGTGATCCACCCTCCTCGGCCTCCCAAAGTGCTGGGATTACAGGTGTGAGCCACCGTGCCCGGCCACTACTTTGAATAATGGATTAAACAACTAGACAGAAGATCAATAAGGAAAGAGAGGACTAGAACAATACTCTAAACCAATTAGACCTAACAGACATATACAGAACACTCTGTCCAACAACAGCAGAATGTGCATTTTTCTCAAATGTGCATGGAAATTCTCAAGGATATTTTAGTCACAAAACAAGTCTTAGTAAATGTAAAAAAATTGAAATCATATAAAGTATCTTTTTGGATCACATGAAATAAAACTAGAAGAGAATAACAGAGGGAAAACTGGAAAACTCACAGATATATAAAATTTAATCAAGACACTTTTAAATGACTCTCAATTGCAGGGAGGGGGAGAGAAAGAACTCAGATTATTAAAATCAGGAATGAAAAAATGAAAGAGTGAACGTTATTACTGACTTTAGAGAAAAAAAGGACTATGAGAGAATACTATGAACAATTTAGTATTGTTTGTTGGCTTACCCAAGTTAGATAAAATGGAACTTTAACTTAGGTAAACTTGGATAACTTAGATGAAATAGAAAAATTCCACACATGAGCTACTACAACTAGCTCAAGAAGAAACAGAAAATCTCATTAGACTAATAACAAGTAAGGAAATGGAATTAGTACTAAAAAACCTCCCAACAAAGAAAATCCCAGGACCAGATGTCTACACTGGTAATTCTACCAACCATTTAAAGAAGAATTAACACCAATTCTCTCAAATTCTTCCAAAAAATAAAAGAGGAAGTAACACTTCCTGATTGATCTCATGAGGCCAGCATTGCCTTGATACTGAAACCAGACAAAGATACTACAAGAAGAAAAACTACAGAGTAATATTTCTTGTGAATATAGATGCAAAATCCTCAACAAAATACCAGCAAATAAAATTCTTCAGTATTAAAAAATTTGTTTTTAGTGATGAGGTCTTACTTTGTTGCTCAGGCTGGAGTGCAGTGGTGCAATCATGGCTCACTGCAGCCTCAACCTCCTGGGCTCAAACAATCCTCCTGCCTCAGCCTCCTGAGTAGCTAGGACTAAAGGTGCACAACCACCACATCAAGCTAATTTTCTTTCTTTTCTTTTCTTTCTTTCTTTCTTTTCTTTTTTTTTTTTTTGAGACGGAGATTTGCTCTTGTTGCCCAGGCTGGAGTGCAATGGCATGATCTTGGCTCGCTGCAACCTCCGTCTCCCAGGTTCAAGTGATTTTCCTGCCTCAGCCTCCTGAGTAGCTGGGATTACAGGCATGTGCCACCACGCCTGGCTAATTCTGTATTTTCAGTAGAGACGGGGTTTTTCTATGTTGGTCAGGCTGGTCTAGAACTCCCGACCTCAGGTGATCTGCCTGCCTCGGCCACCCAAAGTGCTGGGATTACAGGCGTGAGCCACCATGCCCAGCGGTAATTTTCAATTTTTTGTAGAGATGGGATCTTGTTTACTTGCCCAGGCTCTTCTAAAACTCCTGATTTCAGGTGATCCTCCCACACCAGCCTCCCAAAGTGTTGGAATTACAGGCATGAGCCATGGCACTTAGCCTCTTCAGCATATCTTCAGGTTATGGTTATGGATTATACACCATAACCAAGTGAAATTTATCCCAGGAACACAAGAATAGTTCAACATGCAAAAATTAATGTAATGTACTACAATAATGGAATAAAACAAAGAAACTACATGGTCATATTGATTGATGCAGAAAAAGCATCTGACAAAACTCAACACCCTGTCATCATTGAAACAAGAAGAAAATTTCCTCAACATGATAAATGTCATATATGAAAACCCCATAGCTAACGTCATATTTAATGGCAAAAGACTTAAACTTTCTTCCTAAGAGAGGAGCAAGACAAGAATACCCACTTTTGCCACTTCTTTTCAACATAGTAGTGGAGCAATTAGGGAAGACATTTCTAACCAAAGCAATTAGGGAAGAAAAATAAATAAAAGGTATCCATACTGGAAAGTGCTATGGAAAGAATGTGTCCCCTCAAAATTCATATATTAAATCTGCTGTGTGATGATATTAAGAGGTGGGGCCTTAGAAGGTGCTAGGTCATGAGGGTAGAGCCCACATAAAAAGAAAAAGAGCCCTTATAAAAAGAATACCGGAGGACAGGCACGGTGGCTCATGCCTGTAATCCCAGCACTTTGGGAGGCCAAGGTGGGCAGATCACGAGGTCAAGAGATCGAGACCATCCTGGCCAACATGGTGAAACCCTGTCTCTACTAAAAATACAAAAAGTAGCTGGACATGGTGATGGGTACCTGTAATCCCAGCTACTCAGGAGGCTGAGGCAGGAGAATCGTTTGAACCAGGGAGTCAGAGGTTGCAATGAGCCGAGATTGTGCCACTGCACTCCAGCCTGGTGACAGAGTGAGACTCTGTCTCAAAAAATCAAACAAAAACAACAAAACAAACAAACAAACAAAAAGGAATCCCAGAGAGCTACCTTGCCTTTTCCACCATGTGAGGACACAGCTAGAAGGTGCCATGTATGAACCAGAAAGCAGGCCTTCATCAGACAGTGAATTAGCTTGGGCCTTGATCTTGGACTTCTCAGCCTCCAATTTATGGCATTTTGTTACAGCAGCCCAAATGGACTAAGATAGAAAGAAGGAAATAGAACTATCTTTATTTCAGATGACATGATCTTATGTAGATAACCATAAATAATCTCCCAAAATATTTGAGCTAATATCTGAGATCAAATTGAGCTAATAAGCTAATTCAGCAAAGTTGCAGCACACAAATATCAACACACAAAAATCAGGGTTTTTTTATACCTTAGCAACAAATAACCCAAACAGGAAATTAAGAAACAATTACGTGAAATTAGGGAACACTTCACACCGTCATTTAGGAATCCAGGCTTCTACTTTATGGCTCCACCCACTCCCTAAAGCCTCATCATTATCTGCAGCTAGCCTACGGAAAGGTGAGAAAGAACATGAAGAAGCCACCCTCTTCTTAGGAGCCTACACCTGGAAATGGAAATGGTATATGTTGCTCCACTGAAATTGCATGGAGACATCTCACTGCGAGGGAGGCTGAGAACTACAGAACAGCTGGCCAGCTGTTGCTGGCATTGTCCTCACTGTGGACAAAGAGGACATGGGTTTGGGTCTAGAGCTAGCAACCTCTGCTATGTTCCCTGGATTCCTAAATGACTGTGTGGAGGAGAACCTCCCAGCTGATGAAGAACTGCACTTGACTATTATATGGGCAAGAAATACAATTCTACTATGTAACTGTATTTCACGTTTTGCTGTATTGGTTACTGCAGTGAAGTGTTCCCTAGTAACTACTCAGAATGATGGTATCAATGACCAAAAATATGTTGGAAGGGGATACCGGATCACTCATTATTCAATGTTTCTTGAGAACCTAATTTGTGCTCAGTCTGAAGTTAGAAAAGTGATTAGTTTTTAGTTTCCAAGGAGCTTACCATCTAGCAGAAGAGACAAATGAACAGCTCAATACAACCAGATACCAGCAAAGCTATGTCTTTGGGGACATAAGGAGACTGATAGGTTTCGTTTTGTTTTGTTTTCTGAAGGCAAAAGAGCAGGATTTCTTTGATGCACTAGGGGGAACTGGCCAAGAAGGGAAGGATATTCCAGATAGAGAAACCAGCAGGACAGTGTCAGGGGTGTTTAGAGAAACACAAATATTTGAGTGGCTCATACTTAAGGCACACCAAGGGAACACCTAGCAAATGAGGCGAGGCAGACGAGAAATAAACAACAGAGGGGAAACCAAAATATTCTGTCTGCTCAGAAAGAGAAAAGTGCTGCTGTAAATGGCATTTGGGCCAAAGGGGAAATCTGCATTGCATTACAGACCATTTATAAATGAATAACCATGAATGTACAAAATATTAAAAGTATGGCTAATAGCCAAAGCTGTCTCAGAGGAACATTTATGCCCATGAAGGCACTTACTATAAAGTAAATAGGGGCTGGGCATGGTGGCTCACTCCTGTAATCCCAGTACTTTGGGAAGCTGAGGCAGGAGGATCACTTGAACCAAGGAGTTTGAAACCAGCCTGGGCAACATAGTGAGACCCCATCTCTACAAAAATAAATAAATAAATAAATAAATAAAATATTAGCCAGCTGTGGTGGCGTGTGCCTGAGGTCCCAGCTACTCAGGAGGCTGAGGTGGGAGAATTGCTTGAGCCCAGGAGGTCAAGGCTGCAGTGAGCCATGATTGCACCACTGCACTTCAGCCTGGGCTGTCGAGTGAGACCCTGTCTCAAAAAAATAAACACAATAAAATAAATGGGCAATCAATGAGCAAGATTTGGTAATCTGATCAAATATAACAGAGAAGACACTAATAAACAACTATAGGAAATGGATGATTTTCAAAATATAATATAAATTATCAAAATGACTCAGGAGGACAGAAAAACCTGCACAGATGGATAACAATAGAAGAAAAGTTAACAGATGTGGAAAAATCTTCCTCTAACAAGAGTGTCAAGTCCAGCTAGGTTGTTTTTTGTTTTTTTTTTTTTTGAGATGGAGTTTTGCTGTGTTGCCCAGGCTGGAGTGCAGTGGCGCTATATTGGCTCACTACAACCTCTGCCTCCCAGGTTCAAGCGATTCTCCTGCTTCAGCCTCCCAAGTAGCTGGGATTACAGGTGCATGCCACCACGCCCAGCTAATTTTCGTATTTTTTGTACAGATGGGGTTTCACCATGTTGGCCAGGCTGGCCTTGAACTCCTGACCTCATGATCCACCTGTCTCTGCCTCCCAAGTGCTGGGATTAGAGATGTGAGCCACCGCGCCCGGCCAACAGCTAGTTTTTAAAAAACAAATATGGATACAGAAATGTCCAATGCAAGGCCCCAGCCAAGGAAGAGGCAGAGTCATCACTTATTGAATGAGGCGGTGACAGGCAAGACCTGTGGGCTGTTAGGGAATGTATGCGAGGGACACAGAGCTGGGACACTGAGTCCTGCATTCATGTTTATGACAACACAGAAACAATGGGTTGGAAGAATAACATCATAATAGCTCATGTATACTTTGTGCCAGGTGCTGTCCTAAGCTCTTCTATGGATTAATTTATTGGATCCTCACAACAGAGCTATGGAGAGATAAAGTAAGTTTCCCTTGTGACTCTTGCTAATACAAGGTCCAAACCCTGGCACTCTGTCTTCAGGGCCCACCCTGTGTCACTGAGCCATCCTGCCTCTGGCTAGCTGGAGGGAGGGAGAGACAGGCTGAGATGTCATTGCAGGAGCCACAGTGATGGGTGAGGGGTACTGCTGGGCAGTAGGTAGTGGGAGGAGAGGGCTGCAGACCCAGCTCACAGACACAAAAAGGGATGCAGGCCCAGGGTGCTTGTTAGGACCAGGGTAGAACCAGTCTCACCTCTTAGCAGACACACACATGAATAAACATCCAGAACATATAAAGAATTCTTCCAACTCAATAAGACGGTGACAACAACCCAATTTTTAAAAACTCACCAAAAATGCCCACTAAGCATACAGAAATATCTGCAACATTATTATTAGTCAATCATAGAAATGCAAATTACAACCACACTGACATATCACTACACAGTCACCAGAGTGGCTAATATTTAAAAGATGGGTGAAACCAAGTGTCGGGAGGAGGATGTGGAGCAATTGGAATTCTCAAACACTGCTGATGGAAATGCAACATGGTACAGGCCACATTGGAAAACAGTTTGACAGTTTTTCTAAGTTTAAACGTACGCTTAACCACACGATACTACTCCTAGGTATTTATCCCGCCAATTGAAAACCCCTGTCTACACAAAGACTTGTACTTGAACATTCACAGCAGCTTCACTCATCATAGCCAAAGCCTGGAAACAATCCAAATGCCCATTAGCTGGTGAATGAATAAATGGATGAACACACCGTAGCACAGCCATACAGTGGAATACTCACTGCTCAGCAATGGCAAGGGAGGGAGGATTGACACACTGCTGAGCTAGGCATTATGTTAAGTGAAAGAAGCCAGACACAGAAGACTATATTCTCAGTGGTCTCATGTATAGAACATTCTAGAAAAGGCAAAACCAAGGGGACAGAAAACAGATGAATGATTTCCAGTGGCTAGGGTGGGAGAAGTGATTGACAGCAAGAGGTGGGGCTGAGGGAATTATTTGAGTGATGGGAAGATTCTGCCTTAATGGTGATGGTGGTTATATAACCATATACATTTGATAAAACTCATCAAACTGTACACTTAAAAAGTGAATGTTACTGTATGTATATTATATGTTAATTTTTTTAAATGGAATCTCCGTTTGTTATCCAGGCTGGAGTGCAGTGGTGTGATCTTGGCTCGCTGCAACCTCTGCCTCCCGGGTTCAAGTGATTCTCATGCCTCAGCCTCCCGAGTAGCTGGGATTATAGGCACCTGCCACCATTCCCGGCAGGTGCCAGTGAAGCCATTGTTCCAGCTCACTCAGTGGGACTTGGGACAGGAAACAGGAGATCTGGGGAGCTGGTGGGACGCTTACTAGCTACCTGACCTTGGATGAATGATTCGTTCCTCCAGAGCTTCTGTTTCTTCACCTATGAAAAGGGAGAAGATGCCACCTCATTCTAAGGAGCTGCATGGGGACTAAAGGAAAAATCTTGACACTCAAACGCAATTTTCTGTTGTTACAGGGCCAAGGAGCTCTGGGCCTGAGAGGGGAAGAGTCTGGTCAGCATTGCCCAGTATTATAGCTGGATGTTTGCCCACCGGAACCTCATGTTGAAATTTGATCCTCAATGTTGGAGGTGGGGGGCCTAATGGGAGATGTTTGGGTCATGGGGGCAGATACTTCATGAATAGATTAATGCCCTTCCTTGGGGGCAGGGTGTGAGTTATTTCTTACTCTATTAGTTCTCAAGACAGCTTACTATTAGGAAGAGGCTGGCACCTCCCTGCCCCCTCGTGCTTCCTCTCTCACCATGTGATATCTGCACATGCAGGCTCTGCTTCACCTTCTGCCATGAGTGGAAGCAGACTGAGGCCCTCATCAGAAGTAGGCATTGGTGCCATGCTTCTTGTAGAGCCTGCAGAACTCTCAGCCAAATAAACCTCTTTTCTCTGTAAATTATCCAGCCTCAGGTATGCCTTTACAGCAACACAAATGGACTAAGACACCAGGACCCCCTGAAAATCAGCAAGGTCATTGGCAAAAGCAAGGCTATCCAGCACAAGCCTCTGCTTCTCCTTCTTTCTTCTTTGTTCTTCCTTCTCCCTCTCCCTCTCCTTCCCTTTCCTTCCCTTTTTCCTTCCTTCCTTCCTTCCCTCCTTCCCTTTTCTTTCTTTCTCTTTCTTTCTTTTCTTTCTTTTTCTTCTGCTTCTGCTTCCTCCTCCTCATCTTCCTCCTCCTCCTCTTCCTCCTCTTCCTCTTCTTCTTCTTCCTCTCCTTCTTCTTCTTCTCCTTCTTCTTCTTATTCTTCTTCTTGTTCTCCTTGTTCTTCTTCTTGTTCTTCTTGTTCTTCTTCTTGTTCTTGTTCCTCTTCCTCTTCTTCTTCTTCTTCTTCTTCTTCTTCTTCTTCTTCTTCTTCTTCTTCTTCTTCTTCTTCTTCTTCCTACTTTCTTCTTTCTTCTTTTTCGAGACAGGTCTTGCTCTGTCACCCAAGCTGGAGTGCAGTGGTGTGAACATGACTCACTGCAGTCTCAACCTCCTGGGCTCAAGAGATGCTCCTGCCTCAGCCTTCCAAGTAGGTGGGACTACAGGTGTGCACCACCACACCTGGCCAATTAAAAAATATTTTTGTAGAGCCAGGGTCTTGCTATGTTTTCCAAGCTGGTCTTCAACTCCTAGGCTCAAGCAGTCCTCCCACTTCAGCCTCCTAAAGAGCTGGGATTACAGGCATGAGCTATCAGACCTAACTGCTTCCCCTTCTTCTTCAGGTCTCAGCCCAAAGGTCACTTGGAGAGCATCACTGTATTAGGCTGTTCTTGTGCTGTTATAAAGAAATACCCAAGACTGGATAAATTACAAAGAAAAGAGGTTTAATTGGCTTACAGTTTTGCAGACAGAACAAGAAGCATGGCGTTAGCATTTGCTTCTTGTGAAGTCCCTGGAATCTTAAAATCATGGCAGAAGGAGAAGGGGGAGCAGGTGTCTCATGCAAGAGTGGGAGCAGGAGAATGAGAGGGGGCCAGGCTCTTTCAAACAACCAGCTCTCACGTGAACTCACTCATCACCAAGGGGATGGCACTAAACCATTCATGAGGGATCTGCCCCCATGACCCAGACACCTCCTTCCAGGCCCCACCTCCAACATAAGGAATTACATTTCAACATGAGATTTGGAGAGGACAAATATCCAAAGTATATCAGTCACTATCGGAAAACACTTCATGTTCTATTTGTTTATTGTTAATTGTCTTTGCCCTCTAAGAGGCAATGCCCAGGAGAACAGGAACCCAGTCTATCTCATTCAGGTCTCCAAGACCCAGGGCCTGGCCCATCGTGGGCTCTCACTGCTCAGCAGCTGCTCTATGACCTGCAGACCAATGCGGCCTTGAGCTGTTCCCCAAGACCAGGCTCTGGTCTCACTTTCCCAGCATCTTGTGACTCAGCACTGGCAAGGTCTCTGGGCTAGCCCCTGGGCTGCAATAGGAGCAAAAATGGGGCAGTTGTCCATGCGTGCTCCTAGGGGTGGGATGGATACATTCTTGCCCTCTAACATCCAGTTCCCCTTCCTTCTTGCTCATGGAACCTCTGTTTTATTCAGGGGTCAAGTAGTAATGGACCCAGCACTGGGGGCTGAATACCCTGGACAAATTCACCCTGCTGTCTTCTGCTAGAGCTGGCTTCAGTACAGTGAGATGTGAGAAGGAAGGCCTCTGGGGAGATATGGTGGGGATCCCCTTCCCTTCTTGTTTCCAGAACATTTTTGGGTTTGTTTGTACCTCCTGTGCCTGTGGCGGCATCTGGCAGATGTGGGGAAGGTTAAGAGAATCTGGAAAGCTGACCCAGAGCCTGACACCAGGCTGAGAGCTGCCTGCCTCTGGACTCTTTCTTATGTGCTTTGACAATACCTGTTGGTGAATCCAGTTTTAGTTGGGTATCTGATACAGCCTAGACAACCCTAACAGACACGGTGGGCTTAACAGGTCGTTCTGTTCAGCTCCACGTGAGAGGTGCTCCAAAGAGATGGAAACGAGGCGTAGTGGGCACAAAATGTAGTTACCGTTTACAGGGTGGGGTTTGGAAAAGCAGGTGAGGCAGCAGCTGGGGAGGTGGAGCTCCCAGCCAGGTGACCAAAATCCAGTGCTGTGCTGGAGAAGGGTTAGCAACTGGCTGTCCTGGGAAGCAGACCTGACTGGCAGCATTTGCTGCCTTCTGTGTTGTCGGCACTTCACCTGATGTCACTCAAGGGGGAGTTGAGCAGAGGCCGTGCCAGTGCCCCTCCTGAACTGCAGCTTGGAGCCCTGGGTCTGTCATAGAATCACCCGATGCTTCCCTGCTCTGCCTGCCTCCAATCCAAAGATTTCCTCAACATCTGATCCTCCTGACCCACCCGGGCCAACTTGCCCACCTCTGAGAGGCTGCAGTTCTCATGGGGATTGGTTGCAGATGCACCCACTGGCTTGACGTGGTGGGCTGGGCTGTGTCTGAAAGGACTGAGGGAAGCAAACCATTCCACCCATTGTCTTTGTCCAGCATTACCAGCCCAACCAGCCAAACTCAGGCCACTCAGGCCAATGCTGCCCTTCTGGATTTCCTGGGAGGGTGAACCACATGCATGTCCTTTGCAACCACATTGAAAATCTATTGGAGAGCTAATTTACTAATCGCAGGATCACTCCCTAGGATTACAATACTCTAGGGTTTTAAATGAAAAACCGTATGATGCCCATCTGAAAACTCCATCTAATCCCCCCAATATCACAAAACTCTCCAAATATAGCAATCCACAAAGGACTTCTGCATAATGTAATGTATTTAAAATACCAAGTACCTAATGATATAATCCCTGAAGAACTCAGCAGTGGGTACATTTGTATGTAGTACGTGATGACCCTGTTCATTTCAGATGCTGTAGGAGATGCTATGGGTGCCTGCTGGGCCCCTGTGCCTACCCCCAGCTGCCCAGGGCTGAAGAGAAGAGCTGGACTTCTTTCCTGGGACTTACTCCTGATCTACAAAGTTACTTCACCTAGAAATACCTGGGAAGTTACGCCCTTCCCAGGGCTGGCGGAGAAAACACATTATGTTATGCACAATTTGGGACATATACTAAAAAATAATTTGTTGTTTATCTGAAATTCAATTTAACTGAGTGCCCTAATTTTTTATTTGCTAAAGCTGGCAGCCCTAGCCTTTCCCCAGGGGCCTCCAGCCAGTGACTGACTCATGTAGGAGCACAAAGGCTGGCCCCTGCCTCAGAGGGACAACTCTGTGATGTCATTCACATTTGAGAGCTCCCTGCTGGGTCAGACTGAGGCTCAACTGCTGCTGAATCTGTACCTTTGCCTATTTCTACCCCATCTCATCCTGAGAGCACCCTCCCACTCAATCACAGGTGCCAGAATCCTTATCTCAGGCTCTGCTTCAAGAACCTAACACAGTATACCAGGGGTGGTCCTAGAAATCAGCCTATGAGGGCGGGACTCTGGAGTTGGATCACTTCCCAGCTGGTTGCCACCTCACTGGTGGTAGGAGTACTGACAGTCTCTGGCACATTGCAGCAGTGGATCGCCAAGGCCCTGCCTGTGGGGAGCGGGGATGGGGGTAGACAGGGAGGTACTTTCTTACTCAGTGTCTCTGGCACCGAGGGTGTGGGGGAGATGCTAACCCGAAGGACTATGCCACTGAGACCTGTGGATCAGTGGAGTGATGCATGGAAAAGAGAAAATGGCAGGCTCAGGTCTATCGATTTAAAGCCAAGCCTGAGAGCCAGAGGGTCTTCTCGGCAGTGTTCAAAGAGATGCTTGTCTCCTGTAGTGAGGCAGGCAGAGCTGGAGACCAGGCATAGGACTCAATTGTAAGAGCAGTAGCAGAACTTCAGCAAGGGCTGAGTCCTCCACCAAGGCAAGCCACGGCCCTGATGGGAAGGAGTATACACAATGGTATGCTGGGAAATGGCCAACAATCTGCTGTCTAGAGATGCGGGATGCCCTGGTTTGTAGCATTTTCTGATTTTCATGGTTTAAATACACCCACCATGGCCCATTTCCAGCTACTGACATAGTGTCACTGAATGAAGATTTGGAAAGAGATGTGTACTACTGGTTTTCTAATGTGCTAGTGAGTACACTTGAGAATTTTGAATTGCCAGATTCCCACGAGCCACCTGCATCTACAGAAGTAGTCTTGCTGTGAGAAGGAGGCCTTTTCTCTCTTGAAAAGTATGCAGATGTCTGAAAGAGACAAGTGCCCCAGGAGAAAATGAGTGCCTTCCTCAGGATCGGCCCCTACCTCCCCTCCTGGCCACAAGGAGGGTCAAATCTCAGCATGGCCCAACTTGGACCTGTCAAGGAAGAAGAAAAAAATTGTATGCCAAAGGAACTCAGTCTTTGGCTAACAAGTACTAGCAGGAAGTGGGAGACTAGATCCCAAAAGTGCTGGATCTTATGCTTGCAACAGTCCCAAAGGTGCTGGATCCTGTGATTGAGACCAGATCCTGAAGGTGCTGGACTGGGGCAGGTGGGATATCAAGAGGATAAGGGGACTTTGCTGATGTGGGGGCATTCTCCTATGATGCAGGATTTAACACCCTAGCAAGGGTCCCAAGAGAGGGCTCTGATATATTGCTGGGGTTGCTCTTGGTAGCTTAGAAAAAGCAACAGCTCGATTAAATGAAGCAGGGATGCTTGAGTTTACATGGTGGGCCAAGAGGAAGTGATCAAAAGGATAAAAGAAATGGGGCAAAATATAACTGACCTACTCTATAAGATCAAAAAGCCTGTAAGCTGGCTATGTTCCCTGGAAAGGCAGGGAAGACACTCTGCTTCCCAGGCTGTAAAGAATCTGCTGGTGTCGGGCACATGGCTGAGGCTCAGTAGGGCTGTCCTTTGTAGACCAGAGTTGATGGGAGACAACTCTTTTTCAGAGCTTCTCCCCCTAATGGCAGTGGGGATGATAGATCACTTAAGGGCAGAGACCAGGGGCAGCACTTAGAAGCATATCAGAAGCAAAGTGGGAATAATTATCATATTGGGCACCAAGGTCAGACTAACAACTAGAAGGGATTAGCTTATAGGGGTCTAAGGAGAAGGCTAATAGAGTGTTGGATTCTTAGGGGCTAGAAAGGATGAACAGAAGGCCAAGGTCAGTCACCCCAGTG